>NC_000001.11:116826562-117129592 GCF_000001405.40 Homo sapiens
GGAGGTGCTTCCCTGACTCCCATTCTGTCTACTGAGAAATGGTATGCAAATGAACTTCAGGAGCAGCTTTGAGGGAAAAGGACCACAAAATAAGTCACTTGAAGAGGGTATGAAGAGGAAGAGGGGCAGGCACTTGTTTATGCAAGTATAATCCAAATGTAAGGTCTGTACCAGCATTTGTCTAAACAACTCTGTCACTGTCTTATTTTAAAACAAGGGATGGAACCTATCCTAGCCTCCTTTGACTACAGGAAACTTGTTTTTCCCTCACATTTCACCCCATGTATTTCTGAGGTAACTCCCATCCCTCGAAGTCTTCCCTGGTTGGCCCAGCCCCCTTGGCCGGGCCCTGTCTCCAGCCACAGCTTACTCCACTGCAGTCCTTCAACCACACTTGGGAGCAGCTTTCTTCTGACTCTCTCAAGCTGGCCACAGGTCCTTCCCTCCATTCCCCACCATGACAGCAAAAACCAAACTGTTAATCTTTAACAAGATTCGTACCTAAAGCTTAGGTTAAGGGTATTACAACACAGCCACAAAAATAGCATAAACCTTCATGTCAGAGAGAGGAGAAGACAGAATCTGCAATCCTCGCCTGCTTATAGAATGCCATCCTGTCCACCTCCCAGCCTGTTCACTCAGGAAGAAGCCAACCTTTCTCTCCCCATGTCTGAGCTCTGCAATCACTTACAGCCTACGTAGAGCCTCTCACCCCAGCACCCCTGCACAAAGCCCTGAGCTCCACTTCTTAAGGCTCATGGAAAGGAAACTGCAACTCTTCTTGTCCCTCTTAGGCCTCATTTCCTGTCTCAGGCATTATCTCTTCCAAGGGTGATTGACAGTGGGATGGTTCACTCACTTCAGAACCACGAGGATGACTCATCCAACGTCCTGGCCTCTGGTTTCCTCCATCTGTTCACCTCCAGCAACCTTTTCCTTCACTTCGTCTCAGCCACCGATACCTGTAATCAGCTTAGACTTTGTCATCACCAAGAAGAACACCAGCTCTGAAATTTCCCTCTCAGAAATCCCCACTAGACCATGAAAAGACATGGAGGGACTGTAAATGAAAGAAGCCAACCTGAAAAGGCTACATGCTGTATAATTCCAACTAAATGGCACTGGAAGAGACAAAACTATGGAGATTAAAAGGAAAGGTGTTTGCCAGAGGTTTGGGAGAAGGGAGGGATGAAGAGGTTGAGTATAAAGTATTTTTAGGGCAGTGAAACGATATTGTGTGATACCCTACTGGAGTATACATGTCATTATACCTTTGTCAGGACCCACAGAATATACAACACCAAGGGTGAACCCTAATGTGAACTATGGACTTTGGGTGTGTCTTACCTGGGCTGGGTAATTTACAAAGAGGTTTATTTGGCTCAGAGCTCTGTAGGCTGTACAGGAAGCATGGCGCCAACATCTGCTTATAATGAGGGCCTCAGGCTGCTTCCACTCATGGTAGAAGGCAAAGGGGAGCCAGCTCATGCAGAGATTATATGGCAAGAAAGAAAGATGAGTTGCCATCTCTCATTTTTAGCAACCAGCTCTCACTAGAACTAATAAAGCAAGAACTTACTTATTTCCATGAGGACGGCACCACAGCCTTCATGAGGGATTCACCCATGATCCAAACACCTCCCACTAGGCCCCACCTCCAGCATTGGGGATCAGATTTCAGCATGAGATGTGGAGGGGACAAATGTCCAACCTGTATCAAGGTGATAATGATGTGTCAATGGAGGTTCATCTGGAGGTTCTTCACTTGTAACAAATGTACCACTCTGGTGGGGTGTGTTGATAGCAGGGTTGGTTGTGCACATATGAGGGCAGAGGGTATATGGGAAAGCTCTGTACTTTCTGTTCAGTTTTGCTGTGGATCTAAAACTCTAAAAAACAAAGTAGACTTTAAAAAAAATCTCAACTAATTTCCTGTCCTTCTCTTCCACTTGCTCTAGTGCCCTTTTGGCTGTGACTCTTTAATTACATTGAGACACATCATGTGTCACTCTTTAGCAGGCCTCTTGTCTTCACTGCATTCCTGATCCGACTTACAGCCCAAAGCCCACCCTGATAAACACTACCTCACAAATACCCTCCATTTCCTCATCCTTTCTCTTTTGGCAAAAACCTCTCTCTGACAACCTCAATAACTGTTTTTCCTTGCCTGTATCCAATGTGCCTAAATAAAATATTTCTTTTTTTTTTTTTTGAGACAGAGTCTCACTCTGTCACCCAGGCTGGAGTGCGGTGGCGCGATCTCAGCTCACGGCAATCTCTGCCTCCGGGTTCAAGCGATTCTCCTGTCTCCCAAGTAGCTGGGATTACAGGCGCACACCACGACACCCAGCTAATTTTTTTGTATTTTTAGTAGAGACAGGGTTTCACCATGTTGGTCAGGCTGGTCTCGAACTCCTGTTCCGCTCACCTCGGCCCCCCAAAGTGCTGGGATTACAGGCGTGAGCCACCGCACCTGGCCAGATAAAATATTTCTAAAGAAAATCTTATGCCAGGCTGACCCTCACACTTTGAATTCATGACCAGAAGCCTGACCAGAGTGCTCAAAGCTTCCCTCAACACTGACCGTTTCCCACTCTCTGGAGTAACTAACTCATATCTTCTTGTTCTTACTTTAGACTTTCTACATTTTCTGCCACTGCACCCTCTTCAGCAGGTGAACTCACCTCTTACTACATGGAAAAAATAGAAGGTTTCAAATAGGAATGGTCTCATCTTCCCATCACCAAATCTAGAATCCAGCCTGCATTCCCACGTACCTCCTCTTCTTCAGGCCAGGTAAGTAGGTCGAAGTGTCCTTGCCATAATCAAAGCCTCACCCTTGGTTTGAAGTGTAGACCTCAGTCTTTTTTGCTCCTCCTTGTGGACATGGCCCCTGCAGAGATCCGTGATACCTCCTGCATCACCAAGCTCTTGCTTTACTGGGTCATTTGCATCACTTTACAAACATACTCATCTTTAAGAAGAAAAAAGACATGAAAAGAGATGTTCAACATCATTAATCATTAGAGAAATGATTAGTGGCACGATCTTGGCTCACTACAACCTCCACCTCCTGGGTTCAAGCAATTCTCCTGCCTCAGCCTCCCAAGTAGCTGGGATTACAGGCACCCGCCACCATGCCCAACTAATTTTTTATATTTTTAGTAGACAGGAGGTTTCACCATGTTGGCCAGGCTGGTCTCGAACTCCTGATCTCAAGTGATCCGCCTGCCTTAGCCTCCCAAAGTGCTAGGATTACAGGCGTGAGCCACCATGCCTGGCCTTCCTTCCCTTCATTTCTAATTTCAACTCTTCTTTCTCTCCCTTCCACATAGACACCCATTCAAATATGTTTTGCCTGAGTCCTTGAATGTGCATTATTTCTGAAAAAAAAAGGTGCTGTATTGCTATGTTTCTAATGTACATAAATAGTACAGTGCTATACTATACAAATAGTATACTCTCTATACAAATAGTATAGCACTATACTATTGTGCTATACTACTATTTGTGTAGTACAGCACCAGCCTCAGAGACAGAGAGCACAGTGGTCAGAGTGTAGGCTGGAATCCCAGCTCTGCCACTTACTCACTGGGTGACTTTAAGTAAGCTGCTTAATGCTCAGTGTTTCCATTCCATGTTTGTAAAATAAGGATTTATTCAACAAACATTCACAAATATTTATTGAGAGCCTTCTATGTGCCAGCCATATAGACTGGGTAATTTATAAATAATGGAAATTTATTTCTCAGAGTACTGGAAGCTGGGAATCCAAGATCAAAATGCCAGCAGATTCTAAGTCTGGTGAGGGTGCACTCTCTGCTTCATAAATGGGTCTCTTGCCGCAAAAAAATCTGTTTGCTCCTCCAGATTCATCAAACATCTCCTGGCTATGAGGAGTCCCTTGGGAATTCAGAGACAGAAAAAGAGTGAGCTAGTTGCTCCCTGAGAGCAGTTGCCTTGGATTGGCTCTTTTCTTCACAGAAGGTCAGTGCTTCTCGAATGGTGGCCAACTCTATGAAATTCTATCTCCATCTTTTTGGCCTAAGGATAGTGACAGACTTACTGCTGCTAGTCTTGAGTTTTTGCACCATCTCTACTATTTCTCTTCACATGCTCACACCTATCTTAACCCTTCTCTCTCTCTCTCTCTCTGTCTCTCTCCCTTTCTCTCTCTCTCTCTCTCTCACACACACACACACACACACACACACACACACACACACAGTTATCCTGAGTTGAATGTATCATATTTTTCTGCTGGGACTCTGACTGATACATTGACTAATCTCATTTACTGAAAAGTTAAATGCAAATTAAAACCACAACGAAGTATAACTTAATTCTCACCAGAATGGCTAAAGTAAAAAAGACTGATAAAACTGAGTGTTGGCAAGGTTATGGAAAAACAGGGACTCTCATACACTGTTGGCAAAGTGTAAACTGGCACAACTACTTTGGAAAACAGACTGACTTTATCTGGAAATGTGAACATGAGCTCAGCAATCTTACTTCTACATCCATATCCTAGGGCGTGGTTCTCAAACTTTCACCTGCCATTAGCACACCCAGTGGGCTTGTTAAAACACAGATTGTGGCCGGGCGCGGTGGCTCACGCCTGTAATCCCAGCACTTTGGGAGGCCGAGGCGGGCCGATCACGAGGTCGGGAGATCGAGACCATCCTGGCTAACACAGTGAAACCCCGTCTCTACTAAAAATGCAAAAAAAATTAGCCGGGCGTGGTGGCGGGCGCCTGTAGTCCCAGCTACTCGGGAGGCTGAGGCAGGAGAATGGCGTGAACCCGGGAGGCGGAGCTTGCAGTGAGCCAAGATCGTGCCACTGCACTCCAGCCTGGGCGACAGAGCGAGACTCCGTCTCAAAAAAAAAAAAAAAAAAAAAAAAAAAAAAAAAACACAGATTGCTGGGCCCCTCTGCCAGTGTTTCTAATTCAAGTCTGATGCAGCAATTGAGATTTTGCATTTCTCGTGAAGTTCCCGGGTGCTCTGATGCTGGGACTACATTTTGAAAACCGAGGCTCTAGAAAAGTTCTTGCACATGTGCACCAGGTGCCATAGCACCATTGTCTTAATTCTTTTTTAAAAACTGGAAATAATTCAAACGTCCTTCAACTGTAAATTGGACAAATAAGTTATCATATATGAAATAATAGCACTACAAAGGCATGAAACACTGCAACAAACATCAACATGGATGACTCATGAGGCAAAACTAAGAAAATGATTTTAGGGATACATAGATGTTAAAAGTATTAAGACAAGAAAGAGAAGACTAATCAAAAATTATCATGGTAGTTACCTCTATAGGAAAGGGAGGAGATGTGATTGGAAGACACACACACAGGGTCTTTGATGTTACTATCAATGTTGTATTCTGACTGGTGACCAATTATGCAGATGTTTGTTCTACAGTTATTCTTTGAGGTGAATATAGCTTTCTTGAACCAGGCTGTAAGAAACATTGCCCCAGACCCTCAAAATGAATCCATCAAAAGCTGAAAACTCCTCACCAGTACTTTCCCCCTATCTGGTTCTCTCATTTCGGCAAGTGAATGAGACATCAATAGTCTAAGATGTCCCACCACCCCTGGACTCCCACCATCTTCTGAGTCTCCTCTGAGCAAACTGCTGGGGCAGGAACACACATTCACACTTCCACAGGGACAAGTCACAATATATAAATAGTGCATGTTATCTAAATCCACGTTTAGGAAAGAAATATTTTTCTATCAGAAACACGATAGTACAGATGCGATTTTTCCCACAAAAAAAGAGATACATTTTTCATTATTATGCACTGTAGTTTAGTTCCCAAGAGCCAGGCTCTCAAACCTGTCATTCTAGAAAAGGGTCATTGTTCTATATTTGCATAACCAAAGGGTGTTCTTTTCCAGAACAATGAAGCAGTCTGCCTCCAAGTTAACCCAAGGCAGAAAACTGCTTCCAGCCTTCAAATGAAATGGGTAAGTTCTTACTTCCGTAAGAAGGAGGAAGCCTCTGTTTTTCCCTTTCTTCTTCCCTCCCTCCCCTTTCTTCCTTTACATCAGCAATAAATTATTTTCTCACTCCAAAGTCACTTCCATTTGTGGATATTCTTGCCCTGTTAGAAAGTTCTTTCTTTATTGAAATATTTCTCCTAGGGAGCGTTCAGCTGGTTGGTTTTGTTTCTGCCCTATGGGGTGATTGTAAATCTAATCCCTCTTCAACGTGACAGCTTTTCAAATACTGTAGGTTAAGATCCTTGCTGTGTCTTCCCTGAGTTTTCTTTTTCTCTTAGTCCCTCAGCGGTCTCCCCTAGGGCAGCTTTGAACCCCTTCTCCATCCTGGTGGATGTGTTCTTAGGCTCCAATTTGTTACTCCCAAACATAAAGTGGGGACCTCAGACCTGAAGGCAAGTTCCAGTTGTGGAGAAGAAAAAAATGTTTTCTCTCTACCTATCTTAGGTTAATTGGCTAGGGCCCAGCAAATTAGATGGACAAAAGACGTATTAGCAAGAGTAAAACAAACATAAGTTTACTAACATGTGTATCACGCATACACCTGGGAGCACCCAGTGATGAGTAACTCCAAAGGGGAGTTAGAACTTGGGCTTAGAGAGCATCTTAGCAAAGAAGAGTTTTGAAAAAAAGAAAGCAACAAGACAAAAGAAAAGGACTTTGAGCTTCTAGGAGTGGCAATTGTGTGCAAATACATGGAAAGTAGATAAGGTTTAGTTTTAGCAAGGTTTGTGGAGATTTCTCTGGGCCATAAGGACCTAGAGTTGTCTCTGGTGATTAATTTCTGTCTTTCCTGTTAGAGACGGGAGAGGGGACACCTTTACAAATTTATGTTCTGCTTTTAGGCAAATAAGGGGAGGGCAGAGAGCTTTTTATGTGTCTGTTTCTTCTCAATTGCCTTCAGCTCAAAATAATCCTTATGCTGTATTTTGGGGTGGCATTTTCTGCCACCCTTCACAGCCATAATGTGACTTCCAGCCTAGACTGAAGAAGGATTATCAAACCACCAGTCCTAGATATTATACACTTATTGACGCCATACTTTTAAGCATGATAATGTACAGAGAAGCAATAATTGACTGATGCCACGAATAGGTACTAGAGAGAGAAAAGGAGGAAGAAATTCGTTTGTCTTTTAAAAAGCAAAAGCTATTACAACCATTTTTGTGAAATGTTTATTATTAATGCCTAGTTGTCATGCAGCACAATAACAGCTGATGTCAAAGCCTGAAGGGCTGCCAAACAAATGAGGGATTTGTCAGATTATATTTGCCATGCATTGGACTTGACAACAGCAGTTAACTCCAGATAAGTGGTCTCAGTCTTCATAGCGTGGTGCTCATTGTGTTAGTAGCAGATACACTCTGAAGGCTCAGTGATTTAACACAATAAAAGTTTATTTCTTGTTTCTTTACTATCCAGCATGGGGCTCTTTGTATGAGTAGCTGTCTCCTAAGCAGAGATTCAGGGATCCAGCCTCCTTCTCTGCCATTGTCAACAGGCAGTTCCCAAAGTTGTCATGGAGATGGAGTGGGGAAAAGGGGGATCTATTCCAGTTAACTAACCAGAGGGAGAAAGAGCACGGATAGTCATCCATGGGAGGACTTCAGGGCCAGGTATGGGAGTAGAGGGCATCACTTCTGCCTAAAATCTATTGCTATGACTCAGTTACAGGGATAATCTAACCACAGGGCGGCTGGAAATGCAGTCTACCTATGTGCCCAAGAAAAAGAATCTATTTCTTATCTCCTAACAATCCAAAGTCAGGTTCCTGTATGGGTGGCAAATAATATCTTCCTATTATTGCAACAGTAGAGTTGACCTCATGGGTTTCTGAAAGGGTTTCAGAGATGTCAGGGGTCTCTGAGCCATACTTTGAAACCACTTTTCTAGAACATCAGATGACCTTAGGTAGGCTTATTAAACATTACAGTACGGCATTAAAAGGATATGCAGTTACCTTTTGCCTTCCTAAACATTTCACATTCAAGGTTAAAATGCCCTTCACTTCTCCTCCTTCCCTAGGCTCAATACTGAGTTCCAAGGAATGTAGGCAACTGCTTCCCTTCCACACTGGGAGGCTCGTATAACTGGCAGCTGAGAGAGGCGGATCTGCTTCTTGGTCCTGGATCCTTCTTGGTGCTATGCTCATGGCTGTGGCTTATGACCTCTTCCCACCTGTTTCTTTCAGCTTAGACAGTGTGTGGTCCTCCCTGGGGCAGATCTCAGCAGCCTGTCCCTGCTGATTCACTTCTCACCTCTCCTCCTTGGCAATGACAGCCACCAGAGGAGCAGCTGTGCTCCCCTGACTCTTAGCAGGAAGTCCACCTGACACCCCTCAGACCAGTGCCTCTTCTTCTTGACTTCCTGACAGGCACTGCCCTGCTGCTCTGCCCAAACAAATTGAGTGGTTGAGAGAAAGGTGAAGCAGACCCCGTCTCTCATTCTCAGTGATTCCTGCTACCTGAGTTTCTTCTACCCAACAACACTGTCCCCTCCATCACCATTCAGGCCTGGTGTCCCGTGCCTCAGGAGCCCATGCAGCCCTCTTCACCCCTCCTCCTGCCCAGATGGCACAGGTACATCTGTGCATCTTCCAACATCCTAGACAGGAAGTTCCCTAGGGACCAAGGCAATTCCATATTGGACCCTTCCCCTTTAGCTCCTTTAGGTAGGGGATAAAACCCGTAGCTCACACACTGTTGTTGGAACTGTCTCCCTTGCTTCTCCTGCCGGTCCTCTTTCTGTAGGTGTGTGTCTGGGGTGCGGAGGGGCCTGGGGACAGAAACCTGTTCTGCCTGCTTGTGCTTCCTTTCAAGTCTCTTTAGTTTCACTAGAGGTGGTGCCTTTGGAACCCTAAAGTCAGGAATCATGCAGGTTTTCCACAGGTTTAGCCCTTGCCTGACAACTCTGCCAGTGGCAAATGGCAGGATCACATCTCAGTGTTCAAATCCCAGTTGTGGCGGCAGAAAAAAATAAAACATTCTGGTTAATATCTCAAATTATTAGTCTGCTGTGTACTAACATGAGTATAAATGTGTTCAGTTGTTCCTGGGCAACACTTATACTTTAGAGCACTTTTGGGAAAGAGCAGGACTTGTTCCAAAGGCCTGGTTTCAAGTGGGTAATTGGGGTCGCCTGCTGCAGTGTGCAGGCTGCCCTAGAGGCCAGTGGGCAGGGTATTCAGGGAATATGAGGGGAGACGTAGGCAGGAACTGAAAACACCCCGTGGAGGGAGAAGAAAGGAGCTGGGTACCTCCCAGGCCATTTTATCTGGAAAATCCTTGTCTTCCAGTCCCAGCTCTTGCCCTCAGCTCCCCATTTTGCTGAAGTTGAACCAGGCCTCCTTCTTCCCCAGTGCTCTGCCTCTGGTGTTTTTCTCAATCTTGACAGGGTTGCTGGGTCCTGCTACTCAAGTAGCAGGAAGAGCTAAGAATGAAAGACGAGGCCTGCTTTACCTTTCAGCCACTCTGTCCTCAGATACCCACAGGGACTCAGGCCCAAGCCCAGCAGAAATGTCAGGTGATGTTTTGTCAGGATATCCCAATTTCTGAACACTGATCAACATCTGCTCCAATACCCAAAAACTCACATGCAGGAATGCCACAGCCTGGAGAGGCCCTAAGGACTCCCAGGGAGTGTTAGATAAGCTCAAAATAATTCCTCCCTGAGGAAGCTGGCTAGGGACAGATCTCCTCCCTGAATTGTAGGTGCTTTTGTTGTGCTGAACAGAGAACCCTGTCCCTGAGGGAGAATGCTGGCACTACCTTACCAGCCCCTGGGCCAATGAGAAGCAGAGCCGTGGGAAAGAGGCCAACCCTCCTGAGAGGGAGGAGGTCATGAGGGTGGAGGGAGCATGACATGGTTTGGCTGTGTCCCCACCCAAATCTCATCTTGAGTTCCCACATGTTGTGGGAGAGACCCGGTAGCAGGTATTTGAATCTGGGGGCAGGTCTTTCCCATGCTGTTCTTGAGATAGTGAATAAGTCTCACAAGATCTGATGGTTTTTTGTGTTTTTGTTTGTTTGTTTTGTGAGACAGAGTTTCACTCTCGTTGCCCAGACTGGAGTGCAATGGTGCAATCTTGGCTCACCACAACCTCTGCCTCCTGGGTTCAAGCAATTCTCCTACCTCAGCTCCCAAGTAGCTGGGATTACAGGCATGCACCACCACGCCTGGCTAATTTTTTATTTATTTATCTTTAGTAGAGATGAAGTTTCTCCATGTTTATCAGGCTGGCCTTGAACTCCCGACCTCAGGTGATCCACCTGCCTTGGCCTCCCAAAGTGTTGGGATTACAGGCATGAGCCACCAAGCCCAGTTGATCTGATAGTTTTATAAGGGGAAGTTTCCCTGCACAAGCTCTCTCTTTGACTGCCGTCATCCACATAAGATGGGACTTGTTCCTCCTTTCCTTCCACCATGACTGTGAGGCCTCCCCAGCCATGTAGAACTATAAGTCCATTAAACTTCTTTCTTTTGTAAGTTGCCCAGTCTTGGGTATGTCTTTATCAGCAGTGTGAAAACGGACTAATACAGTAAGTTGGTACCAGTAGAGTGGGGCGCTGCTGAAAAGGTATCCAAAAATGTGGAAGTGACTTTGCAACTGGATAACAGGCAGAGTTTGGAACAGTTTGGAGGGCTCAGAAGAAGACAGGAAAATGTGGGAAAGTTTGGAACTCCCTAGAGACTTCTTGAATGGCTTTGACCAAAATGCTGATAATTATATGGACAATGAAATCCACGCTGAAGTGGTCTCAGCTGGAGATAAGGAACTTGTTGGGAACTGGAGCAAAGGTGTCTCATTATGCTTTAGCAAAGAGACTGGCAGCATTTTGCCCCTGCCTTAGAGATTTGTGGAAATTTGAGAGAGATGACTTAGGGTACTTGGCAGAAGAAATTCCTAAGCAGCAAAGCATTCAAGAGGTGACTTGGGTGCTGTTAAAGGCATTCAGTTTTAAAAGGGAAACAGAGCATAAAAGTTTGAAAAATGTACAGGTTGACAATGTGATAGAGAAGAAAATCCCATTTTCTGAGAAGAAATTCAAGCTGGTTGCAGATATTTGCATAAGTAAGGAGGAGCCAAATGTTAATCCCCAAGACAATGGGGAAAAGGTCTCCAGGCCATGTCAGAGACCTTTGCAGCAGCCCCTCTCATCACAGGCCTGGAGGTTTAGGATAAAAAAATGATTTCATGGGCTTGGCCCAGGGTCCTCCTGCTGTGTGTGGTCTAGAGACTTGGTGCCCTGTGTCCCAGCTGCTCCAGCTGTGACCAAAAGGGGCCAAGGTACAGTTCAGGTTGTTGCTTCAGAGGGTGGAAGCCCCAAGCCTTGACATCTCCCATGTGGTGTTGAGCCTGCAGGTGCACAGAAATCAAGAATTGAGGTTTGGGAACCTCCACCTAGATTTTAGAGGATGTATGGAAATACCTGGATGCCCAGGTAGAAGTTTGCTACGGGGGCAGGGCCCTCATGGAGAACCTCTGCTAGGGCAGGACAGAAGGGAAATGTGGAGTCGGAGCCCCCACACAGAGTCCCTATTTGGGTACTGCCTAGTGGAGCTGTGAGAAGAGGGCAACCATCCTCCAGACCCCAGAATGGTAGATCCACCAACAGCTTGTACCATGTGCCTGGAAAAGCCACAGACACTCAAAGCCAGCCCATGAAAGAGGCCAGGAGGGGGGCTATACCCTGCAAGGCCACAGGGACAAAGCTGCCTAAGGCTGTGGGAGTCCACATCAGTGTGGACCTGGATCAGTGTGACCTGGATGTGAGACACGGAGTCAAAGGAGATCATTTTGGAGCTTTAAGATTTGACTGCCCTGCTGGATTTTTGACTTGCATGGGGCCTGTAGACCCTTTGTTTTGGCCAATTTCTCGCATTTGGAATGGCTGTATTCATTCAATGCCTGTACCTCCAATTGTATCTAAGAAGTAACTAACGTGCTTTTGATTTTATAGGCTCATAGGCGGAAAGGACTTGCCTTGTCTCAGATGAGACTCTGGACTGTGGACTTTTGAGTTAATGCTGAAATGAGTTAAGACTTTAGGGGACTGTTGGGAAGGCAAGACTGGTTTTGAAATGTGAGGACATGAGATTTGGGAGGGGCCAGGGCAGAATGATATGGTTTGGCTGGGTCCCCACCCAAATCTCATCTTGAATTCCCACATGTTGTGGGAGGGACTTGGTAAGAGGTAATTGAATCATGGGGGCAGGTCTTTCCCATGCTATTCTCGAGATAGTGAATAAGTCTCATGAGATCTGATGGTTTTATAAGGGGGAGTTTCTCTGCACAAGCTCTGTCTTTGCCGCCATCCACATAAGATGTGATTTGCTCCTCCTTGCCTTCCACCATGATTGTGAAGCCTCCCCAGCCACATAGAACTATAAGTCCATTAAACCTCTTTCTTTTGTAAATTGCCCAGTCTTGGGTATGTCTTTATCAGCAGCGTGAAAAAGGACTAATACAGAGAGGACTTACAGAGTCAGACACGGGGACATCATTACTGTGTAGCTGGCACAGAAGGGAACTCCAAGAAAGAATTTCTAGCAGCATGCCACAGACACTGGGGTACCACACCCCCTTCACGGGTATGCCACTAAACACAGATCAGTGTGTAAAATTTGGTTCTGATACAGTCAATGATATATTGAACAGACAGTGTGATGTGGAGTAGAATGGAATATAATTTGCTGCAAAAAGTGGTAGAGGGCGAGGTGGTGGCAAAGACATTTCTCAATTTGACTCAAAATGGAGAACATTGCCCCCTGAGGATATGTGTCCAGCCAAGGCAGGGAATAATTGTACTCAAATTGTGACCCTAGGGTTAAGGACAGTCAAAAGACCAGGAGGATGGCAGTAGATATCACTGCATTTCTTCATATGTACCAATAAAAATCCTAGTATTTAAAAGTGTGCCAGCATGCTGACTTGGACATCACAGGGAGTAAAATGGTAAAACATTGGAGCCAGGTGTGGTAGTGCACATCTGTAATTCCAGCCACTCAGGAGGCTGAGGTTAGAGGATCACTTGAGCCCAAGAATTTGAGACCAGGCTGGGCAACATAGTAAGACACCCATCTCAAAAATAAATTAATTAATAAATTAAGTAATTAAAATATTGGAATAATACAGAGATTATTATGGCCCCTGCACCAGATGCCTTATACCTTCATAAAGCACTCCATATTTGAGAGCACTCTTTTGCATGATTGAATAATTTATAATATATACATTATATTTCTCAGTTTTTCAAAAACAAACAGCAGACTGGTTAAATAAAAAAGGACTGGAAGCCTGGGCACGGTGGCTCATGCCTGTAATCCCAGCACTTTGGGAGGCCAAAGCAGGTGGATCATGAGATCAGGAATTTGAGACCAGTCTGACCAAGATGGTGAAACCCCATCTCTACCAAATATACAAAAAATTAGCTAGGTGTGGTGGTGGGCACTGTCATCCCAGCTACTCAGGAGGCTGAGGGAGGAGAATTGTGTGAACTCAGGAGGTGGAGAGGTGGAGGTTGCAGTGAGCCGAGATTACACCATTGCACTCCAGCCCAGGCAACGGTGCAAGACTCCATCTCAAAAAAAAAAAAAAAAAAAGAACTGGAAATAAATTAATCACCATATTAATGGTGGTAATTCCCAGTTGTAAGAATATGAATGATACTTCTTTTCTTTTTTGTACTTTCTATATTTTTTAATTTTCTAAAAATAAAATGAAAAGGCATAAAAATAATAAAAGAAATGCAAACAAACTGGTTGAAACTCCTAGGGTTTCATAAATATTGTCTCATTTAATCCTCACAACATCTCTATGAGACACAAATTATTTTTCTTATTTTCAAATGGGGAAACTGAGGCTAGGGCTGTTAAACTCTTTAAGGTCATGCAGCTATAAGTGAATTAATTGGATCTTGAGCCGAGGTCTTTTGACTCTAGATTTCATGCTCCTTCTTCCACATCCCGTTGCCTCTGCAAGAACCACATATTCTTCTAACAGCTAAAATAACGGGATATGTTAGAAGGAAAGCCACTGGTCCTCTTCTGCTATTAGCCAGAATGAGTGAAGAACTTCAAACTCCAATAAGTGCCCTGGAAAGTGTAGTAGGTCATACCAGACGACGAGACAGGTGACTCAGGATACTTGACGCCTATCAAAAAATGACCAGGGCTTGCCCGCGGACTCGAGGGACCCTCAGATCAGAGCCTAGAAGAACTAGGTCCTTATTTATAAAATCTCTTCTGTATAGTACATATAATGCATAAGTATACATGCAATCTTGATCTGTCACCTACGTAGGGAAGGCCTTTGAGGTCTTTATTCCAGCTACTATTTCTGAGATATAAATTAGTCCAAAACAACACCTTAAAACTACTATATTATTTTGTGGGGTTTTTTTGTTGTTGTTTTGTTTGTTTGTTTGTTTGTTTGTTTTTGAGACAGAGTCTCGCTCTGTCGCCCAGGCTGGAGTGCAGTGGCCCGATCTTGGCTCACTGCAACCTCTGCCTCCCAGGTTCAAGCAATTCCCTGCTTCAGCCTCCCGAGTAGCTAGGATTACAGGTGCCCACCACCACGCCTGGCTAATTTTTGTATTTTTAGTAGAGACAGGGTTTCACCATCTTGGCCAGGCTGGTCTTGAACTCCTGACTTCGTGATCCACCTGCCTCGGCCTCCCAAAGGGCTGGGATTACAGGCGTGAGCCACCGTGTCCAGCCTTTTTTTAGTTTTTTTTTGAGACAGAGTCTGGCTCTGCTGCCCAGGCTGTAGTGCAGTAGCAGGATCTCGGCTCACTGTCACCTCCACCTCCTAGGTTCAAGCAATTCTCCTGCCTCAGCCTCCTGGGTAGCTGAGATTACAGGCACCTGCCCCCATGCCTGGCTAATTTTTTTAGCAGAGATGGGGTTTCACCATGTTGGCCAGGCTGGTATGAAACTCCTGACTTCAGGTGATCCACCCGCCTCTGCCTCCCAAAGTGTTGAGATTACAGGCATGAGCTACTACACCTTACCAAAACTACCATATTATTTCACTCATGATTTTGTGGGTCAAAAATTTTGAAAAGGCTGTGCCTAGGACTTCTCACTTGGCATCTCTCTTGTGGTTACAGTCAGATGTTACCTGGAGCTGAAGTCATCTGAAGATTCAACAGGACTGGATGTCCAGCATGTCTCATTCACATGATTGGCAGGTGATGGTGGCTGATTAAGCTGTCAACTGGGGAACTCACATGTGGCCTTTCCCATATAGCTAACTCAGGGTAGTTGGACTTCATACCTAGCATCTAGCTTCCCTCAGGACAAGCATCTCATAAGAACCAGGCAGTAGCTGCAAGACTTTTTCTGACATGGCTGAAGAAATCACGTAGCACACTTCTACTTCATTGTATTGGTTACAAATGAATAATTAGACAGACTAGATTCAAGGGGAAGGGAAGTAGGCTCTACCTCTTGATGGAGTAGTACAAGGTCACATTGTGAAAGAGCACACGAGGTGAAAAATGTTGTTTCAGCCACCTTTAGAACATAAAATTTGCCTCAGTCATTTAATCCAGTGTTTCCCAACCTTTGTCACCTCATAGCACACACTGAAAGCATTAATATGTATATGGCTTATGACATGTCAGTTGGAAAGCTCTGACAAGCTAACTATCTGTGATTAAGAAAGCTTCCTTTCCTTACTTTATAGCTAGTGTGCATTCAAGGGCAAGATTTCTCACATGTTTCAGGGTAATTCTTGAACTAACAGAAAAAAAACCTTCCCAGTTCTGATCCCTTTATGTTATAAGTATCTATGCTATAAGGATTTTTGTGTCCAGAAGCTTTGAGATAGTTTTTCATCTTTCCTCCTCTAAACACTAAAGGAAAGATAGCATACATTCTTTATACACTGGATCAGTTAAAAATATATGCTACCAATCAAAAAGAATAATAACTGTAGCAGATTGAACACTTCAAACATGTTTAAATTCATGAGTTCATAATGCTTTTAAAACAATTACGACAGAAATTATTAGAGTACTCTTTGGAAGTTTCCAGGACCCTAACTTATTTAGAAAACTGGAGAATAAAGGGACAGACCAAGCATTTGTCCTGCCTTTCCTGTATGAACTATGCTTCACAGTATGCCAGGTATCAATGTGCTATCTCTCAGCTCAAAGCCCACTCTTTGCTCTGCTTTGCAATTCTGGTGCTGTACCCTGTAAACATTTCTCCTATCAACAGCTGACATAATGTTAAACATTTTTGCCAGTGGAGGGTGCTGGAGGGAAATTGCAGGAGGAAGGAGTTTTTCTGGCTCAGTGTGCTTTCCTCCTTGCTCCTGCAGTGCACAACGACCAACAGTGTGGCGGATGCCCCAGTTAGTTTTAGCAGTACACTTGCGGATAACTTTTTTTTTTTGAGACGGAGTCTCACTCTGTTGCCCAGGCTGGAGTGCAGTGGAATGATCTCTGCTCACTGCAACCTCCACCTCCAGGGTTGAAGCAACTCTCCCTGTCTCGGCCTCCCAAGCAGCTAGAACTACAGATACCTGCCACCATGCCCAGCTAATTTTCGTATTTTTTAGTAGAGACCAGATTTCACTATATTGGCCAGGCTGATCTTGAACTCCTGACCTTAGGTGATCTGCACATCTTGGCCTCCCAGAGTGCTGGGATTACAGGAATGAGCCACCATGCCTGGCCTTGTGGAGAACTTTCTATCAAGCTTTGTCAGCCCCACAGTGGGCATGTGATGGTTAACACTTAGTGTGAACTTGATCGGATTAAAGGATGCAAAGTATTGTTTCTGGGTGTGTCTGTGAGGGTGTTGCCAAAGGAGATTAACATTTGAGTCAGTGGGCTGGGGAAGGCAGACCCACCCTTAATCTGGCGGGCACAATCTAATCAGCTGCCAGCGCAGCTAGAATAAAGCAGGCAGGAGAAGATAGACAAGCAGGCTTGCCGAGTCTTCTGGCCTTCTTCTTTCTCTTGTGCTGAATGCTTTCTGCCTTTGAACATCAGACTCCAAGTTCTTCAGCTTTTGGACTCTTGGACTTACACCAGTGATTTGCCAGGGGCTCTCAGGCCTTTGGCCACAGACTGAAGACTACACCGTCAGCTTCCTTATTTTTGAGGTTTTGGGACTTGGACTGATCCACCAATGGCTTCCTTGCTCCTCAACTTGCAGATGGGACTTTACTTTGTGATCACATGACTCAATTCTCCTTAATAAACTCCCTTTCATATATACATCTATCCTATTAGTCCCTCTGGAGAACCCTGACTAACACAGGGCATTTCCCTGCTTGCCAGCTCTAGCCTAAGGTACTTCAGTGAACATCTCCACTATTCAATCTCCACTCTCCATGGAACAGTCACACTCTCTCCATCATTGGGAATGAGGGACTGTCTTCCAGTTTGTTATTTCCTTGAGTGCTCTGACTGCACTCTAGAAGTAGTGGCTGTTCTCTGTTTCTGCTATTCCTGTATTCTTTAGAGTTCCTTAATCTCTATTTAATAATTTATGTTAAAATTTACCTATTTTAAGGCCAGGCACAGTGGCTCACACCTGTAATCCCAACACTTTGGGAGGCCGAGGCGGGTGGATCAATGAGGTCAGGAATTCGAGACCAGCCTGACCAACATGGTGAAACTCTGTCTCTACTAAAAATACAAAAATTAGCTGGGTGTGGTTGCAGCCACCTGTAATCTCAGCTACTAGGAAGGCTGAGGCAGGAGAATCTCTTGATCCCAGGAAGAAGAGGTTGCAGTGAGCCAAGATCACGCCATTGCATTCCACCCTGGGCGACAGAGTGAGACTCCATCTCAAAAAAATAAATAAAATAAAATTTACCTATTCTAAGCATCGTGTGGTTTCTGTCTCCTATCTGGACTCTGATTCATACAGTAAGCAAATCGTTGATGAGGAAAACTTCTTCTGTATACAAGAATACCAGCTAATAAATGTGCAGTGAATGAAAGAATTAGAATATTTTATAATTAAAAAAATAGATGTAGGCACTGACCATCAATCGATGCTAAAGTCAGTAGATAAGAGGCTGATGGGGAACGTAATAATGGATGGATCAGACTGATGGATGGACTCCCTGAACCAGAGGCAAGTTTACCACAAGCTAATATGGTGTAAGCTTCAGCTCTCCTCACTTGCATGGACCTAGAACCTAATTTTATATTTGTAATTTTGATTTATTTCTCTTAAAGAAAGCCCCTCAAATTGCACAAACTTCAGTCTCCACAAAACCTTGATTTACCCACTTGGTAAACCCACTGATCAATCTTAAGATCCCAAAACAAAGCAAGAGACCACCAGACATGATGAGCCTCCTCCTGTGATGCAATAGGCAATAGCAACAGCCACAAAATCCTCCTGCCAAAAGTGTAATGCCAAACTGATCAAGCCTCTAGATATAATGACTGCTTTATACAAACACTTGGGATAGAAGAACATGCTAAAGACACTATGAGAATGCAATAGCCAAATCCAAAATATGGGAGATTTTTTTTTAGGACAAATTACTCAGTATTTTCAACCAAAACAATAGCAAGTAAAAAAAATAATAACTGTGGCAGTGTGGGGGGCTTTCGTAGAGATTTTTAAAGACTTGAGAAATATCAGCAAAAGCAATATGTGTCCCTCATTTGGATTTTGATTCAGATAAAATAACCATTTATGAGATAATGTGAATTTTCATGCTGACTGGATATTGCATGGTATTAGGAAATTATTGTTAGTTTCTTTTAGGTGTCATAATGTATTATGGATTTTTTTAAGGAATTCTTATCTCTTAGAGGTATATATTTAAGCATTTTTGAATAAGTTATATAAAGCCTGGGATTGCTTTAAAAATAATGTAGCAGAGGGTAGGGTAATAGAGGTTATAAAGTAAAACTGGCCTTATGTTGATAAATGGTGATGCTGAGTGGTGAGTACATGGGGGTTCATTGTAAATCTATTCCTTATATTCAAACATACTTTAGTGATGCTTGGAAATGTCATCATAAAAAGTTTAATGGAACAAAATATATGCTACGATAGGTGGCATATTATCTATACATTAATAATAACCAAATTCATATAGTATATTGAGGTTTACAGAGCACTTTTCATGTATAATTTAATATAATCCTAACCTCAGGCCTACAAGGTAGATTTTATTATTGTTATCTCACAGGGAACAATTTCAGAGTGGTTAAGTCAATGGCTCAGCAGTTCTGAGCTAGTAGGAGGCAAAAAATGAGATTCAGATCTAAGTCTTTGATTTCTAAATCCTATGCTCCACCTGGAGAGGGAGAAGAAAAGCTGGGTGATCCTGGTTAAGTCTCTTAACTTCTGAGCCTAAGGAAAAATGAGAACAATAATACTTAGCCTGCTTTCTTCCTAGTTGTTGGGAAACTCAGGTCTGAAAATTTCTAGAAAAGGACTTTGTGTATTGGGAAGTGCCTTATAAATTTAGATTGGCACATAGAGATTAGCTTTCTAGCAAAGAATGCTACAAAAAGGGAAGAAGGTGGAGAGCTCTGGGGGCTGGTTTTGGGCAATGCAGAGTTTGTTCTTGGTAACCTTTGCATTCCCCCCACATCTCAAAAATCCCTCCCTTGTGTTCGTATTAACTGATAACACGTAAGATGTTTTTCCTGTGGCGTACTTGAATGCTTCCCATCATCCCTGATGTGCTGCGTTGTTACTATCTTGTAGGAGCAGAGGCTGCACAACAGCTGTTTGTAACGGAAAGTTTTATGACTTGTTTTTAGACTGGTGAAATCAGCATGAAACTGCGTGGTATTTTCTGCTGTTGTCCAGAACTCCTCTACTAGATTATTTACACTAAGTCATTGATAGCCATGAATTTTCACTAAGCAACACTGGAAAACAAATGAGACACTTTTGATTCTCTAGGGGGAAAAAATGGAGTGGTACAGTTAAAATGACCCACATTAAACAATTACAGCTACAAAAACAAAAACCTCTTTGGGGACTGGGTACAGATATCTAAAAAGCCACGTCAAAATGGCAGCATCTGCTGGGTGTGGTAGCTCACGCCTGTAATCTCAGCATTTTGGGAGGCTGAGGCGGGTGGATCACTTGAGGTCAAGAGTTCGAAACCAGCCTGACCAACACGGCAAAACCCTGTCTCTACTAAAAATACAAAAATGATCTGGGCATGGTGGTGCGCACCTGTAATCCCAGCTACTTGGGAGGCTGAGACAGGAGAATTGCTTGAACCCGGGAGGCAGAGGTTGCAGTGAGCCGAGATCGCACCACTGCACTCTAGCCTGGGCGACAGAACAAGATGCTGTCTCAAAAAAAAATGAAAACTGGCAGCACCCAAACAACAACTTCAAAACATCTTGGTCTGAAACACACATTCAATGATGACAATGTAATTCTGCCAGTACACATTGAAATACTAACAGGAGCACCTAAATATACCTATATATTTTGTTTTAAATATATAAATTAAAATATCTCATTTGTGATTACTACTTTCATAGTAATAATTTCAGCCATAAGTAACTTCGGAAGACTCTTTACCTGTCTGTGTCTCCGTTTTCTTCACCATAAGTTAGGAATAATAATGATATCTATCTTGTGGGCTAAAAATTAAATAAGATCATATATGTAAAAGGAGGTTGTGCCTTGCTAAGGGCCTGGCACTGATCTAAATGCAGGTGCTAAATGTTGAGCACTGAAGTCTATAATAGCCGTAGGCACTGGGAGCCTGGAGATCAGTGTGGCTAAGAAAGGAGGGAGAGTTCTGTGGATAGCTCAGGACAAAGGTGTGGCTGCTGAGCCCCAGCAGTACTGGAAAGAGGAGGCCCAAATACTAGTGCTTGCACATGTGAGAAAACGTTAGAATCTTGATGCTGAGTATATGGGTGTTAACTGCAATTTTTTTCAATTTTTCTGAATATTCCAAAATTGTGATAATAAAATGTTGGGAAATAAAGTTATAAAATAAAATCTGGTATCTCCTCCAAACCTCCATGGCCATGGGTAGCCTGGGCAGAATAGATTGACAACAACTGACCAGGCTTATAAACCGATTAAATTGGCACTAGGGAGAGAGAAATGAGGGTTGGGGGTGAGCCCGGAAGAGCCAGAGGAAGCAGCGCTTTCCCGATGTGGTGGACACGGTGCTGGAACCCCAGCTCACAGAGATTCGCTGGTGCGGCCAGGAAAGTTTGCATCATTTGGAACATGTGTGCAGGACTTCTCCCCGCCAGACAAGCCATGCTCATTTCCAGTTCTGCTTCCAGCCTGCCTGGGGGAGCCTAGCATTACAAACAATTACTCTGCTCTCAAAATGGAAAATTTCAGTCCTAGGATTTCTACAGGAACTTCTGGAGCTTGTAGAAAAAAAAAAAAAGCACCTCGCTCCTCGAGAGCAAAATTAAATGGTAAAATTTCTAAATTACTGTAAACGTGGGTCTCACGTGTCTTGAAAATAGCATGTATGTGACTGCTAAGTGTTGTGTGGGTGATTCATCAGACTCTCATTTCTTGTTTTGGTTCTGGATAGCACAGGATGTGGATTAGAAAAGTATGGTGCAGTGCTTATGTCAAACACAGAGTAAGGGGTTGCCCTGCACAGTGGCAATTAACAATTACCAGAGTATGGTTCTCTTAAAATTTAGTCGAATGAGAGTATACATGTATATCTGAACTTTGGGCAAAGGTTTAAATATTTTAAATATTATTGAAGCCAATACACATCTGTTGAGCACCTACTATTTACAATGTGAATATGCATAAATTGCAACAAATAGTACTTTTTCTGTAATGTGTGAATTACGTAATTTCAGAAATGTGTCATTTTCAAACCTTTTGCAAGCACAATCATTTCACCTGTATCTCTCTTCAAGAATCATTCTAGGCTGGGCGCAGTGGCTCATGCCCTGTAATGCCAGCACTTTGGGAGGCCAAGGTGGGCAGATCACCTAAGGTCAGGAGTTTGAGCCCAGCCTGACCAACATGGAGAAACCCCGTCTCTACTAAAAGTACAAAATTAGCCAGGCGTGGTGGCACTTGCCTGTAATCCCAGCTACTCGGGAGGCTGAGGCAGGAGAATCACTTGAACCTGGGAGGCAGAGATTGCGGTGAGCCAAGATTGTGCCATTGCACTCCAGCCTGGGCAACTCCATCTCAAAAAAGAGTGAAACTCTATCTCCAAAAAAAAAAGACTCATTCTAGTCTTCACAGTCATGCAAGAATCAAATCTGGGGCAAAGTTGAGACACTACACTCAATTGGTTAGGAGTCACCGTCATTCTCCAGTTATATTGTCTGAGTGCTATACTTTTTTAAAAAAGATTGTTTTTAAAGTAAAAATGCTAGTGATTTGGAAGGGGATAAACTGAAAAGTCCACCTCCATAAAGCACCCCCAGTCTTGCCCCCTAGAGGTAACTCTGGCAACAGATCTTTGCATATGCTTCAATAAAATTTTTACACATACACAAGCATATGTGACCCAGATGTTGGCCGTCCGTCTCATCTGCTTGACTGACTTTCTTTTGGCCTCAGGCCATGCTTGACACACAAATCTCAGTCCTTGACCAGTATTTACAAGAAATCCAATCACATTAAGTATATCCTGATTTTTAAAGTATTATTAAAGATTGATGGGGTTAGAGAGAATGATCACAGTGTACAGCATCAACATCTCTGTCTCAAACAAAACAAAACTGTGTTCAACATGTCTCTCCACATTCTTACCAGCCCACACCACAAATTGGTCATGCTCCTCTCTGGCCTCTGTACACCATCTATTCTGACACACACAGCCTGTCATTCCTATCATTCCTGTTCCAAGGTCTCTGTTTCTCCAACCCAATCCCAATTATCTCCCAACCTCTCAAGCTGTAAGGATGCAATACATTTTTATTTCATCAGATCCTTTCAGATGGACATTAGGTTGCTCCCCATTTTTTTTTCTGTGTTAAACAATGTTATAATTAATATCTTAGAAGATACATCTTTGTACACTTGTGAGTTTGTTGCTGGGTAAATTCTTAGAAGTGCAATGCCTGGATCAAGAACATATACATTCACAATTGGGACATATTTTGACAAAATGTCCTTTAAAAATGATATGAATGTATATTCCCATAGGGTATGCAAGCATACACAGGGTTTCTCCACACTTGGGTCAACAGTGGATATTACTCCACTTTAGCGTCATCTTGGTTATCTTTACCAAATGAATGGTGAAAATTAGTACCTTATGGTTATTTTAATCTGCACTTCTTTAGTGATGAGTGGGATCAAAAGCCTCTTTTCATCTATGTGTTTGCCATTTGTATTTCCTTCTCTGTGAAATGCCGGTTCATCTACCAGCAAAAACCCTCTTGTTCTTGAAAGAAACATTTCCCTTTGCTTCCAGGACACTTCCATCTTCTGGTTCTCTGGAGCCTCTTTCTCATCCTTTTGTTGGCTCTTTTTTGTTTACCTTCCTCAGGGATGTTGCTATTCTCCAGGGCTCCACCCTCATCCTCATCCTGCCTCCTTTCCACTGTACATGCTCTTCCCATGTCATGCCACCTTCTTGCCCAAAATTAGTTACCATTTATTGACCACTTGTTATGTTCTAGACATTCTACTAGGCATTCTAAATGCTCATTATAACTCTCCAAGGTCAGCATTATGTTTCCCAATTTTTCAAATGAGGAAAGTGAGATCACAGAGTAACTTGTCTAAGGTTGTACCACCAGTAAATGATAGAGCTGGGATTTGATGCCAGGGTCATTTCTCGCCAATGTCTAAGCTCTTTCTATTACATTGCCATGTCCTCATTTACTACCCACAGGGAGACAATTCCAAGTCTGTATTGCCACTCTAAGTCTCTCGATGGTCTCAAAATCACATGTGCTCAATTCCTCAACAGAAATATCTGCCTAGACATCAGCAGGACCCTAAAATGCAGCATGCTCTCCCTGAACCTGCCCTTCCAGCGATCCCTTCATGGATAATAGAGTCTCCCAGCCTCAGCCAATCAATTGCCAAGTCTCATAGAAACCACTCAGATATCTGAGCCCTCTGTCCTTCCCTCTGTTCCCCACTTTGCTCAGAGCCTTGTAATTTCCTGGCCAAATACCACACACTTCCTAAACTGTACATTCCAGTTAATACCCCACTCAACATCCTGAGGTTGTTTCTCCAATAAGCATAATCATCTGTAAATGAAGAGATGCTCTTTATAAGGACTAAGTGAAATAATCTATGTAAAATATGCAGCTTATGCTCATTCCTCAATAAGTGTTAGGGTTCTTACCTTCCTTCTAAAATGTCAGTCTGATAATATAAGTCCCTATGGCCTGCACAATAAAGTCTAGAGCCCAGTGGCTTCCGAGGCCCTGACCCGCCTCTCTGATTCCTGCCTCACACTAGGCTCTAGTCAACCAAATGCCTCACTTTTCTTGTCTCTGTGCCTTAGTTCCCTCTGCTTGGAATTCCTTTCCTCCACTTACTGCACTAATGAGCATCTTTAATTATTATTCTTTCATTATTACTGTACTTTAAGTTCTAGGGTACATGTGCACGATGTGCAGGTGTGTTACATATGTATGCATGTGCCATGTTGGAGTGCTGCACCCATTAACTCGTCATTTACATTAGGTGTATCTCCTAATGGTATCCCTCCCCCCTCCCCCCACCCCACTACAGGCCCCGGTGTGTGGTGTTCCCCACCCTGTGTCCAAGTGTTCTCATTGTTCAGTTCCCACCTATGAGTGAGAACATGCGGTGTTTGGTTTACTGTCCTTGTGATAGTTTGCTCAGAATGATGGTTTCTAGCTTCATCCATGTCCCTACAAAGGACATGAACTCATCCTTTTTTATGGCTGCATAGTATTCCATGGTATATATGTGCCACATTTTCTTAATCCAGTCTATCATTGGTGGACATTTGGGTTGGTTCCAAGTCTTTGCTATTGTGAATAGGAGCACCTTTAATTCTTTAAGATCTGGTTCAGATGGCACTTTCCCCAGAATGCTGGCTCTGAATTCTTCCCATCAGTTTCCCGGGCTCCTTCTCTGAGCCTCTTTACTTTTTCTTACATTATTGCATTGCAATTATTTGTTTACCTGCCTGTCTCTGCGACAAGGCTGAAAACAGGGGCTGTTCCTTATCCGTCATCATATCCTCAGTGTGTGGCACCCAGGAGGTGCTTTAAAATGTGTGTGGAATTAATGTGTTCCATGCGTTAATAAGTGCTTGCCATGCCCCACCTCCTCCAGAATTGCGGTTACAGACAAAAGGGATTAAAGTGCCGCAGCCTTGCAGGTGGTGCACTGCAGGCTCAGAGGGTGCAGTTAGCCTTCTGAACCTCAGTTTTAAACCTGCAAAGTGGGCCTCAGACACCTCCTGGGCAATTAAGGGCAAAGGAAATAACATGTAAGTAGCCAAAATGCAGTCAAGATGCAAGTGGATGTTAAGTTGCTAGCCAAAACCACGGGAAGAATGATCATTTTTAGGGAATGGACCAATGCCTGGAAAGAATGCAGGCTTTGGAGTCAGGCACATTTAAATGCACTGTGATATTCTGTTATAACAGACTAACTCTGAGGTGTCGTTGATTTGACACAACAAAGGGTGAATGTGGGAATGTCCACCACGGGAATGTGGCTCCTGCTCTAATCAGGCTTCAGGGGCCCATATTGACGCAGTCAGGGTCCCTGAAAAGCAGACTCTGAAAGGAGATTAACATGCAGGATGTTTGTTAAGGGGTACCCTTACGATTGACACCTGCGAAAAAGAGCAGAAGGAAACAGGACTGTGCAGAGGGAGGAGTTGAGCTGCAGTGCAGGCCCAGCACCAGCCTTCACGTAACCCACGGGGTCTCTGGAGCTTGAATAACCCTTTAGAGATGTCCTGAACTGGGCCAAGATGGCTCGACCCTGATACCTCTGTGTTAATCAGGGGCAAACCTTGGGTGGGGTGACTCTCGGCGGCTGAGGCAGCCCTGCAGAGATTGACAACTGAAGGCTGCCACAGACAGCATTCCCAGCCCCTGGGGCCGTGCTTCTTTTACTGAAGAGGAGACAGCTCACATGTGGAGGATCCTCATCATATAGTTGCTGCACCCTGGGGACACATGCCAAAGTATCTCAGCTTTGGTTCTTCCAGAGGCCGACTCTGAACCTGGGATATGAGCACAAGCCATTTATCTGGGAGTATGGAAGTGAGATGGGAAAGGAAAGGAAATCAATGGAGCGCACTTTAATGAACAGGTAACTGCTGGGGGCCCCTGCAAATCAGAATAGAACATGTCCCGGAGTTGTCCCTCTCAATGGGCAAAGATGGGGTGGTATTTATCCACCAAATCCTGTGTGTCATTACTCACAGCCACTCCTGGACAGACTCACCCACTGACAGTTCCCACCTACCTTTCTATCTTGAACAAAGAGTGGCAGGTGACTGCAGTAAGAAGCCATTGACGTGAACACAAACTGTGAGCACCAAGGGGATGTGAGCAGAGCACTAATGGAGTCTGTCCCAGCAGGGAGGAGGGAGGCTGCAGAGTCTCTCAGGAATGTTATGCTGCCTCAGCCTAGGGGTGACACATTCACACAAGCATGGGCAGAGCTAGCTAGCCACATGGCCCACATCACTGTAAGGTAGAAAATTCTACCTTGCCCTCAGCGAAGGAAGGGGAAACAAATATTGCTGAGTTCTGATAAGGTCGGCCACAGTACTTCTCCTGCCTACTGGCTGGGTGAGATTGAGAAGTTGCTTTATCTTTCTGAGCCTCAATTTACTAATTTTTAAAATAGGAAGAATAACATCTATCTCATAAGAGTGTGAAAAATGGAACAAACGCACGCAAAGAATCTACCACAATGCAACAGAACTGGTGATGAAACAAAGCTACCACAGTTCGTTTTACTCATTTTATTATTACCCTTTATAACACATATATGTGACCTATATTCTTTTTATGTATCAAATGTAACATTAAAATAATAAAAGGGACACTTACTTAACACTAGATGTTGAAATTCAAAGAGAGATTTCACACATAAATAAATCAGTGCTAAGAAAAAATTTTGAAATAGTCTATCATAGTTTCTAGTATGTCACAGGCACTTACTAAATGGTAACTATTATCATTATCTGGGAACTATTGAAAACCAATTTCATTAATCACAGCCAAAAATAAAATTGATTTGGAATGTGATTTACCCAGATAAATCATCAGCTCAAGGGACTGCTTGGAGAGAAGGAGAGCTGACCTATGCCTGTTGACTCACCATGTAAACACAGTCATGGTAATTTACTAGCAGCAAGACCTGTTTCCTGCTGAGCAGTTCCAGTCTGAGCTCCAGAGCTAGACGCAGAGGAAGGGGTCAAACATGTCCACATGGAACCTGTTTTTTCTTTTTCCCCACCCCCACCAACTTCTGAGTGATCAGAGGCTCCCTTGTTGCAATGTCATCAAAATGAGACGTGGAAATTCCTCACCTGCCATAAGCTAGACAGAGCTTTTGAGATGCAAACCGTATACACTCTCAGAGGAGAGGATTGAAACCAAAGAGAGAAGTCACTTTCAAAGCACCATCCCCCTACCTTCCCCCTTCCATACACATGCTAAGCACACAGAGCTTTTGCAATCTGCTACGAAAACAGAATTTTAAAATAAACCCCAGTCTACTCTCTCAAATCAGAATTTAGAAGAAAATGGATTTCTGTAAGGTGAATTTGCTCTCCCAAAGTAGTTCCATTCACACACATGTACATACACACACACACACACACACACACATAAAATGCAGCACTCATTAATAGGCCAAATATGGAACAAGCAATTTTATCCTCAGCAAAAGAGAGACATTCAATAATTATGAGGACAGGCTTGAGGCTGCGTAAAAATAAAACTTACAGAAGCCAGCAGATGGCACTTAATCATAATTTTTCCTATGATTTCTATTAATTGTCAAATATTTTTCATTCTGCCTTCCCAATAAAACAAATGATATGCTAATGTGGCACAGTAAGTAACATTTTCCCTTTGAGATATTGAATAGGCTTGTTACATAAAATTCCCCCACCTACATAACTAGCCCAAGACCCACATTTCTCGTGCATAGATTTATCATATCACACTATGCATATGCATGTCCGTATATCTGTGCGCTTCCAAGCACGCAGCACATTTGATAAATGCAAAAAGTAAAAGCTAACACCTTCATTTATTTCCAAAAGCAAGCCCAAATCAAGGATCTGTTGTTCCTGAAACAGCCACATAAAATCATTTAAACCACGTTGTCCACCAGAAACAGAAATGCAGAAATACCTCAGGGAGGCCACTTTGGCAGTTTTCTTCAGGGCTCCTATTACAAGCATTAACAAGGTGAATGACCCCTTCCAGGCTGCTCTGTCTCACCTGCCAATTCCTCTACTTTCTTCCCCCACACTCCTTCCTTCTCCCCACGCTTCCACAATGCTGCACCCTTTTTCTGCTTTTTTATTTCCTTTCTATATTCTACTTCTGTTTTCTTTAATCTCTTCTCCCTCTTGAGCACTGGACTTGGTTTCCTGAATCTTGCAGGGACAGATGCTGTACCAGTCAGAGTTCTTGGTTTCTGACACCAGAAATCGACTCTGTTAAGCAGAAAATATTTATTGCAGAGCAATCAAGTAGTTCACAGAATCCACAGGAAGCCTGGAGAATCTGGCTCAGTAAACAGGCAAAAACCAAGGGTGTTGGCACCAGAAAAGACAGCCAAGGTCACACCACTGAAAACCACATGTCTGGGACAGTGCCACCAGCACCACGGTCACCAGCCACTAACAGCTACCACTGCGCCCAGGCTCTCCTGAATAATGGTTCACTGGCTCTGAGGGCTTGTTTCATTTCCTCCAGATTCCCTATCCAGGCTGGGAAGCCCACGGCCAAGGCTGGGAGGGCTGGCCTCATGAGTTGCTCTCCAAGAGCAGAGCTGTTGTTCTGGCTCAGACCAAAGCAGGGCGGGGGCACAAGCTTCAGTGCCTAGAAGATCTAGCATGAATGCAGGAGAAAGTGGATCTCGAGAAATACTGGCAATGAGAGAGCACCAGGTGTCACAGACACTACTCATTTTAAACCTGCCCTTTCCTGGTGCACAGATAGGGAAGTCTGTGCTCCCAAACTAAGTGGAATAATTTTGGGGAAAGGAAAGATATTGAGTGGGATGCAGGTCAGTTATGCCAGTTTTGGAAAGACAAACAATAAAGCAAAATCCGGCTGATGCTGTAGCCCTGTGCAGTCCACTCAGTTATTCCATACATACTTCGTTCTAGACAAAGCAAGGAGCTACCATTGCTAATGTGAACACTTCATTTTCAGGTTCTATTTAGCCAATTTAAATTCCAGCTCCTAAGCACTATTCCTTTGACTTCCCACATCTTAACCCTTAATGGGTGAAGGCTAGCCTCTTTCTAGGGATGAAATTTGTAACATGATTCCAAGCTCAGCGCAGGGGCCTCCCTCTCTCCTCCTGCCAGCTGGTCCCAATTATGAGCTGGTTTGGGTAATTTGAGAGTGTGGAGGGTGCCTGTGCAGTAGGAGGAGTATTTTCTAAGCACTCAGCTTCCCAAGCCCAACTAGAACTAATAGATGCTTTAATATTCTGAATTCTGAGGGGATTTGTAATGGTTTTCCAAAAAAGGAAATAAAATGTGTAAATAAAATCACTTGGTGGCATGCCTGGTAACCACTGCAAGTGCAGAGTGAAAAATCAAGTCTGTAGCATTCCAGCAAAGCTCCAACTTTGCCTACATTTCTTGGGCAGCTACCTCAGTTTTCCTGTGTTTTAACAGAGGGGGCCTGTGTGGCTGCAAGTTTTCTTGTGAGAGATGACACCAGACTTTGTGAGAGATGACAAAGACTTTTGGGGATCTCCAGCCCAGATTTTAAAGGGCTGAGGATATATCTGAGCTCAATTTTGTTATTTTCAACTTAATGTTTCTTGAGCATCTATTATATCCGACACATAGCACATTCTGGGAATTCAAAGCTGAAAAAAGCTCAGAATCTACTAAGATGGTTCTCTTTCAACAAGCAGCATTCCAAGGGTAGAAGAGTTAGCCCTTGGCTGGGAGGAGCATTTTGTCACTTACATTGTTCGGAATTGCCACGGCTCATGTGATTATACAAACCAGATGGCATTTAGTTGGTTTTATTATTATTATTATTTTATTTATTTATTTTGAGACAGAGTCTCGCTCTGTCGCCCACGCTGAAGTACAATGGCGCGATCGCGGCTCACTGCAACCTCCACCTCCCAGGTTCAAGCAATTCTCCCGCCTCGGCCTCCTCAGTAGCTGGGATTACAGGCACCCCCCATCATGCCCGGATAATTTTTTTTTTTTTTTTTTTTTTTGTAGAGACAGGGTTTCACCATGTTGGGCAGGCTGGTCTTAAACTCCTGACCTCAGGGGATCTGCCCACCTTGGCCTCCCAAAGTGCTGGGATTACAGGCATGAGCCACCACACCTGGCCAGTTTTATTATTATTTTAAAACCCTGTACAGACTAATGCACTCCTTATTATCTGAACCTGGTCTGACTTCTCCCACTGTCTCCACTGCTTCCAATCATTCCTCCCAGTTTACATCATCATAGGCAATCTAAGTATGTGCAGGAGAAAAAGAAAACTACATTTGAAGACATAAATGTCACCAGAAGACGAGTGCCCATAGCTGCCTGGGCATGTGTTCCATTAGCTGATTAATGCCAATTATAGTTACTTAGACATTGTCCTTTTGGGTCTTATCTGAGACATTCTCCCGATGCACACAGGCTAGTCCTGTTAGGAGCAGATTTATATTCCAGGGACAGCACAGTCTCCTGGTGACGCTAGCAGGTCCTTAAGTCATATTATCAGCATTTGTAAGCCAGCTCCTTTTTCTTACTAAGTTATTATTTAATGTCTTTGGGCCTAAGTGTTCTCATAGGTAGAGTGTGGATAAGAGTATCTTTCCTGGAAGAAATATTGTAAGGATTAAATTAGAGAATACATGTAAAACCATGTGGCACGTGGAAAGCACTCAAATATTTGCTTTTATTTTATTTTATTTTGTAGCAACATAGTCTCACTATGCTGCCAGGCTAGTCTTGAACTCCTAGCCTCGAGCAATCTTTCTGCCTCAGCCTCCCAATATATGTGAACCACCAATCTCAGACAGCTGTTATTTTTTACTTGATTTTATTCAGTTATTTTTAATAGAGACGAGGTCTCCTTAATGTTGCCCAGGCTGGTCTTGAACCCCTGGGCTCAAACAATCCTCCCACCTCAGCCTCCCAAGTACCTGGGGACTACAGGCATGTGCCACCATGCCTGGCTAATTTTTTATTTTATTGTAGAGATGGGATCTCACTATGTTGTCCAGGCTGGTCTGTAGCTGCTGGCCTCAAGTAATTCTCCCTCTTCAGCCTCCCAGAGTGCTGGGATTATGGGTATGATCCACTGGGCCTAGCCAATGTTAGCTGTTATATCATTATTGTGTTAGAAGATATTATAGTATCATGCTTAATTCCAGGAACAGCTTGGAAACCGTTTATAAAATTGTGTTCAAGCTCATGAATTAGAAACATCACAAGCAGTAAAGAAGGAGACAGAGTGTGAGAGATGGACAGAGTTGTGCACCCAGGCCAGCCATATCGATGCAGGTACAATTCTGAGGGACATCTGCCTGAGCATTCCCGCCACACTGATCTGGAAATGCCAAGAGATGGAGTGGGCGCGCCTGGGCCCTGCCCTCACCCATACTGACCCACATCCACCATCATCCATTGATGTTTCTTGCCTGAATTAATTCTTACACTGATGACCGTCAAATAGTGATTTTCTCACCATTTATTTATTTATTTATTCATTCATTCTGTTTATTATTATTTGACACAGGATCTTGTTCTGTCACCCAGACTGGAGTGCGGTGGCACAATCACAGCTCACTGCAGCCTCAACCTCCTAGGCTAAAAAGATTATTCTGTATTTAATAGTTGGCTTTTTACGGTAAGAAATAATTTTCTTCATTTTCATTTGTTCATTTGTATATCTGTATCTGTGTGAACACAGAAACTTCTATTTTATTCAATGGATTATAATTATTTATTTTGATTCTCATATTGTCCCAGATTTGGTCAGTAGAGGCCCTTTCAAGCTGGTTTTGGTATCTTTTTGACACACCCTCATCATTCTTGGAGAAGTGCCTTACAATAAGATATCCCAGGCTTATGTTGTTCTTTCCCTGCCACAGCCCTGGAATCAGCTATTTGTCCAAGGAAACCATCATTCCTTGTAGTGGAAAATGCTTCTGGGAACTAAGATCTGAGCACTATGTTTACTCAGTACTCAGGACTATTGTTACTGGGATGTCAGTCCTACACACACACGTGCGCACACACACAGAGAGAAACTTATATCTCTTTTCATTATTTCTTTATCTATTTATAGTTATCTCTATCTATCTGTCAGAGGCATTTGAAACAGCAACTCCATCTTGAATAGGGCCTGAGTGAAATGAGGCTGAGACCTGTTGGGCTGCATTCCCAGGAGGTTAAGGCATTCTAAGTCACAGGATGAGACAGAAGGTTGGCACAAGGTACAGGTCATAAAGACCTTGCTGGTAAAATTTCAGTAAAGAAACCAGCCAAAACCCACCAAAACCAAGATGGCGATGAGAGAGACCTCTGGTCGTCCTCACTGCTGCACTCCCACCAGCGCCATGACAGTTTACAAATGCCATGGCAACCTCAGGAAGTTACCCTATATGGTCTAAAAAGGGGAGATATGAATAATCCACCCCTTGTTTAGCATGTCATCAAGAAATAACCATAAAAATGGGCAACCAGCAGCCCTCAGGGGAGCTGCTCTGCCTATGGAGTGGCTATTCTTTATTCCTTTACTTCTTTTTTTTTTTTGAGAAGGAGTTTCACTCTGTCACCCAGGCTGGAGTGCAGTGGTGCGATCTCGGCTCACTGCAAGCGCCGCCTCCCGGGTTCACGCCATTCTCCTGCCTCAGCCTCCCAAGTAGCTGGGACTACAGGCACCCGCCACTGCGCCCGGCTAATTTTGTTTTTGTATTTTTAATAGAGACAGGGTTTCACCGTGTTAGCCAGGATGGTCTCGATCTCCTGACCTCGTGATCTGCCCACCTCAGCCTCCCAAAGTGCTGAGATTACAGGCGTAAGCCACCGCACCTGGCCTCCTTTACTTCTTTAATGAACTTGCTTTCACTTTATGGGCTTGCCTTCCTGAATTCTTTCTTGGGTGAGATCCAAGAACTTCTCTTGGGGTCTGGATCGGGACCCCTTTCTGGTAACATATCTATCTACCTACCAGCCTACCTGCCTGCCTATCTAAAGCACAATTTACACAGTGGTAATACCATGAAGATCATTTTGGTTCCCCCCTTTCCATGTCAGTGTTTCCCTTCTCCAACAGTGGAAGCCTGGCTCCCATTATCTCAATTTACCTGTATGTAGCCAATCTCCCAATTCATGCCCCACCCAGCTCACCCCTCCTGAGCCTGCGTCCTCTGAACTGGCTACCTACCTCATTCAGATTATTGCTTTTTTTTTTTTTTGGATGAAGGAAAAAAAGCAAGAAGCTTTCACTCGTGTCCATGTGAAGAGACCACCAAATAGGCTTTGTGTGAGCAGTGAGCAACAAGGCTGTTTATTTCACCTGGGTGCAGGAGGGATGAGTCTGAAAAGAGTCAGCAAAGGGAGATAGAGGTGGGGTCGTTTTATAAGATTTGGGTAGGTAAAGGAAAATTACAGTCAAAAGGGGCTTGTTCTCTGGTGGGCAGGAGTTGGGGGGGTGGTCACAAGGTGCTCAGTGGGGGAGCTTTTTGAGCCAGGATGAGGAGAAGGAATTTCACAAGATAATGTCATCAGTTAAGGCAAGGACCAGCCATTTTCACTTCTTTTGTGGTGGAATGTCATCAGTTAAGGCAGGAACAGGCCATTTAAATATCACTTCTTTTGTGATTCTTCAGTTACTTCAGGCCATCTGGATGTATAGGTGCAGGTCACAGGGGATATGATGGCTTAGGTTAGGCTCAGAGGCCTGACAGAAGCCAATACATATATTTAAGACAGAAAGAGAACAAAAGGGAATAGAAAGGAAGGGAAGGGAGAAGCGGGAGAGTTGGGTTATGTATTGGTTTGCATTTTTAAAAGAACACTGTGGCAGATTTGTAAAGAAAGAATTGAAGGGGAGCAAGAGTGTATTCTCCTCTTACTCATCTTGGCATTCCTAGCACTTTGGTAGCATATTTTAAGGAAGGTGCTATATAAATGTTTAGGGAAGGAAGAACGACAGTTAGGGTGGGGAGGAAAGACTAGAAGACTGAGGGAGGGGGACCAGAGGCTTCTCCAGAGGCACACACCATAGAATAAACTTTTGTTTTTCTTTTCCATAGTGGGAGTTGTTGCTCTCTACAGTCAAGGACAGAAAATCACTTTGATGTGTGTCTTCCTTTCTTTGTGAAGAACCTCTTAAGTGGCTTCCTATAGTTGCTTACATTATGTAGTAGTGTTGGACCCATTGTCCTGCAGAAGGGTAAATCGTCCTGAAGCAGATATTCTTTGTGCAGTGACAAATCACTCACAGTCTCTTTTAGTTATATAAATGTAGGACAAATAGGCCCTTTATCCTGGGAGAAGTTGTAAAAGAATTTTTTTCCCTTTCTCTCTCACTTGTTCAGGGTCGAAACCTTCCCTTCTTTCACACGCAGATCTGCATGTAAGTGGAGGACCTGTTTGCCTGGAAGCCCAGTGCCCCCTAGGAGGGAAGGGATTAAAGTTCAAGTCCCTGATCCCTGAGGTTCTGAAGTAGCAGTATATGGTATTGTGGCATGGCCCAAGGTCTAGGCAATACAGTTCCCTTGAGGCTGGAAGCAACTGAACCAGACTGAATTCTCTTTAGGTCAGATGGGTCCACTGGGTGGCAAAGGTTGGCGTCTGTCCTGAACCCACCATGTTGGGCCAGCCTGAGACCAGGGAAGTGTCTGTGTATGTGAACAAAAGAGTTGGCTACTAAGAGCAGGAAACTAGTGGTATTCTGGAGCTGGCTTAAACTGACTTGCAAGAACTGATTGTTAAATTTTCAGGAATGTTGCAAGCTGGTTGTTAAATACAGCCATTAATAAATATATGTTTTTAAACTTTTTGTTATATCATAGTTGTACATATTTGGGAGATATTTTTTTTTAATTTTTTTTTTTTTTTTGAGACGGAGTCTTGCACTATTGCCCAGGCTGGAGTGCAGTGGCCCCATCTCGACTCACTGCAAGCTCTGCCTCCCAGGTTCATGCCATTCTCCTGCCTCAGCCTCTAGAGTAGCTGGGACTACGGGTGCCCGCCACCACGCCTGGCTAATTTTTTGTACTTTTTTAGTAGAGACAGGGTTTCACCGTGTTAGCCAGGATGGTCTCGATCTCCTGACCCCGTGATCCGCCCGCCTCAGCCTCCCAAAGTGCTGGGATTACAGGCGTGAGCCACCGTGCCTGGCCTAAAATTTTTTAATTTTTAATGTTTTGTGGGTCCACGTTAGGTATATATTTATGGGGATACATGAGATGTTTTGATACGGGCATGCAATGTGAAATAAGCACATCATACATGGGATATTCTGATACATGTAAATAATATAATAAATATTAAATTATATCAACATTCAATAAAATCATTATATTTAAAACAAATTTAATAATTATTCAAAACTTACCAGTAATTATTTTACCATATTTTCCTATTATCTATGCTTTTGAGGTTATTTATATCTGTCAGGCCTCTGAGCCCAAGCTAAGCCATCATATCCCCTGTGACCTGCACGTATACATCTAGATGGCCTGAAGCAACTGAAGATCCACAAAAGAAGTGAAAATAGCCTTAACTGATGACATTCCACCATTGTGATTTGTTTCTGCCCCACCCTAACTGATCAGTGTACTTTGTAATCTCCCCCACCCTTAAGAAGGTTCTTTGTAATTCTCCCCCACCCTTAAGAAGGTTCTTTGTAATTCTCCCCACCCTTGAGAATGTATTTTGTGAGATCCACCCCCTGCCCACAAAACATTGCTCCTAACTTCACCGCCTATCCCAAAACCTATAAGAACTAATGATAATCCCACCACCCTTTGCTGACTCTCTTTTCGGACTCAGCCCGCCTGCACCCAAGTGAAAGAAACAGCCTTGTTGCTCACACAAAGCCTGTTTGGTGGTCTCTTCACATGAACATGCATGACATTTGGTGTCAAAGACCCGGGTCAGAGGGACTCCTTCGGGAGACCAGTCCCCTGTCACCCTCACTCCATGAAGAGATCCACCTATGACCTCAGGTCCTCAGACCAACCAGCCCAAGGAACATCTCACCAATTTCAGATCAGGTAGGCGGTTTTTTCACTCTCTTTTCCAGCTTCCCCTGCTACCCTTCAATCTCCCTCTCTCGCTACCCTTCAATCTCCCTGTCCTTCCAATTCCAGTTCTCTTTCCTCCCTAGTAGAGACAAAGGAAACACAGTTTATCCGTGGACCCAAAACTCTGGCACCAGTCATGGACTCGGGAAGACAGTCTTCCCTTGGTGTTTAATCACTGTGGGGATGCCTGCCTGATTATTCACCCACACTCCATTGGTGTCTGCTCACCACGGGGTTGCCTGCCTTGGTCATTCACCCACATTCCCTTGGTGGGGATGCCTGCCTTGGCTGCTCACCCATATTGCAGCCCAGGGCTGCTCACCCACCCCCTTCTCTGTGTCTCTACCTTTCTCTTTAAACTTACCTCCTTCACTGTGGGCAAACTTCCTCCCTCCATTCCCACTTCTTCTCCCTTAGCCTGTGTTCTCAAGAACTTAAAACCTCTTCAACTCACACCTGACCTAAAACTTAAACGCCTTATTTTCTCCTGCAATACTGCTTGGCCCCAATACAAACTCGACAGTAGTTCCAAGTGGCCAGAGAATGGCACTTTTGATTTGTCTATCCTACAAGATCTAGATAATTTTTGTTGAAAAATGGTCAAATGGTCTGAGGTGCCTGACGTCCAGGCATTCTTTTACACATTGTTTCCTCCCTAGTCTCTGCTCCCAATGGGACTCGTCCCAAATCTTTCTTCTTTCTCTCCTGTCTGTTCCTTCAGTCTCCACCCCAAGCTCTGAGTCCTTTGAATCCTTCTTTTCTACAGACTCATCTGACCTCTCCCCTTCTCCCCTGGCTGCTCCTTGCCAGGCCGAGCCAGGTCCCAATTCTTCCTCAGCCTCTGCTCCCCCACCCTATAATCTTTCTATCACCTCTGCTCCTCACACCCAGTCTGGCTTAGAGTTTCATTCCGTGACTAGCCCTCCCCCACATGCCCAACAATTTCCTCTTAAAGAGGTGGCTGGAGCTAAAGGCATAGTCAAGGTTAATGCTCCTTTTTCTTTATCTGACCTATCCCAAATCAGTTAGCATTTAGGCTCTTTTTCATCAAATATAAAAACCCAGCCCAGTTCATGTCCCATTTGGCAACAACCCTTAGATGCTTTACTGTCCTAGACCGCAGAGGAAGGCCGTCTTATTCGCAACATGCATTTTATTACCCAACCCACTCCCAACACTAAAAAAAGCTCCAAAAATTAGATTCCGGCCCTCAAACCCCACAACAGGACTTAATTAACCTTGCCTTCAAGGTGTACATTAATAGAGTAGAGTCAGCCAAGCAGCAACGTATTTCTAAGTTGCAATTCCTTGCCTCCACTGTGAGACAAACCCCAGCCACATCTCCAGCACACAATTAACTTCCAAACACCCGAACCGCAGTGGCCAGGCATTCCTCCAGGACCGCCTACCCCAGGATCTTGCTTCAAGTGCCAGAAGCCCAGGGTTCCTCCCAAGCCATGTCCCATCTGTGTAGGACCCCACAGGAAATCGGACTGTCCAGCCCAGCAGCCACTCCCAGAGCCCCTGGAACTCTGGCCCAAGGCTCTCTGACTGATTCCTTCCCGGATCTTCTCAGCTTAGTGGCTGAAGACTGACACAGCCCAATCACCTCAAAAGCCTAAAGGACCATCACAGACGCTTTGAGTAACTCTTACAGTGGAGAGTAAGTCCATCCCCTTCTTAATCAATATGGAGGTTACCCACTCCACATTACCTTCTTTTCAAGGGCCTGTTTCCCTTGCCTCCATAACTGTTGTGGGTATTGATGGCCAGGCTTCTAAACCTCTTAAAATTCCCCAACTCTGATGCCAACTTGGGCAATGTTCTTTTATGCACTCCTTTTTAGTCATATCCACTTGCCCAGTTCCCTTATTAGGTCGAGGCATTTTAACTAAGTTATCTGCTTCCCTGACTATTCCTAGGCTACAGCCACACCCCATTGCCACCCTTTTCCCCAGCCTCCTTCGCATCTTCCTCTTGTATCCCCCTACTTTAACCCACAAGTATAGGACACCTCTATTCCCTCCCTGGCAAGCGATCACAATCCCATTACTATCCTATTAAAAGCTAATCACCCTCACCCCGCTCAACACCAATATCCCATCCCACAGCACGCTTTAAAAGGATTAAAGCCCGTTATCACTCGCCTGTTACAGCATGGCCTTTTAAAGCCTATAAAACTCTCCTTACAATTCCCCCATTTTACCTGTCCAAAAACCAGACAAGCCTTACAGGTTAGTTCAGGATCTGCATCTTATCAACCAAATTGTCTTGCCTATCCACCCCGTGGTGCCAAACCCATATACTCTCCTATCCTCAATACCTCCCTCCACAACCCCTTCATAATAACCCATTATTCAGTTCTTGATCTCAAACATGCTTTCTTTACTATTTCTTTGCATCCTTCATCCCAGCCTCTCTTCGCTTTCACTTGGACTGACCCTGACACCCATCAGTCCCAGCAGCTTACCTGGGCTGTACTGCCACAAGGCTTCAAGGACAGCCCCCATTGCTTCAGCCAAGTTCTTTCTCATGATTTACTTTCTTTCCACCCCTCTGCTTCTCACCTTATTCAATATATTGGTAACCTTCTACTTTGTAGCCCCTCCTTTGAATCTTCTCAACAAGACACCCTCCTGCTCCTTCAACATTTATTCTCCAAAGGATATTGGGTATCCCCCTCCAAAGCTCAAATTTCTTCTCCATCCATTACCTACCTTGGCATAATTCTTCATAAAAACACACGTGCTCTCCCTGTCAATCGTGTCCAACTGATCTCTCAAACCTCGACCTCTTCTACAAAACAACTCCTTTCCTTCCTGGGCAGGGTTGGATACTTTCACCTTTGGATACCTGGTTTTGCCATCCTAACAAAACCATTATATAAACTCACAAAAGAAAACCTAGCTGACCTCATAGATCCTAAATCCTTTCCCCACTCCTGTTTCCATTCCTTGAAGACAGCTTTAGAGACTGCTCCCACACTAGCTCTCCCTGACTCATCCCAACCCTTTTCATTACACACAGCCGAAGTGCAGGGCTGTGCAGTTGGAATTCTTACACAAGGACCAGGACTGCACCCTGTAGTCTTTTTGTCCAAACAACTTGACCTTACTGTTTTAGGCTGGCCGTCATGTCTCTGTGCAGTGGACACTGCCACCCTAATACTTTTAGAGGCCCTCAAAAATCACGAACTATGCTCAACTCACTCTCTATAGTTCTCATAACTTCCCAAATCTATTTTCTTCCTCACACCTGACACATATACTTTCTGCTCCCTGGCTCCTTCAGCTGTACTCACTCTTTGTTGAGTCTCCCACAGTTACCATTGTTCCTGGCCCGGACTTCAATCCAGCCTCCCACATTATTCCTGATACCACACCTGACCCCCATGACTGTATCTCTCTGATACACCTGGCATTCACTCCATTTCCCCATATTTCCTTCTTTCCTGTTCCTCACCCTGATCACACTTGGTTTATTGATGGCAGTTCCACCAGGCCTAATTGCCACACACCAGCAAAGGCAGGCTATGCTACAGTATCTTCCACATCTATCATTGAGGCTAGCACTCTGCCACCCTCCACTACCTCTCAGCAAGCCGAACTCATTGCCTTAACTTGAGCCCTCACTCTTGCAAAGGAACTATGTGTCAGTATTTATACTGACTCTAAATATGCCTTCCATATCCTGCACCACCATGCTGTTATATGGGCAAAAAGAGGTTTCCTCACCACACAAGGGTCCTCCATCATTAATGCCTCTTTAATAAAAACTCTTCTCAAGGTCGCTTTACTTCCAAAAAAAACTAGTCATTCATTGCAAGAGCCATTAAAAGGCATCAGATCCCATCTCTCAGGGCAGTGCTTATGCTGATAAAGTAGCTAAAAAAGCAGCTAGCATTCCAACTTATATCCCTCATGGCAGTATTTCTCCTTCTCATCGGTCATTTCCACCTACTCCCCCACTGAAACTTCCACCTATCAATCTCTTCCCACACAAGGCAAATGGTTCTTGGACCAAGGAAAATATCTCCTTCCAGCCTCACAGGCCCATTCTATTCTGTCGTCCTTTCATAACCTCTTCCTTGTAGGTTACAAGCTGCTAGCCCACCTCTTAGAACCTCTCATTTCCTTTCCATCATGGAAATCTATCCTCAAGGAAATCACTTCTCAGTGTTCCATCTGCTATTCTACTACTCCTCAGGGATTCTTCAGGCCCCCTCCCTTCCCTACACGTCAAGCTTGGGGATTTGCCCCTGCCCAGGACTGGCAAATTGACTTTACTCACATGACCCGAGCCAGGAAACTAAAATACCTCTTGGACTGGGTAGACCCTTTCACTGGATGGGTAGAGGCCTTTCCCACAGGGTCTGAGAAGGCCACCACAGTCATTTCTTCCCTTCTGTCAGACATAATTCCTGGGTTTGGCCTTCCTACCTCTATACAGTCCAATAACAGACCGGACTTTATTAGTCAAATCACCCAAGCAGTTTCTCAGGCTCTTGGTATTCAGTGGAATCTTCATAATCCTTACCATCCTCAATCTTCAGGAAATGTAGAACAGACTAATGGTCTTTTAAAAACACACCTCACCAAGCTCAGCCTTCAACTTAAAAAGGAGGACTCTGCCAAGGATAGAGTCCAAAAATTCCCAAACCAAGCAAATAATTACGCTGAACCCCCTTGGGCACCCTCTAATTGGATGTCCTGGGTCCTCGCAGTTCTTAGTCCTTTAATACCTGTTTTTCTCCTTCTCTTGTTCGGACCTTGCATCTTTCATTTAGTTTCTCAATTCATACAAAACTGCATCCAGGCCATCACCTATAATTCTATACAACAAATGCCCCTTCTAACAACCCCACAACATCACCCCTTACAACAAAATCTTCCTTCAGTTTAATCTCTCCCACTGTAGGTTCCCATGCTGCCCCTAATCCTGCTCGAAGCAGCCCTGAGAAACATCGCCCATTATCTATCCATACCACCTCCAAAAATTTTCACCACCCCGATGCTTCACCACTATTTTGTTTTGTTTTTCTTATTAATATAAGAAGACAAGAATGTCAGGCCTCTGAACCCAAGCTAAGCTACCATATCCCCTGTGACTTGCACTTATACATCCAGATGGCCTGTTCCTGCCTTAACTGATGGCATTACCTTGTGAAATTCCTTCTCCTGGCTCAGAAGCTCCCTCACTGAGCACCTTGTGACCCCTGCCCCGCCCGCCAGAAAACAACCCCCTTTGACTGTAATTTTCCATTACCTACCCAAATCCTGTAAAATGGCCCCACCCCTATCTCCCTTCGCTGACTCTCTTTTCAGAGTCAGCCCACCTGCACCCAGGTGGAATAAACAGCCTTGTTGCTCACACAAAACTTGTTCTGTGGTCTCTTCACATGGACGTGTGTGACAATATCTATTGCAACTGATAAAAATTTTATACAAAATGATGAGCTACTATGCATTTCCAACTTCACATTGAGTGATGTCACATTAGTAACTTGAAATCAGTCATGATGGGTGTATTTACACCAAGAAAATTGGCCAGCTCTATCAGTCAGGGTTTCCTCCCTGCATCCCCCAGGGAAGCCAGTGGTTAAACATTTAGCAGCACACTCCTGATTGCAATCCTTAAGACTTACTCACTATTCGGTATTTACTGGCTAAGACCAACTACAGTATAAGGTCCTCACAACTGAGCATATGAAGAGCACCTTTCCTCAAAGACCCACCATAAGGCAGGTGGAGCATGGGGCTCAGGTATTCCTTCTATTTCCGGACTTGATGATTCTGAATTGTTTCAACTTCCTGAAATTCTTACCTTCCACCAGAAAGGCTCAACCACTTTGAATTTTCTAACCTACCTTTTCTTCTACCAAGGTTCTAAATCATCTTGTGGCTATATTGCTCCTCAGCCCAGATCTCTGCTGTTATGTGTCCATGAGATGCCTAACTCTGCTTGAGAAAGCAACGGAATGAGGGAACCAAAGTGTCCTTCTCCTGAGCAGTCCTAGAGATTGGGTTGTGAGTAGGTCACTAGCATAACTCTGGGGAATGGATCAGTTCTTAGAATGATGCTGCTGCCAAGGCGAGGCATGTTATCCCAAATCTCAGTGGCTGTTACAAGAGGAGGAGACTACCCAACTGCCTTGTTTGGAACATGACCCATGTTGGCCAAGTATCTCTCTGCCCAGTGAGTACACTAAGGTAAGACCAAACAGGACTGGACACTTTGCACTCAAGTTTCCCTGGACCTAAAATAGTAGCTATGGATTTGGAGGGGGAAAGGCTAGCTTTCCCTTTTGGACTTCCTGCAATTACTAACATGGGGGGGTCTTGAATAATGTGCTCTGGGAAATGACTGGGTACATTATATGCATCTCAAACTGGGTAGAGAGGCATCCCAGTTCAATGAAACAGAACAAGATGAAAAGGCTGGGCACGGTGGCTCATGCCTGTAATTTCAGCACTTTCGGAGGCCAAGGCAGGTGGATCACAAGGTCAGGAGTTCAAGAGCAGCCTGGCCAATATGGTGAAACCCCGTCTCTTCTAAAAATACAAAAATACTTGGGAGGCTGAGGCAAGAGAATCACTTGAACCCGGGGGGCAGAGGTTGCAGTGAGCCGAAATCTCGCCACTGCACTTCAGCCTGGGCGACAGAGTGAGACTCCATCTTAAAAAAAAGAAAAAGAAAAAGAAGGAGATGAAAAGGAAGGAGAAGAGGAGGAGGAGGAAGGAGGAAGAGGAGGAGGAGAAGGAGGAGGAGGAGGAGGGGGAGGAGGAGAAGAAGAAAGGAAAGAAAGAAGGAAAGAGAAGGAATGGCACAGATTAGACAATGAAGAACAAACCCCGGCTATTCTGCCTCAGACTGCCCCTTCTGCTGCATTCTCCGACTCAGTTAATGTGATCTTCATTTTCTAGTTTCTCAGATCTTTATTTTTTACTTCTTTCTCTCACAACCCAAATTTAATCTATTATCAACTACACTTTCTCTCTCTTTTTTTTTTTTTTTTTTTTTTTTTTTTTGACAGAGTCTCTCTCTGTTCACCAATCTGGAGTGTAGTGGCTCAACCTCAGCTCAATGCAACCTCTGCCTCCTGGGTTCAAGCAATTCTCTTATCAAGCCTCCTGTGTAGCTGGGACTACTGGCATGCACCACCATGCCTGGTTAATTTTTGTATTTTTAATAGAGACGGAGTTTCGCTATGTTGGCCAGGCTGATCTCAAACTCCTGAGCTCAAGTGATCTGCCTGCCTTGGCTTCCCAAAGTGCTGGGATTACAGGTGTGAGCCACTGCGCCCAGACATTTATCAATCATACTTTCAAAATAAACCTAGAATGTACCCTTTCCCTCACCATTTACCCCTGCCACCCCCCGATCGCAGTCACCATCGTCTCTCTCCTGCATGATCACAAACGCTGCTAATGGGCCTGTTTCTGCCCTGGCTTTCTCTTGTTTCAACAGAACAACCAGAGTGATCTTGTTAAATCATGAGCCAAATGACATCACTCCTCAGCTCAAAGTCTTCCAGAGGCTCTCATCGGGAATGAAGGCCAAAGTCCTTCCTCTGTCCTGCGGGACCCTACTGATCTGCACCCCTTGCCTCTTCAACCTCATTGCCAACTACCTCCCCCTTGTTCATTCTGCCCTATCTACGCTGGCCTCTGTGCTGTTCCTTGACTATATACCAGACAGATGCCCACACCAGGAACTTTGCAGTTACTATTTGCTCCCCCAAGACACTCTTCCCCCAGATAACCATATGCCTGATTCCCCACTTCTCTTAGTTCTGTACTCAAAAGTCATCTTCTGAGTGAGTCCTTTCCTGGCTACCTAACCAAAACATCTCCACCATCTCCATGCTTCATATTCCCTTTCTTTGTTTTTTTTCTTCTTGGCTTTTATTACCCTTTGTATATTTATCTTTTTTATTGACTATCTCTCATTAGCATATGGGTATATGAGGGCACAGATTTTTGTTTTGTTTACTCTCCAGGTTCTAGAACAGTGCCTGGTTCATAGTAAATGCTCATTTCAATGATCTATTGCTGCATCATAAGCCATCCTAAAATACAGGGACTTGAAACAACAGTTTATTAGAATCTCACAATCTCATAGGCTGACTGGGCTCAACTGGGTGGTTCTTCCTTGGGAATCTCTCATGTGGTTGGAGTCAAATGGCAGCTGGGACGGGAGTCATCTGATAGACTTGGCTGACACAGGATGCTGGCTACTGGCCAGGAGTTCAGCTCCGCCCACTGTCTGGAGTGCCTACATGTGACCCCTCCAAGTTCACTGGGGGCACCAACTTTTTTCTTTTTCTTTTTTTTTTTCTGAGACAGAGTCTCTTTCCATCACCAGGCTGGAGTGCAGTGGCATGATCTCGGTTCACTGCAACTTCCACCTCCCAGGTTCAAGCGAGTCTCCTGCCTCAGCCTCCCGAGTAGCTGGGATTACAGGCACTCGCCACGACATCCGGCTAATTTTTTGTATTTTTAGTAGAGATGGGGTTTCACTACGTTGGCCAGTCTGGTCTCAAACCCCTGACCTCATGATCCACCCACCTCAGCCTCCCAAAGTGCTGGGATTACAGGCGTGAGCCATGGCGCCTGGCGAGGCACCATCTTTAAAGATTAACTACCAGGGTATTCAGTGAATACTTGTGGGATGAAGGAAGGCAGAAAGGGAGGGGAGATGGTGGGAGGGAAGTAACTGGAAAATTTACAAAAAAGAAAATGAGGAAGGAAAGGAGACAGCAGAAAAGGAAGGAGAAAAGGAGATGTGGATTTCTGAATATGATGACAGTATTATAGCCCGGGAATAAAATCCATCCTTTCCTGCCTGACCCTTCTTTCCCATCTCCCTCAAGTTGCATAATAACCTGCTTGGAAGCAGAAATTCAACTAACGCCACATATCAGAACTGGAGCGCTCTTGGCAGAATCTTCTACAATTTATACCCCAAGTTCAAATTTAAGCCAAGGCATATTTCCAAGGAAAGAACAACACAGTACTTTATCTTGATGTTGCTCCTCACCCTTGGTGATTTCAAAGCAGGTTTATAAACAAGCGCTGTCATTGTGCAAGAGAGGAAATGGAAGGGAACTAGTAATATTTAGGTAACCAATAACAAAATCTTTGAGTCAATATTATAGTGAAATGATTAAGTAATTACGTGGAATCAGAGGCAGACTACAACTGCATCAAATTAATAAAGTAGAATTTGGAAGAAATAAGATATAAAAATTTCCACATAAAAACTGAAGTCAATTGAGGCTGTAAGGAGCTAGAAATTAAAAATAGATTTATACCAAACTAGGTAGAACAAAATTGAAACAGTTGTTGAGATATTAAAAATGGATTTGCTTTTAAAACCGTTTGGAATAGTTTAGTCATTTTCCAGAGCCATAGATATTCTGTGCCAGTTGAGCACTTTTTCCCAAACCAACCTGGCAGACGGTTGTCTAATCAGGAAGCTTTGCAGGCAAGTTCCTTGGCTAAAACCCATAGGAATAAATGAATTTGGGTTTCTAAAGTTCCAGTGTCTCAGTACAAAGAGAGATAGGTAACCCTTTTTCCTAGAGATACTGATGATGATATAAATTGTGGTATGACAGAATGCAAATTCCCTAAGCTTGGAATTCTCCTCTAACTGACATGTCACAGAATAAGATGGCATCATGTTTACTTCAATTTGTGGTCTCTCTAAACCACTTTGGTCTTTGGCCCCCAGATCTGCCCATTTCAGGGAAACTGGAGTAACTCAAAAAAGTAACTTGTCATGAATTAGTTAGGATTAGGTTTGGCAGCAGGATATTGAACTCTCCCTACTCCCCAACACCTTCACCTCCCTTAAAAAACAATAACAAAAAAAAAAACCAGTGGCTTAAACAACATGAAAGTTTATTTCTCTTTCATATAAGCCTGAATAGGTAGTCCACAGATGGTAAAGGGCTCCACAGTGCAGGGAATCAGATTTTTTTTATTTTTATTTTTCTGCCTTAACTGCATAATCTCCACTTCCTAAATCATCCTATCGTCCAAAATGAATGCTTGAGCTCCATCCCGCATATCCCATTCCATCCAGGAGAAAGAAGAAAAAGGTAGAGAGCAGGAAAAGCTCCCTGCCTTTAAGAACACTTTCCAGAAGTTGCTCACACTACTTCTACTTACATCTAACTAACCAAACGTTAATCCCATGACCGGGAGAGAATCAAGAAGACTGGGAAGCAGTCCTTCTAGCAGCAGGTGCCTAGCTAAACATTTAAGGTCCTAATACTTTAAAATAGAAGAAAACAAATGTTGTGAGACAATTAAACAGTCTCTCTGCTACAGTTTATCCCTTTGGCCTCCCCAAATATATGGGCATCCCCATGTAGGACACAATCCCTCCTCAAGGGGAAGAAACCCAGGGACTGCCTCCAGATCAAAGTCAAGATCTCTGAGTGAAGTGTAGTCTCCGTCTTCAAATCCAGATATGATGTTCACAATCTTGCAAGCTGTTTTAGTCTGTTCAGGTTGCAATAACAAAATACCTTAGACTGTGTACTTTATAAATAATATAAATTTATTTCTTACAATTCTGGAGGTTAGGAAGTCGAAGATTAAGGCACCAGCAAATTTAGTGTCTGGTGAGGGCTCTCTGCCTCGAAGATGGCACCTATTGCTGAATTGTCACATGGTGGGAGGGCAAAAAAGGGCCAGACTCCCTTCAGGCCCTCTTATAAGGGTACTAATTTCATTCGTGATGTCGTCACCTGCTGAAGACTACCCCCCGACCCCTTACTATGATGACATTGGGGATTAAGTTTCAACATGAATTTTGGAGGAGCCATATTCAAACCATAGCACAAACCATAAACTAAAAGATTAGTTATCTTTCCCATAACCCACTACATATGCAGTGATGTAGTAAGAACAAGAAAACCACAATTAAAACTACCAGTCAGAAAATGTGAAAGTCCCAGAAGTCGATCTATAGTAATTATCAAATCCTGCTGAGCAAGAACAGAGGGGACTCTCTTCTTAAACATCAGGAGTCAGCCGTCCGTCCTGTGGGAGGTGCTTCTGTGTCCATTATTCCCCATGGTTATGTCTGAGGCAGGAAGTGATGAGTTTGCCCTTTGGGGTGGGAGGACTGCTGCACAGCTTTCATAGCCTGTTTCTTGTTAATACATAGTTGGAGGCACAAAGGTTGCTTTAGGCATTGAATAGTCACAGGCTTTGGCAGATTAGGCTTGGATGCTTGGCAGTACAATTCCCTCAAAAACTAAGTAGGCATCTTTTCCATTTGCCTTCCATCAGTTCCATGTGCGAGTAACAATAGCCAAATATCTTGTCTAAAAATGGTTTTTAAACTGAAAGACTCAGATCTTTCAGACCTTTGTCCTCTGCCCACCCTTTGCCCCAGTTTAATGGCAGCTAGTTGAGTTTTGGAAGGAAAGCAACAGCTTTAATTGGATAGTAACAGCTAAGTTGTCACCCATTGTCTAGCAGACAGTTTTTAATAGCATTTTATTTTTATTATTAATTTTTTTTTTTGAGATGGGGTCTGTCTCTGTCGCCCAGGCTGGAGTGCAATGGCACGATCTCAGCTCACTGCAACCTCCACCTCCCAGGATCAAGCCATTCTCCTGCCTCAGCCTCCCAAGTAGCTAGGACTACAGGCATGCGCCACCATGCCTGGCTAATTGTTGTATTTTTAGTAGAGATGGGGTTTCACTATGTTGGCCAGGCTGGTCTTGAACTCCTGACCTCTTATTTTCTGAGACAGTTTCTCACTGTGTCAGCCAGGCTGGAATGCAGTGGTACAGTCATAGTTTACTATAACCTTGAACTCTTGGGCTCAAGCAATCCTCCCACTTCAGCTTCCTGGGTAGCTGGGACTACAGACACACACCACTACATCTGGCTAATTAAAAAAAAATTTTGTAACAGTCTTGCTATGTTGCCCAGCCTAGGTTAGTCAATTTAGATGGCAGGCCAAAGGCAGAGAGCATAGCCTGTACCACTTCCCTAATATCTTAACAATTGGACAGATTTAGCTGTAGTTTTCTACACTTCTGCTGCTCATGGAATTGAGGATTTTGCAACAATAACCACCAGCCCTCAGCCCCACTCTTGGTACTGAAATGAGAAAAGTTCCCTTGCCCCCCTTGCAGGGCGCGCGATGGGGATGTGGCTCGCTTCTTCAGTGAGCGGCTGTTAAACCTCTAGGGGAGCATACAGAGAGGCAAGCTGTGGGGCTCCGACCCCACTGCAGTGTCTAGGGGTGGATGTTTACAGCTCCTGAAGCCCCAGTGGGCGCGTGTTACAGGGTGCTCTTTTAGTTTGGCCGTCTATAGGCAGCTTGTGTTAACCAGCTCAATTAGACCCTCTACCTTGTTGCAAGGACAGAAGGCTTTCTGTATCCCGAGGTTCTTGCCTTGGTGTACTGGCGGGCTTGGAGAATGGGTGCAAGGTTTTTTTATTGAGTGGAAGTAGCTTTCAGCAGATGGGTGAGCCAGAAGGGAAATGGTTTTCCCCTGGAGTCGAGTTGCTTGACGACGGACCAGGCTCTCCTCTAACTGCCCCAAGCCCAACTCCATGACGTTCTGCCGGTTGGTGGCCTGCTGGCGTGCCGGTGCCTGTCGGTGTGTCCCTCTCCACCTCCAGCCACCTGTGTATTCCTCCGCTGATAGGCTCCTCTCGCCGTCCAGCTGCCTGTGTGTCTGCCTGCTAGGGTCTCCGGGGTTTTTATAGGCACAGGATGGGGGTGTGGCAGGCCAGGGTGGTCTTAGGAAATGCAACATTTGGGAAGAAAAACAAAAATGCCTGTCTCACCTAGGTCTGTGTGGGTAGAGCTCTAGCCAGGGACCACGCCCTCCTCTACCCAGCACTTCCCTTCCCCCATTCTATATCATTTAAAGGGACCATGCTTTTCCCTTCCCAGCACTGCTATTGCAGTACAAATTTATGGTTTAGTTAGGGTAGGTTAAATGGCTACCAGTAGTTGACCTAAGAATTTAATCACTCTAATACAAAAAATACATTTCTCCTTCTTTTTTTTTTTTTTTTTTTTTTTCTGAGACAGAGTCTTGCTCTGTCGCTCAGGCTGGAGTGCAGTGGCACAATCTTGGCTCACTGCAACCTCCGCCTACCAGGCTCAAGCGATTCTCCTGCCTCAGCCTGCCAAGAAGCTGGGATTACAGGCATGCACCACCACGCTTGGCTAATTTTTTGTATTTTTAGTAGAGATGGGGTTTCGCCATGTTGGTCAGGCTAGTCTTGAACTCCTGACCTCAGGTGATCCACCTGCCTCAGCCTCCTAAAGTGCTGGGATTATAGGCATGAGCCACCACGCATGCAACTGTCCAGGATAGGTGCTCCAGAGATTCAGGGACCCAGACTACATGAGTCTATGTCTTCGTAAGCAAAGGACTCATGTTAGTGAATAGTCTGACTAAATGTCTTATCTTAGACATTTTCCTATTAAGAGGTATAGATCTGCAATAAGAAAGTAAATTCTGCTGCTTAGTCAAAACTCAGAATTTTCAGCCAATAGAATTTAGTGTATGTGACAATAGGGCATCTGTATTAGAGAATGCCCATTTAAGGCTCTCTTAATTGCCCAATCTGAACCCATAACGCTGTGGGGCTATTATGAGCTTTGCACAAACCTGGATTCAAATATTGCCATTCCTATTACTTACTGCCTATGTGACTTTGGGCAAATTACTTAATCTTTCTGAACCTTTGAATGCAGATATTAAAACAAACCTACCCAATGTGTAGATTTGATTTGATATAATATATATCAAATAGATATATAAGTTTGGCATTTACTAAGTGTTGAATAAATGGTAGCTATACTTATTTGAGGAGCTCACAGTTATGATATCGGAACGTGGGTATGAATTTGGACAGATCTGTGTTTGGATCCTCATTCTTGCTAGTTGTATGTATGACCTGGGCAATTCTTTCCTTATTAGGTTCCTCATCTGTTAAATAGGGATCATAATACCTATCTCTGAGTGTGGTTATAAGGATTATACACAAAAGACTCCTAGTATAGTAATTAACACAAACATTCATTCAATATAAGGCTTCAGTTCTTGTTTTTATTTTTATTACTTTCTTTTCAGATTAAGAAGGCAATGTATGCTCAACTAATTTTGAAAAATACAAAAGGTTATGAAGGAGGAAATAAAAACCTACTGAACATCCACTACCTGGAAGACATTGTCAATGTTATATCTTGAGGGCTTCATTCCAGCCTTTCTTTTTTTATTAGGCTATTGTTTTTAAAGCTATGGACTGTGGAGTTCCCTTTGGTTCTATACACAGGGAGTTCCCCACTTTGTGTTGTGAAAGGGAAGCCAGAAATCCCTACCAGTGTAAAAATAACCTCCCCATTAAAACCAAAAGCCTCCAGTTAATAATAGAGAGCTTCAAGTGAAGAAATAATAGCCCTTCCTAAATTAGGCTAGATTTGCTGCCATCTTGGAAAGAGGAATGAAACCCCATAGGAATAGGAAGGGCTGGGAAGATCTGGGGGTGTGTGTGAGTCTGGGGCTGCTGAAGACACTTGACCAATTTACAGTCTCGCCGTGGGCTAGTTCTGCTAGGAGAACATCTAGTACTGATTCCAGTCAATAGGGTATTCTAGTCACAGAAGGACTGTGAGATTTGGCAAAGATCACAAAGCAAGAAATGCAGACAGAAACACTCAAAAATTGCAGCTTGGGATAGAGCAGAAGTAAAACCCCAAATTCTGGATTCACATGTTCTGACATACCCAGTTTATCTGGAACAAGAATCAAAAATTTAAACTGAACAGCTACCAATCAGGACTTATGTCTTCCCTAAAAGGCTCTGCAGTATGGGCACTCAAGGAATATTTTTAAAAAAAATAATCAGTGATAATCTGATAATGAAATAACAGATGAGTTTGTCATTTTAATTTCTGTACCTCCCCTTCCTATTATCACTGCCCAGACATTTTGCCTTAGTCTTTAAAATGTAAATTTACCTACAGCTATTCATTCTGCCTATTCTAATGCCTGTCAAACCAAAATGAAAGAAAACTGTACCAAGGCAAGTCTGAGATCTTCGTCTCAATCAGTAAAATCTTCCGCGGAAGCTTGCACTACTCAAGCAAGACAGATCTGAGCTCTTGATACAGTTAGGAAATGTGACCTACTTTAAAACCCAGCAGAGTGTGTGTGTGTGTGTGTGTGTGTGTGTGTGTGTGTGTGTGTGATGAAAGTGAATTGTTTTGCTGAAATCTGACACTAAAAATAGGGCACCGGATCCTTCCCCTGCTGGAAAAAGAAAAAAAAGAAAGACATTAAAATGAGTGTGTGTCTGTATGTCTGGGAATATGTCTCCATGGCAACCATTGTCCCACCTCCCCTATCAACAGCATTACCCCTCTCCACGGAAAGAGGGCATATGAACGCCTTTCCCAGCACCCCTCTCAATCCCTTACTCCATGAAATCTAATTAAAGAGTGAAATGAATTTTAGCGCTGGTTCCAGAGGCTGGGAGAAGTCCACGACTTGGGGGCAGGGTAAAGAGAGGAGCGCTGGGGGAGGGACAGGGAGACCTGCCCTTCCACACTGGAGCAGCAGCACGCGACTCTGTTCTCATTTTTAAAAAGAGCCACAGCTCCCACGCTGAGGAGCTGGAAGGGAGTGATAAACCTGCCATGCAACGATGTTATTACTTTAATGGATACAGGACCGGTTGAGCACTTTATTTCCACCAGGGCTTTTTACTTTGCATCTTCCCTTTCCACAACATCCAGTTTTCCTCAGACACTCCCCCCTTTACTAATGAACGTTGTCCCCATTTCTAATCCCGCTCAGGTGAGGGAGAAAGCAAGCATTATTTGAGATAATAGGTCTGCCTCTGGGGTGAGGCGTATGAGTCAATCACACTGGTGAACAACCCCACCCCCCAACCTCAAAAATCCTTTTCTGTATAGATTAGAAGCCAGAGAAGAATAGGGGGACATGGAGTGGTGAGGAAGACACTCTGGGGAGGTTGAAGCTGATTTGGGCAAATGAGCTTCAGGGTTTTTTTAGCATCTGCCAGGGACCTCCCTTCCCCCTTTCCAGCAGCTGCCTGCCCTCCCTCCTCCTTCCCCCACCTTTAGTGTCCAGTCAGCAGCAGCTCAGGCGCCTCCCTCTCCCTCCTTTTTGGCCATCCCTGCCCTTAGCTATCTGGGCATCTGTTCCTCATTCCTGCATCCAAACATTTTCTCCAGGTTGGCTGTCAGTCCGGCATTGTGCTGCAGGGGTCTCAGCTGGAGCAGAATTGCCTTCACATGAGCATGAGCATTCGGACAGGTCTGGACTTGTCCCTCTGACAAGGAGGAAGCGGTGGCAGGAAGCCTGTGGGCCCTCCTGGGAGAGAGGGGAGAGTTAGTTTTACACGGGCTCCAACTGTGTGATGTTTCAGCGACAAGAAGAAGGAAGAGCATGAAGAGTAAATCGGAGCCTGTCACTCAGACTTGTGTCTTCTGTCCTGGTGGACTGAGTGTGGCGGGCTGCAAGCACAAGGAAAGTCAAAGATGTGCTTTTTTACCCACAACAGGGTGGCAGGGTCGAGAGTCGATTGGCACAGGGCAGCCAGCGTGTGACTGTGGGCACCAGCAGGAGACAGCACCAGCTGTGGCATCTGCAGTAGCCGCCACCTTGACTGCCAGCCCTGCCGCTTCAGCAGCAGGCACCTCCATGTCCTTGGAAGGGATAACCAGCCTCTCCACCTGGACAGTGGGCCTTAAGCGAGCCTTCCCTTCTTGCAGCCAACTGAGGCAGCCGGCACCCTTGCTTGCCAGATACCCTGAAGCGTTCTGGAAAAAGTCAGGGAAGACCCACAAGCATGGGTCACTGTCAAACCAGAGAAATTCCTCTGACTTTAGTTTTTTTTTTTTTTGCCCAGGTTGATGTGGCTTAGGGCACATGGCTTATCCACAGTATAATCATGAGAACCAATATTTACTAAGTCCTCACTCTGGGCCAGAAATTCTTCTAAGCATTTACCAACTCACTTAGACTTGCAAGAGCCTGTGAAACAGATGTCATTCTTGTCTCCATTTGACAGAGGAGGTAAGAATATTCTCAAGGTTATATAGCTAGAAAGTGGCAGTGGCCAGGGTGCGATGGCTGACGCCTGTAATCTCAGCACTTTGGGAGGCCAAGACAAGTGGATTTCTTGAGCCCAGGAGTTTGGGACCAGCCTGGGCAACATAGTAAGACCTCATCTCTATAAAAATTTAAAAATAAATAAATAAAAAGTAAAAATACAGCTAGAAAGTGGCAAAGTTATGGTCTCAAATCAGACAGTTTGAACTCAGAGCCCATGTGCTGGCCTCTCAGACTGGGATCTACTCAGTCACTGGACAACAACAAATCTCCAGTCTTCATCAGATTATCTGATTTTTTCCAAATTGCTTAGGAATTCTTTAAACATCAAAAATTCATTATATAACCATTATGTAAATAACATCATTAAAAGCATGTTCAAATGAGAAAAAGAAGTCACTACTAAACTTACCACCCCAAAGCAACTGATTTTATATATGCATGCTTTTTTGATCCTTGCACTCACATGTTCCATATAGTGAAATATAATTCTGTATTATGATTATTTCCTGATGTTATAACATTGTATTATAAGTGTATTTTCATAAGGTTATTTTCTGACATTTTAATTGCTGGGTAGCATTCCTTCAAGTTGATGTACCATAATTGACTTAGCTACTTCCCTATTTTGAACATTTAGATTGTTTCCACTTAAAAATTTGAAAAATAAACAAACTCTTTGCTCTCATTTTTTCCTTTTATCAAATGCCTTGACCGTCCAGACGCAGGAGAGATGTTTAACCTGTGCAATTGAAGCTATTTTGATAACCTTTAGCTTATCCTTAAGGTTTATGCAAAGGTTAAAAGTGTATGAGCTGGAAGAATTTCATTCTGTACTATTCATTGCTGAAGGACTTGGAAGGAATGAAATGGTGAATGGAATTGCGCTCAGAGTATTGCTGCCAAGGTGCTAGAATGGTGTATGTAACAGACACAGGCCAAGGAGGCTGAGCAGCAGACTTGCAGAGTCAACATTTTTAACTTGGTAACAGATGGCCCACTGGTCAGAGCTCAAAAGGCTTGGGCTCCGTAAACCAACAGGACCCAGGCATATGATTCAAATGTTCTCAGTAACCAGAGGGACCGCTACTGTCCACTTGCCAAGGGCTGTGGTGACATGTGTGAATATGCAAGAGACGGGAATTATTTATCTTCCCCTAACCTCGATATTTCATTAGCCTCAGATAGAGACTGCTTTTTTTTTTTTTTTTTTTTTTTGAAACGGAGTTCCGTTCTTGTTGCCTAGGCTGGAGAGCAATGGTGCGATCTTGGCTCACTGCAACCTCTGCCTCCTGGGTTCAAGTGATTCTCCTGCCTCAGCCTCCCAAGTAGCTGGGATTACAGGCGCCTGTCACCACACCCAGCTAATTTTTGTATTTTTAGTAGAGATGGGGTTGCATTATGTTGGTCAGGCTTATCTCGAACTCCTGACCTCAGGTGATCCACCCACCTCGGCATCCCAGAGTCCTGGTGTTACAGGCGTGAGCCACCGCACCTGGCCGAGACTTCTAAAACTCTGAATCACCACTGACTGTATTCCCAACTCCATCTGGACTCAGCCCTTCCGAAATAATGAGAAAACCTCCCTATCTAGGGTATGCTTAGACAAGATGAGATTCAGCTTAAACCCTGGTAATAATTATCATTCTCCCCGTATCCCGAAAGCTCAATCCTGGTTGCTAAGTCAATCCAGACAGGCAAAGGGGTTTAAGAAAGCCAGGACTAGGGAGAGACAAGTGAGGTGCCTAGTGGGCAAAATTGAAGGAGGCATCACTTGCAAGTGCCGGCCCTGCACTTGTGTGACCCTGAGAATGAGGGCCTCCTTACATTTTGTGCCCTGAGCATCTCACTTGCTCACCCTGCTGGCCTTGCCCTAATGTCGCAGCAAAGCTCTGGCTTAGTCATTGCTGTCCTTATCAACTCCCTGCCCCTGTTAGGCTTAGAATAACTAGTTGAACCTAGGTCCTTGACCTTGGCAGGTGAAGAAATGGGCCACATCCACTAAGGTAGCAGTAGTAGAAGGGCATAGGCTGATAGCCTTCACAGGACCAGGTGGAAAGTGGAAGCCCATGTTCTCCAACCAACTGTGGACAAACAAAAGGACCAAACAGCCAGAACTGTAACTTCAATACGCACTGGCACTTGTGTTTTTAAGCTTGCCGAGAGAATTAACGTTCAACAGCTGTGCGTATTCACACTGCTGAATGCATATTACACAATATTCTCAGACATTCTCCTACGCAGAGCAGCAGTATTGGCCCATCGGGTGATTCATGAGTTTCCAACACAAGCCGCCAGAGAAAGGGAGCTATCAAGATTTTGGTGATGAGAGAGAAGCTGTAGCACATGGTAAAAGAAGAAGACAAACTGGATATCTTTTCAGGCTGGATCAAGAAAAAGCTTTGACAGAATGAGACATGATTTTCCTTTATTTGAAGTGTTGCAGGTCTACGGATCTCGGTGCAATTTGTTCAGTATATGGAGCAATGCAATGAGTATTCCAACCCTGAACAGCTGGGAAAGGAGAAAGATGTGAAAAATGAGGAGGGATCCAGGTGAGTTCACACTTGAATAATAGATTCTCTTGGTAATAAAACCACAGAGAGAGCCAGTGCTTGCCCAGATCTAGAGCTATCAAGAACTCCATTGAAACTCTACCGGCTTACAGTTCCTTCTATGCCACCTTAAGCACACCTATTCTGAGAGCATGGCTCTCCTTTTCTGTTGTCTGAGTCAGTGGCTGCCAACACAGGTGTGTGCACACAAATCTATTGGGGTACCAAAAAAAGAATTATATTTAATAATTATTTGTCTTCATCTGGCTAAATTTCTATTCTTGAATAGGTTTTAGGATGTACATCATATATTAGTACAGCAGTGATAAGTATTCATTTTGACAGAAAAATGCTAAAAAAAAATTCATACTAATGGGTCACATGATCAAAAATGCTTGGAAGAAGGCCAGGCGTGGTTCCTCCTTCCTGTAATCCTAGCACTCTGGGAGGCAGAGGCAGGTGGATACCTGAAGTCAGGACTTTGAGACCAGCCGGCCAACATGGCAAAATCTCATCTCTACTAAAAATACAAAAATTAGTCGGCTATGGTGGCATGAGCCTGTAATCCCAGCTACTCGGGAGGCTGAGGCATGAGAATCACTTGAACCAAGGAGGCGGAGGTTGCAGTGAGCCAAGATCACACCACTGCACTCCAGCTTGGGTAACAGAAGGACTCCATCTCAAAAAAAAAAAAAAAAAAAAAAAAGCTTGGAAGTCACTAAGCAAGAAACTCCTGACTGGGCGCAGTGGCTCACATCCATAATTCCAGCACTCTGCAGGGCTGAAGTGGGAGTATTGTTTGAGGCCAGGAGTTCAAGACTAGCCTGGACAACACAGTGGGACCCAGTCTCTATACACAGTGGGACCCAGTCTCTATAAAAAATTTAAAAATTAGCCGGATATTGTGGCACACACCTGTGGTCTCAGCTACTCAGGAGGCTAAAGCAGGAGGATCACTCAAGCCTGGGAAGTCAAGGCTGCAGTGAACCATGACTGTGCCACTGCACTCCAGCGTGGGTGACAGAGTGAGACCCTGTCTCAAAAAACAAAACAAAAAGAAACTCCTTAGCTTGATGTTCTGGGCCCTCTGCAACTTGCTTATTCAACCTCCCCTCCTGCTATTTCATCCCTATACTACCCACTGTAATAAAATGGATCTGGTCATCCAGTAATTCCTGTTTTTTTTTTTTTTAAACTTCCTCTCTCTGTATCTTGGCTGCTGGAATACCAGCAAATGAGGAGAGCTAATGAAGTCTCTTGGATACATTGAGCCTACAATCATTTTACTAGCAGAAATTTCAGCCCTGTCCAGGATACCCCTTCCTAGATAAGCTCTCCAGGGATAACTATCTTGTTCATAATTCTCAGTGAAACAACCTACTGCTGTCTGCCAGAGAGAAGTGGTGGCTCAGATGTATTCAACTTTCTTTCTTTTTTTTTTTTTGAGATGGAGTTTCACTCTTGTCACCAAGGCTGGAGTACAATGGCGCAACCTCAGCTCACTGCAACCTCTGCCTCCCAGGTTCAAGTGATTCTCCTGCCTCAGCCTCCCCAGTGGCTGGGATTACAGGCACGTGCCACCACGCCTGGCTAATTTTTGTATTTTTAGTAGAAATGGGGTTTCACCATGTTGGCCAGGCTGGTGTCAAACTCCCAACCTCAGGTGATCTGCCCATCTCGGCCTCCCAAAGTGCTAGGATTACAGGCATGAGACACTGTGCCCAGCCAGATGTTTTCAACTTTCATGAACAAACATTACAACTACTGCCACCCCCACTGGCAGCTATCCCCACTGCTTGGTAGACTAAAGACATCAACATCATTGGAATTAATACTAACTGTGTACCCTGCCACACCAGTGTTGGTGCTAAGACCTTGGCAATACAAAGGAAAAATGATTCCAGGAAGTACAGTATGGAGATCCAGAAAACACCCTCTATCTCTATAATTTACTCAGCCAGGGATTTCCCAAAGCCAAACTGCTGGTAGCAAGGGTGCTGCATGTTTCTGTAGTTTGTACATGGCACAGTGGTGCCAGGCAGGCAGTGGATCAAGCCCTCAATCCAGGGACTTTTCTTAAGGTATCCTAAGGCAGATTGCATTTTCCAAAGATGGCAGCCACAGTATCTCCCATCCCTCAAGCTCTTCTGACAATGTGACATTGACACTTCTCCTGTGGAGTGGTGAGGTCAAATGACCTCTCCTTGTAAACTTGGGCGGATCTTTGTGATTTCTTTGACCAATAGAGTATGGTAGAAATTATGGTTTGTGATTTCTGAGGCTAGGCCATAAAAATGCCATGTACTTCTACAAGGATCTCACTCACATACTCATCACCTGTGCCACATAGCACAATATGCCCCAGATGAGCTGTGTGACTGTGGGCAAGCTGCCTAAGTTCTTGGAGCCTCAATTTCCTCTTTCATAGAATAGGGATAAGATTAATCCCTACTTCACAAGGATTACATAAATTAATCCATGCAAGTGCATAGTATAATGCCTAGCATATAGTAAGCCCTCAATGTTAGCAATTATTATCATGTGGCATTTGGTAGGTGGCCAATTAATATTTGTTCATTGATTAATTAAATTGCACTGTACACAGGTGGAAAGAAGATGAAGATCCAATTTTTATCCAATGGCACAGAAGGCTCTTCATGTCCATGCTCTGTTAATGTCACCTTCCCCAAGCCGTGTCTGCACCAACTGCCCTGCACAAACCGCCACAGGACACCCACAACCCTGCACCCTGCCCTAGTCTTCTCTGCATTTTCCCTCAAGCTCCATGTTGCCTGCCGATGTCTGCTTTTACAATTCCCTCTTTCCAGAGTATTCCCTTCAACTTCCTCATTCTCATTTCAACTAATTTTTACTGGTACTCCAGTCCTCATCCTGCAGGGCACCCCTTTGGAGTCATTTTCTGACCTGGAGGTTTTATAGAAAATGTTCCTCTCTGTTTACCCTATCATGGCAGTGGTTTGCCATAGGACAATTGCCTGCTAATTTCTCTGTCTCCTTCATTACCTGGAAGCTCCTGGAGGGCAGGATTTATATAATCTTCACCACTGTTTTCCTAGTAGTTAGGAGTACCCAACCAATAACAGTCACTCAATAAATACTTTTTGAATAAATTGTTGCAAATAAATAGTAACCCTAGAATATTCAAGGTAACAATGTTCTGTACAATCACTGGAAGAAAACAGCTGTTTAGTACATTTTGAAAATATTTCCATCAAAACAGATTCAAATAAAATCTTGGCACTTCAATGGAATAAGCTTCAGTTAACTGGAAAAATAATGTGCTTGCAATGTGTTAACAGAAGATGGTAAATAAATGAGAATATAGTTACCTAGCTTTTTCACTGACCTTTCAAATAGATAAGCTCTGGGGATGACAGGGGGATGGGAAGAAGGAACCATATCCATTCTACAGTACCAAGGATTGTGCCTTGATTACTTAGTTGCTCAATGAATATTTGATGACAGACTCAGAAATGTAGGGCTTAAAGGAACTTTGATGACTGAGGATTGTTTGATTAAAACTGAACCATTTAGGACCCTGGGGGATGAACCACAAAGCAGCTGTCACTGGCCAGCAGAATAAGGGAATACCTCGCTGCTACTCCTAGGATCTGGTCCCAGGTGTCTGCACTGAATGGCTTTCCAGGAACCCCAGCAGTGCCTGCCAAGACTGCATTTTCAGATTTAACTGCTAAGGCTTTCTGTATGGAACAAGGAAATATCTGCAATGCTTTTTGTCTAAATGTGATCAGCACAGCATTCTGTAGTATTCCTTTCCAAGGAAAGCACACCACATTTAGGCTGGGAAAACATTCCAAATTTCCATTGTGATAGGATCCACCAGGGTGAGGCTAACAGCAGTTTCTAACATAACCAAGGCCATTTTAATTTCCCACAGAGGCCTTTCTGATACCCAAGGCTCCACATTGGTTTGCATTGCCAGAACCTGTTGGAGCACTGCATGCCATAACCTGTGTTTCTTGGTGAGTTGCTTGTCTATTATTGAAAATCCCAAGACTATGACATCATGGCAATAAACTTCAGAATGCTGAGTGGGTTTCCTCCCTGCCTGGGAAAGCCTCCTTCTAGACAGGATATGACATGATGGTCTGGGAGAGCTTAGGTTAAATTTTTTTCTGCCACCACTCAGGGTAATATGGAGGTGGATGTATCTACTCGCAGACTATGCCCATCATTTCTAAGCCTTCCTTAGATTCTTTCTCCACAACAGATACCCCCACTGATAGTCCCACACAGTGTGTTCTAGTATAGGTGATTCAAACACACAATCAAGTTTTAGTACAATATGAAGAAACTTGGGGTCCAAAGAACCTGAGCTGCCATGTTTCACAGCTCCAGCGGGGCACCGTTCACTCATGCTGCTGTGCAAATCACCTGTTGCCACATTGTTTATTAGCTCTCTTGGAACAAATGTAAAGTCTCTAATAGGAGCTTCCTAGTTGTCACTCTCATCTTTGTCTACAGCCCCTTTCGCCTAGCTCTGACCTTGGGAGTTGACATTTCTTCAGGCTAAAATAATAACACCTTACTTTCACTTATAGTTAACAAAACGCTTTCAAATACTTTATATCACATGAAACTCAATACTCTCATGATGTAATTTGGATATTTGTCCCCACCCAAATCCCATGTTGAAATGTAATCCCCAATGTTGGAGGTGGGGCCTGGTGGGAAGTGTGTGGGTCATGGGGGTGGATTTCTCATGAATGGTTTCGGCCATCCCGTTGGTGATAAATGAGCTCTCACTCAGTTCACATGAGATCTGGCTGTTAGAGAGTGTGTGGCACCTCCCCTCAACTCTCTCTCTTGCTCCTGCTTTGGCCACAAGTCACACAAGCTTCCTTCTGCCATGAGTAAAAGCTACCTGAGGCCTCCCTAGAAGCAGATGCCCCAGGGCTTTCTGTACAGGCTGCAGAACCATGACATGAGTCAATTAAACCTCTTTTCTTTATAACTTACCCAATCTCAGGTATTTCTTTATAGCGATGCAAGAATGGCTGAATACAGGGAGGTTAGGCAGTTATTAATGCTCTGTTTTATAAATGAAGAAACAAATGCTCAGAGGTCGCTGGCTTGCCAACAGTCACCCAACTAGGAAAGAGCAGAGGTCATGACTCCTGGCTTATTGCTTATTCTATCAGAACAAACAAGCTTTAAATTATAAACGGAATCACCCTCAGACCACTGTTGCTGGTGCCCAAGTCAGCCTCAATCTCTCCTACTTAAGACCCTAGGAAGATTTGTGCATGCTCATGAACAAGCCCTTTCAGCTGCCCTGTGGTCCTCCTTTCCCCTCCCCTCCTTCTTTGGTTTCCATCAGTCCCATCATGGCTTACTGCTGGTGCCTGCAACCGGGAAGATGGAACTAGTGCTCAGTGCTGGAGCCACCATTTTGGGTCAACTCAAATGTTCTGCAGGGATAAGGGGAAGGGGAGGGGGTCAGGAAATTTTCCAGCAGCCCCTACTGTTGTCCTGGGGCAGGAAGAACTCTCACTAGAGAACAAGAGGTACTGGGACAAGTTTCTGCATCTGACTCTTTCTTTAGGATGACTCCTTTTCCAATAGCCTCTTCTCCAACTCTTCTTGGCCCTCCATGTAAGTAGTCTCTGGTGGCCTGCCCCTTTAATCCTCCAGATATGCCTTGATGCATCTGAATTTCAGTCCAAGCTGGATTAAGAGGATCCAGACAAACAACTGCCCAGGGTGCCAGAACACCATGGATATAAATCTGAATGACTCCACTTAATTCCCCCCAGTCATGTGAACATTGGTTTCTCTCCCAGGACACAGCACCTGTAAGTGGTCAATTTAAAACCACTCTTCCAGAGTTGATCTATCCTTGTGGAATACATGCAGATGTACCATGTCCATGTGTAAGAGGCTTGATGCAACCATACCCTGAAACTGGAAATCACAATTGCATAAGTTTTGAAACCTAATAGGGTTTTGAACCCCAATAGTGCTACTTACTGAGATCAAGTAATCTAATTATTTTTACTTACATTTTAAGTCCTTTCATACTCCTATCATTAAGTTGCCTTGTTTAGAAAATTGCAAAGGAAAGCTGAAGCAAGAATAAGAACATCAGAAAAGGGAAAAATATTTTGCCAAGTTTTATCAGTACCCGGACTCTGTTTTGGCTGCTGGGAATAAATTAATAATCTGTTTCAACATAGAACTTTTATTAATAGAAAATCAGTTTATTTCTGAAGTCACTAAATACATGTTGAACAAATATTTCAAAAATATCCATTTGAGGCTGAGCGCAGTGGCTCACGCCTCTAATCTCAGCACTTTGGGAGGCCAAGGCGGGTGGATCACTTGATCTCAGGAGTTCGAGATCATCCTGGCCAACATAGAGAGACCTCATTTCTACTAAAAATATGAAAATTAGCTGAGAATAATGGCATATGCCTGTAGTCCCAGCTACTCCGGAGGCTGAGGCAGGAGGATTGCTTGAACAAAGAAGGCAGAGGTTGCTGTGAGCTGAGATCACCCCACTGCACTCCAGCCTGTGTGACAGAGGGAGACTCTGTCTCAGAAAAAAAAAAAAATCCATTTTAAGGGGCACCAAGTTGTTAGCCTTCCAGGATGCTCACAGTTTTGGTCTAGCCCTGATCCTAGAGGGCAAATCACAGCAGGCATCTCCAAACTCACTCGGCCTTTGGCTTGCTCTTCTGTGAAAGCAACTAAAGTAGAAGCTTAACAAATGTTTGTTAACTGCGTGCCTTCAAAATCATATGAATCTTTGATGTTCGTTTTTGAAAGAAGAAGTAAGCTGGAATTTAGAAATCTACTCTGCAAGGGATTTTGCCATGAAAATATTGCTGTGGTAATAAGATTTGATCTGAGGAAGTAGCAATGGTTCCATTGCCCCACCCAGGCAGGCTGGGATCCTCTCTTTACTGTGGCTCATTTTCCTCTACTTCTTACATAAGCCCAGTTTAGCCACCGTTTTGGAACAAAGCTGTGGGCGAGCCTAGAGCCAGAGTGAGTGATCAGAGAGGATGTTTTCAGAGGATACCATTTAGGGCCTCCTCTTGGGGAGGTCAGACTCCATAAAAAGCATGTGTGAACTCACACGCCCAAACACAAGCTCACCATCTACCTGTATTAGCCTCTAACCCAAGGCTTTGAAATCGGAATGTGCATACAGGTCAGCTGGGGATCCAGTTAGCGTGCAGACCTTGATTAAATAGGTCTGGAGTGGGTCAAAGTCAGCATTGCTAATAAGCTCCTGAGGGACGCTGCTGCTGCTGGTCCTCAAACCACACTTCGAGTGGCAAGCTCCATCCCGCATTCTCTACCTGACTCAGGAGCACAGCAGTCACGGTGTTAGAGTCTAGGGACAGGTGAATTAGGAAGATGAGAGTCAAGAAGAGGAGATGAATATACAGGCCAGTGACTATATCACAGTGTTACAAGTGTTCATATGGGTACATATAGATGTGCGTAAGCATGGGAAAAGGGACTGAGTAGAGGGGACCAAGGCTAAAAATAAATCTTGCAGAAATCAATGGATTTTTTATCCATGGATTCTCTTGACAGGGTCTAGGAAGAAATGAGGGCAGTTTGGCAAGATTGTATATTTAGCACCTTGGATGGCAACCTCCCTGGGGCAGTCAGATTGTTTACTCTCTTTTGTGTTCTGTCTAGTTCAGTGCTGGCGAATAAATTCTCCATAAATACTTCCAGACAGAATGAGTTAGTTACTTACTACATTTCATTTTTTATTATGGTAAAATATGCATAACATAAACTTACCATTTTAACAATTTTTAAGTGGACAACTTAGTGACATACATTCATGCGGTTGTGCAACCAACACCATACCTTTTGCTAGAAATTTTTTTTTTTTTTTTTTGAGACGGAATCTGGCTCTGTCGCCCAGGCTGGAGTGCAGTGGCGCGATCTCGGCTCACTGCAAGCTCCACCTCCCGGGTTCACGCCATTCTCCTGCCTCAGCCTCCCAAGTAGCTGGAACTACAGGCGCCCGCTGCCACGCCTGGCTAATTTTTTGTATTTTTAGTAGACACGGGGGTTTCACCGTGTTAGCCAGGATGGTCTCAATCTCCTGACCTCGTGATCTGCCCGCCTCGGCCTCCCGAAATGCTGGGATTACAGGCTTGAGCCACTGCACCTGGCCGAACTTTTTCATCATCCTAAACTGACGCTCTAACTCCTTGATCCTTCTGCTCTCCCCAGCCCCTGGTAGCCACTATTTACTTTCTGTCCCTATACATTTAACTGTTCTGGGTACCTCATAGAAGTAAAATCATACAGCATTTGTCCTTTTGTGTTTGGTTTATTTCATGTAGCATGTCTTCAAGGTTCATCTATGTTATAGCATGTATCAGAATTTCATTCCCTTTTAAGGCTGAATAATATTCCATTGTGTGTGTGTATATATATCACATTTTGTTTACTCATCCATTGATGGATACTTGAGTTGTTCTCATCTTTTAACTATTGTAATGCTATGACATAGGAATACAAATATCTGTATAAGTACCTGCTTTCAATTTCAAATCTTTCAGGTATAGATCCAGAAGTGGAATTATACAATGTAAATATGATGTAAATAAAACAGAATGGAATTACCAGATAATAGGGTAATTTTATTTTCATTTTTTGAAGAACCACAATACCATTCCATTTAATTTTTTAAATTTAAAAACTTCATCGTTTGTAATATAGGAAATAATTTAAGAATCTAGATTCTCCTTGCTGGGAGAACATGGGAGTGACCTTTGAATCTGGTAATTTATGAAATGGGTTTTGCTGGCTGTACCTTCCCTATGAGATGTTGTGAAAGTGAAGCTGGAGGGAGCTATATGTTGCATCATTTCATCTGTGCTGGATGGGCCAGTGGATGGGACTGTCAGGCCTTCAGATTTCTGGACCAACCAGCCCAGGTCATAACTTAGCAGAGTCTCTCTCAGCAAAGTCTCTCTGCTGACCCTACAGCTGCTGAGAAGAGAGATGGCCCTGAATCAAAGCTGCGTGGGTTTCTCATCACAGGAGAACCCGGGAAGAGCAAAGCCAGCAAGACTCCTCATACCAGAGGCTGGATGGTTTCTGCAAATGGTGACACCAGCCGTAACATTTTCCAGGGGGTTGATCTCAGAGGCAGCCAAACCTCGGGGAGCACCAAAGCAGAACACTCAGAGGGTGCGGCTAAGGCCAAGGCTGGGGAGGGGCTGGTCTGCAGCTGGAGGCCATTAAAATGTGGCAAAGTCTCCCTTCTTTGTTCTTAGGATTAATTTAAAGTGCTGCCATCCTGTAGGGCAGGGAGTTACATTCCTGGAATGGGAGACTCAGGAATATCCAGACAGAATCCTGACTTTCAAACACAGGATGTCCTTTTTTAAAAAACTATTTATTGGAATAACAGACTTTTAAAAAACCATCTATAATCATCTCCCCTCCCCCCCACACAAATTCACTGTTTCCATTTTTCCATGTTCTCATTTATGGCTAATGCACTTTTTGTTGCTCTTTTTACTCATCAGTCATACCTAGATTTCTCTTGTCTACTCCTACTTCTGAAGGCAGTTCTACCCAAATTATTGTCATTTTCAGGTTTCTGGGATTGGAGGAGAGAAGGGTGAGTCTCCTTCCTTCTCACCACCCCTTCAACACACACACACACACACACACACACACACACACACACACCCTCCAGGTGCCCTCTTCTTGGTTGGTAATGTTTTCACTTATCACTCACTCCAGTTATTGTCTAACTTCTATGGGAAAGGTGCCAGTTAGGAACAGAAATGTGCCCTTTTAGCCTTATGCCTGTTCTAGAGCTGAACATTGCAAAAGGATGCAGTGGTGATGTTTGCCTCATAGAGCTCCAGCGCCGGGCATTTTGCCCACCTCAGCAGTCCCCGTCTTCTTTCCTTGCTCCCGAGTTCCCTCTCTCCTTTCCTCCCCACTGATAATAGCCCTCAGAAACTTCACTTACACTAAGTGGCTAGGGTAAGAATTTACTAGGAGATTTATTGTGTTTGTATGCCACCACAATGTGTTCCATTTTTTATATCTCCCCAAGTCTTAAAACTATAACTTTGGGCCAGGCACGGTGGCTCATGCTTGTAATCCCAGCACTTTGGGAGGCCGAGGCGGGTGGATGAGGTCAGGAGTTTGAGACCAGCCTGGCCAACACGGTGAAACCCCATCTCTACTAAAAATATAAAAATTAGCTGGGTGTGGTGGCGGGCACCTGTAATCCCAGCTACTAAGGAGGCTGAGGTGGGAGAATCGCTTGAACCCAGGAGGCAGAGGTTGCAGTGAGCTGAGATTGCGCCACTGCATTCCAGCCTGGGTGACACAGCGAGACTCCGTCTCAAAAAAACTGACTTTGGCATTCCTTTTTTTTTTTTTTTGAGACAGAGTTTCGCTCTTGTCTTGGCATTCCTGGTAGACACAGGGTAAGACTTAGAGACCATGGGCTCTTTCTAGCATCTCTAAACTAACAAACTTCAGGTTCTTGACCATAATAGGATCATGACATGGGTCTTGGGGGCTTCTCCCCAGCCACTGTTGTTTCGCATCTCCTGTGTCACTGACTGACTTGAAAACTTCCTTCAGCTCAGGTGGCCCTGGTGACACTCCCAGGCTGTATATTTTGACATTGCTGCACTTCTGATGTTTCTGGAGACCTAACTCTAATTCTCAGTTGCTTGCTTAGCTTTCCCGTTCAGGTATTCTTTATTATGATTAAGCTAGCTACCCTAGCAGGCAGCACACACATCTTTCTTCTTGGAAATAGGTAGGCAGAAAGTTAGGATGCAGGATTCAGATTATAACTTTCTTTTTCCCTAAGTCTGGGCAAACATTCAGGTGTCCTGTAAGGTACTTTTTTCATTAATCAATGGGTTCTTTTAAGTAAAAAAACCTATAATCTAGATTAAATCCACAGACCATCTACATTAGGAAGACTAAATAACAGTGTAATTTTGAAGTCAGGGGGAGCCTGGGATTGAACTATCCCAGCTACGTGGGAGGCTGAGGCAGGAGAATCACTTGAACCCGGGAGGCGGACGTTGCGGTGAGCCGAGATCACGCCACTGCACTCCAGCCTGGGCAACAAGAGCAAAACTCCGTTTCCAAAAAAAAGACTCTTCCATTTCTGACCATGAAAGAGTAGCTGGTATCAAACTTGCCCTCCTGCCAAAGCAACCAGAAAACTGGAAAAAATATATGAAACAACTGTTTTCCAACATCGTACACAGGCATTACAGGGTAATCCCTGAGAGAAGGGAAACAGATTAGATGAGCCCTATATTTGCCCAACTCCCTTCCTGGGGGTACTTTCTGGACCACAGAGCACTAGGACATCCCAAGCAGAGCACAGCAGGCTCTCTGAGTTTGGGAGATTGAGATCTGAGTTTAGGGAGGTAGAGGTTGGAATGTTGTGGGGAGGATACTGGAAAGGAGAAAGCTACACAGGGAAAGAACCCCCAGAAATATGCATAAAGAGAACCTGTAAATCTTTGGATGAATACTAAGTTGCATAGACTTGGATTAAAACTGCACAAGGACTGGCAATAAAATAATCGTTGAAGATCTGTAAACTGAACAATTCCCAGTGTTCACACAGGAATGATAACTGTTAGTATTCCAGTCAGCTAAGGTGGAGAGTTATCACTGAACACCTGAGCATTCAGTAGAGTCCCCAGAAAGATCATGCCTTAGTAGTAAGATTATACAGCCCTAGAGTAAAGGCTATCTCCCTTAACAAAGCTTAAAAACAATCCTCAAAATAATTAAGCTGATATGAAGGTAACTACCCATGCAAAGCTCATCACTCTTTAAAGGAAGACAGCAAAATCTAGATACTCAATAGTATAATAGTCATAATGCCTAGCATACAATAGATACCAAAATATGTAAAGAAGCAGAAAAAATGTGACCCATATGAGAAGAAAAATCAATGGAAACAGACTTAAAAGTGACAATCATGATGGAATTTTCTAAAAAATAATTTAAACAGCTATTATAAATATGTTTAAGAGTTCAAGGTAAAATATAAGGATGAGAGAGACATAAATGGAAACTGTAAAAATAATGAAATGGAACCTCTAGTTCTGACAATACAATATCTGAAATGAAAAATTCACTGATGGACTTAACAGCATAATCAACACTGCAGAATAAAAGATCAATGAACTCAAAGACAGCAATAACACCTATCCAAAGTGAAGCACAAACAGGAAACAGTCTGAAAAACAATGAACAGAACCACAGTAACTTATGGGATAATATCAAGAGACTTACATACATATAATTGATGTCTCAGGAAGAAAAAAGGGTAGTGGAGGCAAAAAAATTTTTTTTGAAGTAATTGCCAATTTTTTCAAAATTTGATGAAAATTTTATACCACAGATCTTGAGTTTTTAATAAACCCCAGACAGGATATACACAAATAAAATCACAGCAAAATGCATCATAATAAAATTGCTGAAAACCAGCAAAAAGGAGGAAATCTTTAAAGTACCTAGAGAAAGGGACACGTTGTATACAGGAGAACAAAAATAGTAGTGATGGCTGACTTCCTGTCAAAAACACTGTAAGCCAGAAGACAATGGAAATGACATCTATAAAGTGCTGGAAGAAAAGTAAACCTTATAAACTAGAATTCTATATCCAGGGGAAATGTATCCTTCAAAAATAAAGACAAAATAAAGACATGTTCAGGTAAATAATAGCTGAGAGAATTTATCACCAGCAAATGCACTATAAGAAATATTAAGGAAGTCCTTCAAGTGGAAGGAAAACGGTACCAGGTGAAATTTGATACTTTCTTTATACAAAGAAATAAAGGGCTCTGGAAATGTAAGCATGTGGATTTATATAACAGATATTATTTTCTTATTTTGAAATTTTTAAAAAAGAGAAATGACTATTTAAAACAAAAATAACACTAATGTAGTCTGATATTTACAACATCTGTAGAAGAAAAATGAATGAAAACAACAGCAACAAAGGAGGGGAAGAGGAAATGAAAGTAGAATGTTGGCCAGGCGTGGTGGCTCATGCCTGTAATCCCAGCACTTTGGGAGGCCAAGTCAGGCTGATCACAAGGTCAGGATTTCGAGATTAGCCTGGCCAATACAGTGAAACCCCGTCTCTAATTTAAAAATACAAATATTAGCCGGGTGTGGTGGTGCATACCTGTAGTCCCAGATACTCAGGAGGCTAAGGCAGGAGAATCGCTTGAACCCGGGAGGCAAAGGTTGCATTGAGCTGAGATCGCACCACTGCACTCCAGCCTGAGCGACAGAGTGAGACTCCATCTCAAAAAGAAAAAATAAAAAAAGAAAGGCTCTCACATTATACATGACCGGTATAATATGATGTACAGGTACACCACAAGTTAAAGATGCAGATTGTAAGCAGGGAACCCACCTTTTTTTTTTTTTTTTTTTTTTTTTGAGACAGACTCTTGCTCTGTTACCTAGATTGGAGTTCAGTGGCATGATCTCGGCTCACTGCAACCTCTGCCTCCTGGGTTCAAGTGATTCTCCTGCCTCAGCCACCCAAGTATCTTGGATAACAGGCATATGCCACCATGCCCGGTTAATTTTTTGTATTTTTAGTTGAGATGGGGTTTTGCCATGTTGGCCAGGGTGGTCTCGAACTCCTGGCCTCAAGTGATCTGCCTGCCTCAGCATCTCAGAGTACTGGGATTACAGATATGAGCCACCATGCCTGGCCTAGAACCCACTTTTAGAAAGAATAGCAAAGAAATATAGCTAAAAGCTAAAATAAGAGATAAAATGAAACACTAAAAAACAAAACAACACAATCCAAAAAAAAGGCAGAAAAAGAAAAAAAGAAACAAGACAAATAGTAGGATCAGCTGGACATAGTTGCTCATTCCAGAACTTCAGGAGGCTGAGGCAGGAGCATTGCTTGAGCCCAGGAGTTTGAGATCAGCTTGGGAAACATGGCAAAACCTTGCCTCTACAAGAAAATTAAAAAATTAGCTGGGTACAGTGGTGTGTGCCTGTAGTCCCACCTATTCAGGAGGCTGAGGTGGGAAGATCATTTGAGACCAGGAATTCCAGGCTGCAGTGATCTATGACTGCACCACTGCACTCCAGCCTTGGTGACAGAGCAAGACCTCGTCTGTAAAAACAAATAAAAATAAAATAAATAAAATTAAAATAAACTTTAAAAATATCAGTATCGGTTGGGTGCAGTGGCTCATGCCTGTAATCCTAGCACTTTGGGAGGTCGAGGTGGGTGGATCCCTTGAGGTCAGGAGTTCGAGACCAGCCTGGCCAACATGGTGAAAACCCGTTACTGGTAAAAATACAAAAAAAATTAGCTGGGCATGGTGGCACATACCTGTATTCCCAGCTACTTGGGAGGCTGAGGCAGGAGAATCACTTGAACCTGGGAGGCGGAGGTTGCAGTGAGTCAAGATCGCGCCACTGCACTCCAGCCTGGGCTACAGAGGGAGACTCCATCTCAAAAAAAAAAAAAAAAAATTAGTATCATAGAGTTAAACACTCAACCATATTGAAATTACATTAGGCTGAATGCGATGGCTCATGCTCGTAATCCCAGAAATTTGGGAGGCTGAGGCAGGCAGATCACTTGAGGCCAGGAGTTTCAGACCAATCTGGTCATCATGGCAAAAACCGGTCTCTACAAAAAAAAAAAAAAAAAAGAAAGAAAGAAAGAAAGAAAAGAAATCACATTAAATGTAAATGTTTCGAATGCCTCAACTGTAAGTTAGAGATTGTCAGGAAGGGTAAGAAAGCAAAACCCGGCCAGGCGCGGTGGCTCACGCCTGTAATCCCAGCACTTTGGGAGGTCGAGGTGGGCGGATCACGAAGTCAGGAGATCCAGACCATCCTGGCTAACACGGTGAAACCCCGTCTCTACTAAAAATACAAAAAATTAGTCAGGCATGGTGGTAGGTGCCTGTAGTCCCAGCTACTTGGGAGGCTGAGGCAGGAGAATGGCGTGAACCCGGGAGGCAGAGCTTGCAGTGAGTCGAGATGGGGCCACTGCACTCCAGCCTGGGCAACAGAGCGAGACTCCGTGTCAAAAAAAAAAAAAAAAAAAGAAAGCAAAACCCAACTATATATTGTGTATTGTCTACTAAAACTGCATTTTAATTATAAAGTGACAGATAGGTAAAGGTAAAAGAATAAAAAAAAATACTATACAAACACGAATCTGAAAAAAATCTGCAAAACATGTATGTGATGAGATTTATATTTAAAATATATAATGAATTCTTATAACTCATTAATAAGAGCAATCCAATTTAAAAATAGGCAATATATATTAATAGATATTTCACCAAAGAAGATATATATATGGCAAAAAGACACATGAAAAGATATTCCACATAATTAGTCACTAGGGAAATGCAAATAAAAACCATAATTATACACTCATTAGGATAGCTTAAATTTAAAATGTCTGACAATACGAAGTATTGACAAGGTTGCAGAAGAACTGAAACTCTCATATGTTTGTGGTGGAAATGCCAAACAATATATTCCAAACTATTAGAAAATAGTTGGGGGGTTCCTTGAAAACTTAAACATAAACCTGCCCTATGATTCAACAATTCCACTCCCAGGTTTATTCCTAAGAGAAATGAAAATATATGTCTGCACAAAAACTTGCTCATATGTGTTCATAATACCTTTATTTATAATAGGCTAAACTGGAAATAACCCAAACATGCCTCACCTGGTGAGTGGATAAGCAAATGTGTTGTAACTACACAATGGAATACTATTCAGCACCAGAAAGGAACAATTCACTGACACAGGCAACCATGTAGGTGAATCTCGAGAGCGTTATGCTGTGTGAAAAAAGCCATATATCTGGAGGATCCAGTTCATATGAAATTTTAGAAGAGGCAAAATTATCGTAATAGAAAGCAGATCAGATGTTGCCAGGGACTGGGTGCGGAGGGAGGAAACTGACTACAAAACGGCACAGAGAACTTTTGGAGGAAATAGAAATATTCCTTATCGTAATTGTGGTGGTGGTTATATGACTGCTTACATTTGTCAAAACTCATCAAACTGTATGCTTAAATTGGTATATCATATGTAAATTATACCTACATAAAGCTAAAAATAAAAACCAAAAACAATTTTTAAAAAAGTGATAATCATAAGAAAGCTAGAGTAGCTATATTAATATAAGAAAAAGAAGACCTGGCCGGGTGGAGTGGCTCATGCTTGCAGTCCAGCACTTTGGGAGGCCAAGGTGGGCAGATCATGAGGTCAGGAATTCAAGACCAGCCTGGCCAACACACTGAAACCCCATCTCTACTACAAATACAAAAATTAGCTGGATGTGGTGGTGGGCACCTGTAATCACAGCTACCCAGGAGGCTGAGGCAGGAGAATCTCTTGAACTGGGGAGGTGGAGGTTGCAGTGAACTGAGATCATGCCACTGCACTCCAGCCTGGGCGACAGAGCTAGACTCTGTCTCGAAAGAAAAGAAAAGAAAAGAGAAAAAGAAGACCTTTCTACAAATCATTCCCAGAAGACTTTTCCTCACATCTCATTAGCCAGAATTTCCCCATATATTCATGCTTAAGCTGATCACTGACAAGGAGTAAGATTTGGAAGAATTGAAGTTTAGAACCCCGTAGTGCTCAGGCATAGGGCACTCAGGAATCACCCACTCAGACTAGGGATTCAGCCGGTCTCCCCTGAGGCAGATGGCTCAATAGAGGTTGGGTGGACCCCTCAATAACATTGAGGTTCTGTTAGAAAACAGGGAGGTGGTCAGGTACAGTGGTTCAGGCATATAATACCGGCACATTGGGAGGCTAAGGTGGGAGGATCACTTGAGTCCAGGAGTTGAAGACCAGCCTGCACAACATAGCAAGATCCTGACTCTCCAAAAAAAAAAAAAAAAAAAAAAAAAAGAAGAAGAAGAAAATTCAAAGAAAAGAGGAAGGGAAGTGTATGACTTAGGGTAGCTGTAGCAGATGTAACAAGTAAGCCCCCATATTTCAGTGTCTTAACAGCATCAAAACTCACTTCTCCCTGCCATAGCAGAACAATGCAGATGTTCCTGTTGGGGGCAGCTTTCTTCCATGTGGAGATTCAGGGACTCTTATTTCTCTTCCATCTTGTGGCTCAGTTATCTTTGGCCTCTGCTTCTAACTAGCAGGCCAGGGAAGAAAGTATGGAGAAGCCACACAACTACTTCTCAACCTGCCTTCTATCCAAGTTACACATATAATTTCTCCTCACACTCACTGTCAAGAACCAACCATGCAGCCACATCTAGATGGAAAGGGAGCTGGAAATATAGCCCCTAGCAGGAGAGCCGATTCCTTTGATATCACCACAGTGTGGAATGGGACACATTGGTATTCTGGTAGACAGTTGGTTGTCTGCCAAGATGGAGGTAGAGGTGGAAGCAATTTTGAGAGACAACCCAACAGCTTCTATTACATAAATACTTATTTTATTTTATTTTATTTTATTTTATTTTATTTTATTTTGAGACAGGATTTCACTCTGTCACCCAGGCGACAGTGAGGTGGCATGATCAGAGCTCACTGCAGTCTCCTCCTGGGCTCAAGCAATTCTCCTGCCTCAGCCCCCATGTAGCTGGGACTACAGGCACATGCCACCATGCCTGGCTAATTTTTTGTATTTTTAGTAGAGACTGGGTTTTGCCATGTTGCCCAGGCTGGTCTTGAACTCCTGGTCTTAAATGATCTGCGTGTCTCAGCCTCCCAAAGTGCTGGGATTACAGGTATGAGCCACTGTGCCTGGCCTACATAAATACTTTTTAAAATCCTTTCTCAGTTATCCCCAGAATAATCCTTTGCCATAAACATTATTATTGTCTCCATTTTATAGATGGGGAAACTGCACACAGAAAGGTTAAATAACTTGCCCCAGGTCAGCAGCTTTTGTAACTGGCAGAGCCAGGATGTTCCCCCAGGGTCTGTGACGCCACATCTGCTTCTCTCAACCTTTATTCTGCATTGCTTGATGAAAAATTTCACTGAATCGCTCTTCATCGTTTGGCTCAGATGAGTGTCAGAAGGAACACTTTGAGAATGGGCCACACAGATGAGGAACAGGTGTCTGCCTCACACTCACCAAGTGCTTTTTCATCATGGCATCAAGGATCATGGAAACGTTACACCAGCCACTCTTTTCTGGAGCAATGTTGACCCATGTCTGGGCAAATAAGAAAGGTTTCGTATGAGTATGTCTGTTCAAATAAATCCTAACTTTCTCACTGGGAAGGAATGACTAGTTCCCACGACTCACAGGACACCACCCCCCACCCCAATATCAAAAATTTCACCTTTTTTTTTAATACTAGCACACAGTGAGAAGTGGTACGCTTCTGTTTTTCTCGGTTTTCATCATAAGCTTTGGCTGTCCCTGGCATTCTGTATGCCACACATGTGCCAAACGCTGCAGCACAAGGATGGGCTAGGGGCAGGAAGGCAGCACAGGAAAGGGGCAGGTCTGGGAGAGGACTTTTGTTAGGTCAGTGCAAAAGTAAGTGTGGTTTTTGCAATTAAAAATAATGGCAATCAACCTAACACAATTTATTGAGATGGTAGTACATGCCAGACTTCATTTTTAAATTACAAATGAAAATGCTACTATCCCTATAGCTGCCATGTTAGATGAACAGGTTGGAGGAAGAGAATGCAAAATGAGTTCATTCTGATTCAAAGTTCTTGGTACATTACCTGAAAATGTGTTTACAGTGGGTGAATATCTTCCCCTAGAAAAGAAAGCCTCACTCAAGCCATTCACTTCTTTAATCAGAGCTCAGGAGCTTTCCAAGCTATTTTATTTTAAGCAATTTCCTGGTGAAAATCTAGCACAAACCTCCATTTGAAGTGCTAATAATTCACATTGTAACTCCAGTCGGCTCCCTTGTCTGCATTTGATGTACTTTGTGAAGTCATTTTAATATTCCATAATCACTTTAATATACTGTGTGATATTGGAGAAGTTACTTAGGTTCTCTGAGCCTCAGATGCTTCATCTGTAAAATGAGGGGGTTGGGTTAGATCAGTGGTTTTGGATGACTTTTTCCTCAAACAAAATTTTATGTGGCACTCCAATATATAAAAGAGATCAAAGCAGAAGTATTCTAAGTATAGCTGAAGCATTTATTAAGCAGACCTACTATGTTTCGAACGTTGTGCTAGGTGCCTGGGAAACAAAGCTGAGGGGAACACAGCCTCTACTTTCATTCTAGTAGAGGAAACAGACACATAAACTAGGACAGATACACAACCCTGAAACAAGCATCAGATGCAGAACTGGTGACATGGACACGGTGGAGACAGCAGCTAGGGAAACAGGGAGAACTCTTGGGGGAGTAATGAGTAGCTGTATCCCTCGGCCCCTCCTGGGGTTTCCATGCAGCCATGTGGACAGTTCAGAGTATGCTGGAGTGGCCCGCCTCACACATATCTGTCTCTCCACTTGTTTGCTTCAGGGCTCTAGACTCAGACAGGTACAGACGGGAGACAAGGAGGAGTGAATGCCGTAGGGGCCAAGCTCAGCTGTTGAGGCAGGAGAATCAGGGAGTAAATACCTGAGCCTCTTGTCCCCTGAGGGACAGTTCAAAGGCACATTCTACACAGTTTGTTCACAGCTGTGCTTACCTCAATAACACATATTTATTGACTTTCTCTTGTTCCCTGACTTGCTCTCCCATTCCCTCAACACTGCTTTTTGAGATAACTTCCCAGATAAAGAACTCACAGCCAAATCAGTGTCTCACGCTTTGCTTTCAAGGGAACCCAACCTACAGGAGTAGCCATGTGACATGTGAAACGCATTTCTGAGGGAGGGGACAGCAGGAGATGGCAGAGTACACAGGAGCCATAAGCGGCTTGGTGCCGGCTGGACCATACCACCTGAGCTGTTGACTGCATAGAATCGGGCACACTCCCATTCATCTGCCCTGGACACGCAGGCCACTCCAGCCTTCAACCACTGTGTGCTTAGAGAAAGCAAATGAACCCTAATATTTGCTAACTCAGTGCAGACAGATGAGCAGTGCAGTTTTCTAGGGTTAGGAGAGTCAACTATCTGCTGCTCTTGGAAACAACATCCTTTCAGGAGCTCCTGTGACTCTAGTGGATGGCAGTGCCCTTTCTCATCACACTCCGCCTTGAGTTCTAGGGCGGCTGACACAGCCTCATCACATTCCAGTCTTTCCCTGGAAGCAGAGCTCATTGTGATTATTACCTCATTGCATTTAATCGGCAAATGAGGAGTTAGAATTTAAAATGTCTGTTGAAGGGCAGGAGGAGTGGACTAGAATTTTACAGTAAGAAGGAGTTGCTGCATTGTGCAACTGCATGAACATAATAAAAGAAATGAAAATGAAAAAACAGTAAATGAGGGAAAGGGAAAATAATGATGGCAAGGTAAGGAGGAGTTAGAAGGTTATGCAAAACTAGAGTTATGCAAAACTAGGAGCTAGAAGGTTATGCTAGAGGTTATGCAAAACTCATGCTATAAGTCCTCTTCAAGGCTTGGCACTGTGGCTCATGCCTGTAATCACAACACTTTGGGAGGCTGAGGCAGGAGAATTGCTTGAAGCCCAAGTTCAAGACCAGCCTGGGCAATACAGGGAGACCCTGTCTCTACAAAAAAATTTTTTTAAAAATTAACTGAGCATGGTGGTGCATGTCTGTAGTCTTAGCTACTTGGGAGGCTAAGGTGGGAAGATCACTTGAGCCCAGGAGGTTGAGGCTGCAGTGAGCTGTGATCGTACTACTGCACTCCAGTCCAACTTGGGTGACAGTACAAGACTCTGTCTCAAAAAAAAAAAAAAGTTTTATTCATTTGCTAGAGGGAGGTCATAGAATTGAACATAACCTTCCCAATCACTACCATGAAAAGGAAAATACTATCAGTTACAATATTTACAGATTCCATACGAAAAAAGAAACTAGTCACTAAGGAAAAGCACAACTATTTGTGGTTCTGAGATGAGAGTAAAATTCCTCCATGCATCCTAAGCAGAGGCTGCTGCCTGATTTAACGAAGAGCATCTGTAAACCTGTCCTTCTGGGAAACAAAATGACAAAGTGCACAAAGCTGTTTCTTAGGACATCCCTCAATATAGGCTGATGGTATCATGACAAAATGCAATTCAGTAAAAGCAACTTTATGAGGGTGCCAATATGGTATATCCAGGTACTAAGCTTACTGATGTTCTACTTAATTCATAACTTAGGGGTAGATCTTTGGGTGTCTAGAAAAATGTACAGACTGCATTTACTTCAATAATCTTCCATAAATACTATTTTTTCCCAGCTGAGCATTTAAAAAAATATTGAGGGGCAGTACGTTTGAAATCCTCATCTAGATGATGACTTTTCTAGGTGGGGCCACATCAGGACAGCCAGCTGTGACTCAGAAGTGGACCTTCGGTGTTTTAATGGGGAGGGCGCCCTAGATTCTCCTCAGAAAGTAACTTTGCCTTCCAACCCAGAGGTCAATGGGTGATCGAAACCTCATAAAGTTTATATCATAAAGCATGGATACAATAATTTTAAGCTGGAAAAAATATTAAAGCAGGTGCAACAAACCTGCTTCTGCTGCAGGTGGATGAACAACCATTCATTAAAGAACCCATGACATGGCTGACTGTGCAAAATGCCATTCCATGTACATCCCCCAAGATAGACAAAGTTGCAAAATGTTGCAAAATGTATCTGGGCAACAAGTGACTGGCTGAAGGGGATTATGAGTTATAAAGTAGATAAAAAATGGAGCCATGTCTACCAAAATGATGGCTCCGTTTTAGAACAATCGATCTGTGAGTCCTCTCCAGTGGAGAGTACACAGGGAGCAGGAGTTGTAATCCCAGTTTTTCATAATAAAGCCATGTCATCTGTCTATGAGTTTCTCTGTTCTCTAGTGCTGCAGAGCACACCTATGGCTCAGCCCTAAGTTAGAGAAAGAGAAGTGCAGCAAGGACAAAGACTGAACTTTGGAAGATGGACTAGAAAAGAGAATTGGCTGGATTTAGGTAAATCTCGAAATCTTGAGATTGGAAAGGATTTCCTCCAAGGTCAGTTTGTCCATGGCTCCACCTAATGTCCCCTTAGAGGGGCCTTAATGCCTTGGAGGTAAACATTTTACCTCGAGAGGAGAGGATACCACTGTATAATTTAACTCTCCTCATCATTGAGCTAAGTGGTTATCACAAACTAGGCCAATTTTTTCTCTTAGCAATTTTTACACAGTGACTCAGAGTAAGACTTCGAATCAAAGTCTACTCCTCCCTTAAAGTGCAACACTTCAAAAACAACTGAAGACAACTCCTCAGAGCTCCCTGTTGTCTTCTCCAAGTCTTCCAGAAGAACCTCTTTCCATATAAGGTAACTCTTCTCCTGATGAGGGTTGCCTGATTTCACAGATAAAAATATAGAATGCCCAGTTGAATTTGAGTTTCAGATAAACAATGAATACATTTTTAGTGTTAAGTATGCTCTGTGTAATATTTGGGACATACTTATACTAAAAATATATTGCTTATTTATCTGAAATTCCAATTTTACTGGGCATTCTGTATTTTGGCTAGCAACCCTCCCTACTCTGGATGCATTTTAGTTTGTAAATGTTGTTTTTAAAATATAATGCTTAGAACTTAAGATAATATTCTAGTTGAACACAGAAGTGCAGCTCACGTGGGGTGAGAAAGGCAAGTGGGGAAATGGTGAAAGGAAGAGGACATCTTCATCCTCGTCTCCCTCCCTCCCCCTCCCAATTTATGTGTGAAGACTGGGATAAACTCCCTTCCTGTGAGGGGATAAAGGCCTCTCCTGGGCATAGCAGGTCAGAGACAGGGCACAATGTTGGCTCGATGGGGCACCCTTGGGCACCATCCTACTTGGCAGCCATGACCTTAGGTAAAGAACTTACTCCAACATCCATAGTGCCTGCAACTATTTCTAATGTGTTAGCCCCTCTTTTGCACAAGGGACTGCTGTCTCCATTCATTTAAGAGATACTTTCAGCCCAGATGATGGCATATTTGCAGAATACAACACATAATGGCTTGTGTCTCTCTTATCCATTTACCTTTCTTTCAATTCCTTTGCTCTTGTGGTTTCCATCTCCTCCCCGTCCTTCACTGTATTCCAGGTTTTTCATGCATTAAATTAGATGATAAGCCCCTCCAGGGCAAGGGCCCTGTCTGCTCGTAACATAGGAAATAGCCTCAGTCTTGGGGAGAGCTTTTATTGCCAAAGGCTCACCTCCATCCAATTCCTTATTTTCTCCTCACACTTCTCCACCCCAGTGTTCCTGCAGGCGTGATGCTATGTGGGGTAGCTTCCCAGGGAGGCACTTTTGGCCTGGTGGAGGTGGAATCTGGAACAGTTCTAAGTCATTTAAGAACACTTTCTCCACCATGTCCCACTTCAGTCTTTTAGGGCTGAAGAAAAGATGGGGAGAATTGATAGTTGGGTGGTGACGAGCAGGACCAGCCCTCAGGCAGGACCCTGCTTAGCCCATACCAAACAGATGAGGTCCCTTGCTGTTTTCAAACTTGTCACATGAGCATTCTACAGCTTCCCCACTAATCTCACCAGTATTGCAGGACTCTCACTCGTGGGGAAATAAAGGCCTCCTCTTCCCACCCCTCCCTTTCTAACTTTTAATTTCATTTTCTAATTCTATAATATAATCCTAAATTTCTTTTTGTTTAGTAATCTCTGTTTAACTTTAACTGGGAAAATATACATCTGGACACAGAACAAGGAAGACTGTGAGTGAAAATGATTAGTGGAATGAAACGGTGCCATGGAATATACTCCTTCCCCTGAGCCCCTGCTGAAGTAGGTAGGGGTCAGGGTCATTTGGAGACTGTGTGCGTGTACAGGCTGCCAGAGGTGGCAGGGCCAACAACTCCAAGTCTAGGTGAGTCTTAGAACAATCAGCAATTTCATTCACTGGGAACCTTTTAACATTTTCATTCACAAAGTTAAATAACATGATGATGTTTTTGCCTGATCTCAGCAGGGAAAACTTGTTTGGCGTAACAGTATGAGGACTCTTGTGAGGTTTTAGGGGTATCACCTGCAGAAAGACATGTGTGACCAAAAGACCATAATGTCGGACTGCTGTGACCAGTGCCCCTTGGGGGCACTATGATTGGAGAAAAGAAACCCATGTCGGTACTCTCCTTGGGGGTGGGCGTGAATCAATTAGAATTGCTGGAGAGTGAGTCTTCCTGCCCCAGGCAAGCCTATAGACTAAGATAGGAGAACAACTGGTTGGGGCAAAAGCCTTACCTGTATAGAAGGTTACTCACTCTGGTAAATAAATATCTTTCATAGTAAAAGCATCATCAGATTCCAGAGTCATGAATTAACAAATTGTGCCAGTCTGCTGTGTTTCTTCCTTTATCCATTGGTAGTCAGGAAGGTGCAAAGGGTGTGGTGGTTATAACCAACAGTCTAGACTTATTAATTTATGCTTATTTTTTGCTACAAAAGTGGCTCTTTGGTTAACTCCCATGACATTTAACTGCCAGCCACCAGCAGGCTACCCACTTCAGTCCTCATTCTACCTGCCTTACCTAGACAATTTTATTTATTCTCATCATTTCAATGGTTAACCACTGTTATTTCCATGATTGTAAGATACACCATTAATTTAATAATACCTGGGGGTGGGTGAGGTGAGAAGAATCTCTATCATATTAAATACACAACATCTATTGTAAGCTTATCCTTACACTCCACAGCTAAAGACCTACCAATTTTTCAAGACTCGTTGCATAGTCATCCCCTCTGTGAAGCTTTCTCTGACAGCCTCCTCCTGGACTGGCCGCTCCCTTGTGGTGTCACAACTCTACCTTGCATATGCAATCACAATGCACAAAATGTCGACTCCTCAAGGGCAAGAACTGTCTGCTTCATCCCTGTACCCCCAGGATCTAGCCCAGTGTCTGCCATTAATTCACTCTATAAATATACATTGGGACCTACCATGTGCTAGGCACAGTCCCTGACACACATTGTTTATTAAACAAAAGAATTTTTAAAACATCTACTCTGCCATAAGGTGGGATACAAGGTGAAAATGTGACAGCCTCTTAGGCCCATGCATTATTAGACAGAGATGGGGGTAGTGTATACATTTTGCTAAACTGAATGTGACCAAGTGCCACAATGTGTGGTTCAAACATTAAGCGTTCTGGGTGGTTAAGAAAAGGAAAGATGGAGGATGAGCTGAAATCTGAGCTTCTGAAGGTGCCAGGCCTCACATTTCTCTGAAGCTCCACTACCTTCCAAGGCCTAACATTAGGCTTGAATTCAAGGTTGATTGAATGAAATTGGGAAACTTCCCTGCGAGATTCTAGGGAAGAATTGGGATGGGGAAGAGAAAGGAATTACAGTGTGTATGAACAGAACCAGGAAAGGCTTGGCGGCAGAAATAAATTTTAAAAAAATTATTGTGTAAAATGTACATAGCACAAAATTTACCATTTTAACCTTAAAAATTTTTTTTTAGAGACGGTGTCTCACAATGTTGCCCGAGTGGTCTCAAACTTCTAGCCTCAAATAAAAAAAAAAAAGAAAGAAAAAAGAAAAAGAAGAAAAAGTGCCAGCCCAGTGGCTCAGACCTGTAATCCCAGTCTTTGGGGAGGCCGAGGCGGGAGAATCGCTTGAGCCCAGGAGCTCGAGACCCGCCTGGCCAACATAGGGAGACTCCAGTGTCTACAAAAAATAAAAACAATTAGCGAGAGTGTGGTGGCACACATCTGTGGTTCCAGCTACTTGAGAGGTGGAGGTGGGAGGATTGCTTGAGCCTGGGAGGTCAAGGCAGCAGTGATCCCTGATCGCACCACTGCACTCCGGCCTGGGTGACAGATCCTCATTTTGAGACCCTGTCTCAAAAATGAAAGAAAGAAAGAAGACAAAACAAATAAAAACTCCTGGCCTCAAGCAACACCATCCCTGCCCCCCGCCTCCCCCTGCCCCCCCAACCTCAGCCTTCTGAGTAGCTAGCATTACAAGTACCAGTTACCAGGCCTGGCAATTTTAAACATTTCTAAGTGTACCATTCAGTGGCATTAAGTACAATAACGTTGCACCACCAGGAATGAATTTTTAAGTCTCTTTCCAAAGATACCTGGCTAATCACACATTTGATAGTGGGGAAATAAGAAACATTTGTTGGTTGAAAGACGGATGCATGAGAGTAAAAGCAGTGTTCTTCCCCAGTGTGGGCAGTTTCCGCATAAGCATCTGCGATCCGTTTTGCATGTGAATGAAAGCCCAGTGACGGGCAGTGGGCACCAGTGCTGCTCCTTGCGTGTTTGAATCATGCTTGCTAAGTTTCAAGCAAGGAATGCTCCATTTCTCCCAACCAAGTCGGGCCTTTTGTATTCAAATCAAAAGCACAAAACTCTATTGTAGGGGGAAAAATGAGTCTTTATTGGCAATCAGTGGTGTCCACTTAGAGCAATAAATATTAAGTCTTAAGAGTACATTCTATATGAAGTACTATAGCTATTAATACACTTGGGTTTTGTTTGTTTTTTAAATGGGTGTCTTTGTGGGGTGCTGTTCTAATCAGTGCCACAGGCGCCGAGGAGAGGGAGGGAGCTGGGTAAGGAAGGAGACAGGCCCACCCTAGCCACCGGGGAGTGGGCAGAGTCAGGAGAGCGGGGTTCTGATTTTGCCCCTTCCCTGTGAATCCTTGGGCACCTCACCGAAACACTTAAGGCCTCTGTATGGTAGAGGTTGGAATCCGTGGCCTTTAAAAGTCCTTTCAGCTCCTTCGCTCCTATCTGCATAATTTTTGGCATAGGCCAAGCGGCTGGTTGGTGGGGTGTTTAGCTCAGGACGAGAGGCCGAACGAGCGGGGAGTTGGCTGAGGATAGACTAGACACGCGTGGGTGACTCCAGCGTGATGGAACGCGGGGTGTCCCGGGATAGGGCTAAAGCGATGGGATTTCCAGACGAGTCTTTCCCAGGCCAACTTTTAAAGGTCGGAGGAAAGTTTCTCGTGGGGTGGGGGCCCAGAGGGGATGGCAGGGTGGGCTCCGACGCCTCCTCGCCTTTAAGCGGGTGGCCCCGGCTCTTCCTCCGTTACCTGGAGCGGGGAGGGGCTTGGGAAAGTTTGTGTTTGTTGCTGGCAAAGCGCCGGATGGGAGGCGCGGGCGGGCGCTGCGGTTCTTCCCTTCTGCTTTCGGGAAGCGGTCGGGGCTGCACACTCGGATCGGCGGGGCCGGCTCCCGGGCCCGGCCGGCTGGAGGAGGGAGGGAAGGAGGCGGGAGGGAGCGAGCGGAGCCAGGGGCGCACGTACGCCCCAGCGCTGGGATTTATCGGCTCGCGAGGAGAGCGGAGCAGGCGCGCGGCCCAGGCGGAGGAGCGCCGACTCTGGAGCAGCCGGAGCTGGAAGAGGAGGAGGAGGAGAGGCGGCGGGGAAGGAGGAGGAGGGGGAGAGTCGCTCCCGCCGGGCGAGCATGGGGCGCCTGGCCTCGAGGCCGCTGCTGCTGGCGCTCCTGTCGTTGGGTGAGTGTGCGCGGGGCTCAGCGGGGCACACGGGGACTGGCGAGGCCCTGGAGGGCTCGGCGGGGCGCGGCTGCAGCGCGCGGCCTGGGGCGCCGAGGGTGCCCGGGCTGCTCCCGGGAAACCCGGCCGGGGTGCGCGGGTTGTTCGGCCCGGCGGGGAGCGGCCGCGGGGCCGCCCGGAGCCTGGCGCGAATCCGCTCGGGCCCCGCGCGCGGGGTGCAAGTGGCCGCTCCGCCAGGCCGAGCCTCGCCCCCAACATGTGCCGGGGGGAGTGGCCCGGGGCCGTCTTTCCCCCAGGTCTCCCTACCTGTTGGCCGCCGGGAGCCCGGCTCACCTTGAACTCCCGGCCCGGAAGGTGCTGCGGTCCCGGCCCGGGTCCTCGGCTCGAGAGCGGAAATGTGAGCCTTTGATATGCCCCGCCATAGCCGCCGCCGGCCGGGTCGCTCTTCACCCAACCCGCGCGGAGTTGCCTTTCCAGGGAAGCGAGAGAATCCTCCAACTTCCTTCCACGAAGGTCACAGGGTGGCCCGGAGCGTTACAATGGAAATCGGCGGGCGAGTCCTGCCGTCATTTTCGTCGTGGCTAGATCTTCTGCCTCAGTCTTTTCTTTTAGCTTTTCTTGAAGCTGCCTAGCTGCGTATTTATACACAAAGACCTAAAAGCCTGGCTTCTCCAACTTTTTCTACCTGTTACTTTCCCTCCCTTACTATCCCCTCGTCTTCCACCCTCCGGAAACCCTGGGTGCCCCGTGAGGTTTTGGCCCAGCGCCCTCCCCCCACCCAAGGAATCTTTTGTGGGTTTTTTCCCTCTCCATTTTCCATTCACTCCATACACAGACACCATCTTCACGTAGATCCACATGGTGATCCTAGCCAGCCACGGAAATATGTTTATTAAGTGCCCACCATGGTACCCCAGGGCCGACTCTTAAATGTTTTGATATTCTTGGATCCTTGTTGTCAGTGTCAACCAGGACAAGATGATTCCTGTGACCTGGCCTGGGGTTCTCTTCCAAGCCCCTAGAGAAGGCGGCTCTGAGTCTTTCACAGAGCGCATGATGTGCGGTGTCCGTGCCATTCAGGTCCCAGCTGCACACAGGGCAAATGATTACTCTGCACTTATGGTCAGAGGGTTCCAGAGGAGGCCTTCTATAGCTACTCCCCTGCTGGGGACACCGGGGCCCACACTGCTGTAACCCCCATGACTCCTGCTGCTGATGAACCAGCCTTGCTGGCTGCTGTGTTTTCTTCCTTCACCTTGAAGGGATTTTCTGAACTGACTCCCTCAGAGAGCTCGTCCAGCCACATTGCTTCAGCTTCAGCCCATGTGCAGAAAGCTTCCAGATCTTCCACTTAGTTTTATGGCATCTTTTCTATAGTCCCTGATCCTAGTGCTTTATTTTTATTTTTGAAACAAAGCCTCAGTCTTTCACCCAGTCTGGAGTGCAATGGCACAACCACAGCTCACTGAAGCCTCAAACTCCTGGGCTCAAGTCATTCTCCCACCTCAGTCTCCTGAAGTGCTGGAATTACAGGCATGCTCCACCACACCCGGTGGTAGTGCTTTTAATCTTTACTTTTCACTCTGGGACCCTTGTAAGTTGTATGTTAGTGGCGCACTGCTGTTATAGTCCACACACATTAATTGACTTTATGTGTCTGGGTCAAGCAGGGCCATGGCCTAGGTTTGCACAGATGGTGCACTGTACAACTTCGGGAGCTGCTGTTCACTTTGTAGTCTGTGTGAATAACTCCCCCTAGAGCTGTGCAGTTCTCTGAACAACCTGGGTACCAGTTATGAGGGTGGGATGAGGTAGAACTTTGAAAACAATGCCCTTGAGTAATAATGAAGGGAGAAGAGGGGAGGGGGCAAAGAGAGACTGACAAAAACAAAATAGAAGTGGGGAAAGCACAGCTTGGGGAAATCTTGATTGTACTCCAGCATATCCTGTCCTGGCTGGATGCCTCCTATGAATTACACAGGGAATTTCTGTGGTGTCACCAGCCAGTACCTTTTCACCTAACAGTTCTCTGAACCATTGATGACCCTCCTGATAACTCTGCTGTCACAGAATCTCACTCGGTGTGGCTTCAGCCTGACCTCTGGGAAGGTCTCGCTGTGTTACACTGCTCTGGCACTGTACTGATCCCTGAAATGTAATATGTTGATAAACAAGATCATCTTTCCTCCTGGGGTGTAACCTGGGTATAATCGTGGTATCGCTGCTCTTTTTGACCTCCATATTCACGTAGTCTCTCAATTCTTGGCTCTCCCCGTACCACAGACTCCAGCTTCTTTCTTTCCTTCCTGTTTCTACGGCTACTGTCTTAGCCCAGGTCCTGATTGTTTCCCACACAGTTGGTGTCTTCCTGGTTGATTATTTCCTCCAGCCTCCCTTTTAAGCTCATCCTTTTCCTAAATGATCATTTTTGGGGCTCCCACCTGTTCTCACTGTGTCCTTATGAGTTTCCTCCAAGGAGATGTTGCCCCTTGTGTGTCCCTCCCCTCTGGTCTTCTCTGGCTCAGACACTTCGTTCCAACTAACCTGTTTGCTCTCCTTTATGTAGACTATATTAAACCTTCTGGCCCCTTCTACTTCTCACCTCTTGCCTGCGTATTAATATTTCCTTTTTCCCTTGAAACTCACTTTCTCCATGAAGCCTTCCTAAGCCTACCTACCATGATCACACCAGAACCCACCCAGCCACATAGAGCAGGTTTCACATCCATTGCCTATGTCTGACCTGTCTTGCCCATCCACTCAATGTGGCATTTCTTGAGTGGCCACTCTGTGTGCAACTGTGTGTTCAATACTGGGAGTCCCAGACAAATGACAAAGACACAGCATCTCCCTGAGCGGCTGGTGGGTGTGAGTAGACAGAGAATAAAATAGCTAACCACAGGACTGAATGAAATACCTGACATGGAAACCAAGTGTGGGAAACAAGGAAGGGGATGATTAATTTTGACTTGGGGGTTGGGGCTGGTTTTGCTGAAGAAGTGACATTTGAGTTGAGCCTTGAGGATAATTAGAATTTTGAAAGAAAGGATAGAAGAGCATTCTGGGCTCTGGGGAAAAGCCTAAAGTGTGGATGAGTGAAAGTACATGGCTCATTGAGAAATGGCACGTAAGTTCCCTGTAGCTGGAGCTGGGAGGAGGAGGAAATAATGGGGGTGCAATTATTTGGGGGAGGAGGAAATAATGGGGGAGGAAAGGTGGGTTTGGGATAGATCCTGTAGGTTTTGCATGCTGTGCTAAGGAGTCTGGACTGGGAGGGGTAGATTTGTTGGTGCTCTGGGTGCTGCCAGCCAGTCTGTGCCCTGTCATCAGAGCATATATTTCCTTCATTGTATGTAATTGTTCCCTACTCTGATTGTTTCCCCTGGGGGCAGGGGCCACGTTGATTTTGTTCACTACAATGTCCCTATTACGAATAGGATATATAACTCATACTGGTTGTTTGATACATATTGGCTGACTGAATACTTACATATGTCATTTTATCTGTGGGAATGGGTAGCCATTAAAAGTTTGTAGGGCGAGATTAACAGGACAGGGTAATGTGTTGAGGAGGATAAACCCTCAACTAGTGCAACATAAATTGGAGAGTAGAAGGCATGGAGATTGTAGGGTGGGATTAACACATTCTCTTTATGTCTTTATTTTTGCAAATCTATTGAGATACTTTTTTAAGTGTCAAAAGCATTACATCTGTATTTTAAAATTCAAATGATATAAAAGGACTTTGTATTAATCAGGTAGGCTAAACTGCTCTAACAAACTCAAAGCATAGTGGTTCAGACAATAGATGTGTCTTATATAACAATGCGAGGGAGATGCTTCAGAGGAAAGGGTTGGGTGGGAACCCTGCTTTACACAGTCATTCTGGCTCCCCAGCTGGTGGCAGTTCTGCTGTCTTCAACTCACAGTTTCTAAGATCACTTTGGTAGTCGTCATCACCATTCCAGCCCCTACAAAGGAGGAAAGAGCGTAGAGTAGAATATTTGGAGTCTTTGTGGGTCAGACTTGAAAGTGGCACACATCATTTCTGCACACGTTCTATTGGAGAGACTTTGGGCCCATGCCACACTAGCTGTAAGGAAAGCTGGGAAGCCATGTGCCAGCTACTATGGAAGAAGGGAAAGACAGATTTTGAGGGAACAGCTAACAGTCTCTGTGTTACTTACAAAGGATATAAGGTCAAAAGAAAAATCTGGGCTAAACAGGTCAGCTCATGCCTGCAATCCCAGCACTTTGGGAGGCCAAGGTGGGAGGATTGCTTGAGATCAGGAGATCGAGACCGGCCTGTGCAACATAGTGAGACCCCCATCTCTACTAAAAAATAAGAAAAGTTAGCCGGGTATGGTGGCATGTGCCTGTGGTTCCAGCTACTTGGGAGGCTGAGTGGGGAGGATCACTTGAGTCTGGGAGGTCAAGGCTGTAGGGGACCGTGATCGCACCACTGCACTCCAGCTTGGGTAACAAAGCGAGACCCTGTCTCAAAAAAAAAAAAGGAAAAAAATGTGTCCACCCTCCTGCCCAGGCACAGCCACTCCTGCCTAACGTGTGTGTGTCTCTGCATACTGAGTATTTTGTTTTTTTTTCCTCATAGCTTCTGTACAAGGCTCTGCACCTAATAGGCACAGACTAATAATAGCTACTATTTCTCGATTGCATATCAAGCGTCAGGCTCTGACGTACATTCTGGTATTTATTCCTCACAACAATACTTTGAGAAAGTCACTATTTTGTCTTTATTACAGATAAGGAAACTGATGCCCAGAAAAGTTAGTTAACTTGTCTAGAGACATACAGATTCTTCCTAGCAGACCTAGGATCTGATCTCAGGACTCCATTCTGTCTCTGCTAAGGAAAAGTTTACTAATGTTCGCTAAACCTTATGCTGCGTATTGCTTGAGATTAGCTTAGGTGAAGAAAGATGATAGTGGTTTGAAAGTGAAAGTGCATTTAAAAATAGGAGGATCCAGGGTTAGTGCAGCCCAGGTACACTTCCTGAAGGGAAGGGCAGTGCCAGCATGCACCTCAGAGGTGTGGCATCTCTGCAACCCTAGCAGGTGGCCATGCCGGCTCTGAGGACGGGCCGAAATGCAACTGCCTCTGGAAAGCACTGAAGGAGGAGGAAGGCCAGTGGGAGGAACCCTAGTGAATCCATCCAGCTTTAACAGTCTTTGAAGTGCTGTGGCCTTCAGAGATTCCTTGGCACTTATTTTAGCCTTGTTAACAGAATTCCTGTATCTGCCAAGCTGATTAATGCCTGCCCTGGCTATAATTATTCTTATTAGCCTGCTGAATAGGAACTCTAGTTGTCAGTGATCATTCCTTACAAGGCAGCAGGCTAGTCGGCATTTATGTGGCTGTTTTGTTTTAGCGATGAGCTGCTGAGCTGATTTTCCCCCCGTAGATTGAATGTACATTTTCATATTGGCACTGCGTCTGGCAGTTAAATAAGGTGTGTGCTTGTCTGTCGATGTGTGTCTGCGTCTCACTTTATCAAATGAAGTTGGAAGGATGCTGTCCAGGCAGTTCATAGCTGTTTTGTTTAATTGCATTGGTTTCTTAAAGGCAGGGTTGCAAGGGTCATTTGACTCTGCTTTGGGAAAATAACTTGAACTGGCAAAAATTCTTCATAATTTATCTTCTGGAAAAGGTGAAGTGCTGCAGTTGGCACAGTCAGTGGTTTTTTCGATCTTGGACTATTTCTCCCCACACCAACTGTAGTCTTTGGGAAGCAACAGAATTAGACCCAGAAGTTAACACTGTCGTGTCCCAGCAATATGCGTTTCCAGTAGGCTGGAGATCATGGCTCTGTGCATTCGCTTGTGTTCTTTGAAGGCTGATTTCTCCACAATACTCTGTATTGTGTCACTAAGCAGCATGATTCAAGTTTAAGTAAAATGTTCTGGGACCTTAATTGCATCCTGTTTCACACCTTTACAAGCAGCTGGAATGTGAAAATATTTACCTCACTTGGGATATTTCATAGGAGTGGAGAAGAACCCGTGGCTACTGTTGCTCTGTCTAGGATGAATTTGGCTTAGAATAGCGAAGAGTGGAATTGTGCCTAAGGGTTCCGGGCACATTTCAGAGTGGGTGCTACCTTGGAATCCTAATGAAATAGAGATAGTGGGCAGACAGATGAGTTACTTCTTGGAGCTTAAAAGTGACTCCAAGCCAAGAATATTCTGATAATGGCTCTTCCTTGCTCTTCTTTAGAGCTGGACTAGACAGAACTCCCCAGCTTATGGGCCTCAGTAAGGGACTCACATGGATTTCAGGTGGGTTGTCATGATACTGATACCCACAGGGCAGGAGCTGCCTCTAAATCCAAAGGCCTGCGTACCCAGAGAGCTGTACAGATACTGTCATTTCCTGTGTGTGCTATGATTTGACGAAGGATGGCAGTTCTCTCCTTCACTTGGTGAACTACAGCCCTTTAGCCCTAGCTTTGGAATGAGCTGTTTGAAGATGCAAGGTGAGAAGCTCAGTAACACGGCTAGCAGCTCATTTATTCAGCAAATATTGAGCAAGCGCCTACTATTACACGCCGGGCATTGTTCTGAGGATTGCTGTATGAGCAGAGCAGACTCAGATCTGCCCTCAAAGAGTTGGACAAAATGCACTAGATGTCAGAAAGTGGACGATTGAGATGAGGGTCAAGGGCAGGTTCTTGGAAATGCCTGCAGTGAGGAGACAGGAAATGAAAGGGAGAGTTCTAGGAGTAGTCAGGGAACGGAAGAAGTACTGGGAGAGCACGCTGTCGGAAGCCAAGCAGAGATGGGTGTGAGTGGACTTGTTAAAGAGGGATTGGTCACATGCTGCTACAGAACTGGAAGGATAAAGACAGAGAAGCCCTTGGATATGGGCACTGTGAAGTCTGCCCAGTGAAGGAGGAAGGGAAATCACAGAACTTGAGAAGTGGGTGGGGTGGGGAAGGAACTCTGAGTCAGAAACGATCGCCCACCTTTTCAAGTGGTGTGGAGCAGAAGACCACTGTGAGGGTAGTGGCTCAGGGCACGGCAGAACCAGATCAACTTAAACAGGATCCAGGCGTCTCTAAGCAGGCCCACAGGCCAGCTGGGAGACTCTGGTGGCAAAGGACAGGCTGAAGAGCAGTGAGCAGGCATGACTACTGGGTGTGGACTCCAGAGAAGGTGGCACAGGGGGGTTGGGGTGCAAATAGAAGCCCTAGCCTTGAAGAGCCAGAGAGGAGGGAAGGGAGAGGGAGAGGAGAGCATGGAGAGAGCAGTTTGATATGGCATGCAGTCTCTGCAGTGATCTCAGACTTTTCAGCCCTAAGAGTAGCCCCAAAGCTTCCCCAGACATGCTAGTTAGAGGTTTTCTATATGTTCCCTTGTTCCCTGTCTCTCTCTTTTTAGGACAGGGTCTCACGCTATCACCCTGGCTGGATTACAGTGGTGCAATCACGGCTCATTGCAGCATGAAACTCCTGGGCTCAAGCAGTCCTCCCACCTCAGCCTCCTGAGTAGCCAGGACTGCACAACCAGGCCTGGTTAATTTTTTATCTTTTTCCTAGAGGCAGGGTCTTGCTATGTTTCTCGGACTGGTCTCAAACTCCTGGCCTCAAGTGATCCTCCTGCCTCAGCCTCCCAAAATATCGTTAGCCACTGCGCCCGGCCTGTATGTTCCCTTTCTTTATCTGCACACATATAAAGTTTCCTCTGTGTCCCTCTGGATGTCTTCTTCTGTGTTGATTGGTGGAATTAACTTACTCTCTGATAGCTTTTAGGTCTTTGGCTGTTAGGCAGAATCTCTAGCACAGGGACTCTTGCATTTTATAATCCATCTTTCTCTTATTCACATTAGCTAAGAAGATTTTAATAGTTTGTATTACAAATAAACCATTACATGTGTGTTTTTAAAATCTACTTCTGTTCTTTATACCCTTCCAGCCTTACTTCATCTCCCAATTAAAAGAGGAAAAAATAGGATTCAGGCTTCAGAATCAGCCTTTCATTTGAATCCTGTCTTCCCTCAGTGTGAACCTTGGACAGGTTTTCTAACCTCTTTGAATCTCACTTTCTGTCTCTGTGAAATGGGAATAATACCTCTCTTGGAGGTTTTTCCATGAAGATTAAAAACAATATATTTAGAAGAATGCAAACATTAGTGTATGTAAGTTCCTAGAACTCTGCTACCCCAACTGTGTTCTGTGGACCACCAGCATTGGCAGCACCTGGGGGAATCTCAGGTCCAAACTTGTGAATCAAAGTTTGTATTTGAACAAGATCCGCAGGGGATTCAAATGCATGCTAAAGTTTAAGAAGCATGTCTGGAGGAGGTTTGGCATACAAATTACTTGGTAGTCTGGGCTTTCTCAGTGGGACTGAGGCAAAGCCATGGTCAGAGTCTGAGCTGGAGGAGAGTGGGCTGGGGCTGGACCCCACGGGAATGTGACAGTCATTCAGTTAGCAGTGAAGGATGGAGGATAGCATAGGTCTGTAGTAAAGGCAGTGGGCCTAGTTTCGTGGCTTTATCCCACCAAGTTTGGCAGCCTAGGAGGGACAGCATCATGTGGTCTCTCCATGGAATGAGAGTGGAAGGATGAGTGATAAAGGAACCGAGGGAACTGATGAGAACATCACAGGAAAGATTAGCCAAGGAGTACACGTGGGATAGGCAGGTGAGTGGGGCTTCCAGGCTTGATGCACCTGCAGAAGGTTTGAGGGCCTGGAGGGCATGATGATGGCATAAAAGCAGATTCTGAGGTGCAAGGGAATGGGTAGTCTAGGAAAGTAGGAGGTGAGGATCAAGAGAGGTAACTTCTGAGTTCAGGGTTTTGGCAGCAGAGATCTAAGGGGAGATAGGCTGGATGGCTAGTAGTGACATAAGCATTTATTCAGAGTTTCTGCCTCTTCCACCATTTTGGCTGGTTGAGCTAATATCTGACTGGGTTGGGCCTGAATGGATTAGGAGAGAGGGGTGTGACTTAGAAGCATTAGCCCTAGGCGTTGTGGGGAAAAGGCAGTAACCTATGACTAAGATGAATTGGGGGTTGGGGACCAGGTGCGATGCAAGAGAAACCAATATGAGGGTTCTTTCCTTCCCAATAAATTCCTGTCTACCTTTTTTGTAGCATTTATTTTGTGCCAGGCACTACGCTTTTCTTTTCTTTTCTTTTTTTTAAAGAGAGGGGGTCTCTGTCACCCAGGCTGGAGTGTAATGTTGCAGTCATAGCCCACTGCAGCCTCAACCTCCCTGGCTGAAGTGATCCTCCCACCTCAGCCTCCCCAGCAGCCGGAACCAGCTAATGCACTTTCCATAGATGAACTTATTTAGGAGGCTTCATAGCCCCATGAGAGTAGGCACTGTTGTTACCCCTGTTTAATAGATGAGCAAACTGAGTCACAGAGGTGAAGTCACTTGCTCAGGGTCACAGTGTAAGTGGCAGACTTGGGATTCAAACCCAGGTAGTCTGGCTCCAGAGTGTGGGTTCATAACCACAGTACACTAGTCTGTCTTTCCATGTTAGTCAAAATATATCTTTGAAAACACTGAAAGGAATTGATATAATTAGCTAAATTGTGATAACATTTGTTTCCTTGTCTTTCAAGACAGGAGGCTTGGATTTTGGCCCTTGTCCTTCTACTCACTAGTTTTGTGACCTTGGACAAGTTGCTGAACAGCTCTCAGCCCCTGTAAAATAAGGGTTGGGCTAGCTGATCCCAAAGGTCTCCCCTTCCATCTCCAGAATTCTTTGAGTTCATGCTGACCCCTGCTGTTGGCCATGTGGCCTCTTGGCCCAGCCCTGGCTTCCTGCCCATCTTCTGAGCACTCCTTATAATCCTGCAGCCTGTGCCTGTTGTCTCTCACCTGGCTGGTGCCTCTTCACAACAGTGGGTTGGTGCCTCTGAGGGCTCTGGAAATTGTTCGGTCCTTGTGTAGGCGACTGCTGCCTGATTGCAGCCCATTTCCTGCACACTAAGGATCTTTCCCTGTGGTTCTCTAGGGTACAGAAGTGTCCCCACCACCAGGCTAACTGGGCTTTCAGGCAGACCCCTGGGGGAAGTCACAGAAACAGTAAAACTAATAAGCCATTTCTAGATGACAGACTGTTTCGTATCATTACCAATTTTCTTTTATGTGTGCAAGTTTTGATTGAGGATATCAGCCATGAGTAAGCTGGGGCTGACTAATCAAGCCTCAGCCCTCACAAATGTGACTTGTGTCTTCTCCCTTCAGCCTAGGAAAGAGCCTGGAAGATGTTCCACAGGTTGCCCTTTTCCCAGTATGCCCCAGACCACAGTGAGAAGAGACACAGACATCTTGAGATGTGTATAAATATTGCTACTACTTTGGCTTTTACACCCTTCCTGAAGGGTAGAAGAGTTGAAATACTTTTGTTTTTTTGAAGCAGGGTCTTGCTCTGTTGCCCAGGCTGGAGTGCAGTGGGGCAATCTTGGCTCATTGCAACCACTGCCTCCCGGGTTCAAGCAATTCTCATGCCTCGGCCACCCAAGTAGCTGAAATTACAGGGATGTGCCACTACACCGGGCTAATTTTTGTATTTCTAGTAGAGACGGGGCTTCACCATGTTGGCTAGGCTGGTCTCGAACTCCTGGCCTCAAGTGATCCACCTGCCTCAGCCTCCCAAAGTGCTGGGATTACAGGTGTGAGCTACCATGTCTAGCCGAAGAGTTGAAATTCTGACATCTCCAACCAATAGACTCAGCTGGCTAAAAAATGTGCCCCTAGTATTTGGGGAATTTCTTCCTTTTCATTGCTTTGGTCTGAACAAGGAAGGTTCAAAATGATGCTGGATAAATACCACCTACTAAAAGGATACATTCTAGAAAGTCTATGTGTTATAGAAGAAACTTATGTGTATGAGCTCAGTCCTTACTGCATCTTGGCTGCTGTCTGGCCCTCCCTGGCTACTTTGAGGTGCTACTGTTGATGCTGCTGCTAAGCCTAGTGATTTCATCTCAGTGGTTTTGGATGCAGATATTTTTGAGGCTTATCCCTTTAGGATGTACTGAGAAGCGAATATTAGCTGATTTGGTGTCTGTCCAGTGTACACTACTTTGCTTATGTTGCAGCGAGGAGTTAAAAAACACACACATTTTTGGTACAACTATTCGTTTTCCCATTTTCTGAAAGCTGGCGCATTGAAACGTTTTCTTATTTATTAGAAGACATTACAGTCCATCATCTTTGATTGAGAAATCCTTACAGTAAGTTCCAAGTTAAGACCATAGTGTGTAACTCACGGCATGACACAGCACAGGGTACTGAGTCACATTAGTCAAAGTAAAAACAGTTATGACCCTTGAAGGAATAAATTATTTGTGTCCAACTTTACTTTTCAATACAGGACATTGCTACTTTGCTTTGTAATCTTTTTTTTTTTTTAGTACTTCCGCAGCATTAAGGGAATATTGACTCTGTTTCTGACATTGTGCAAGATTACAAAGTCCAAAATGGAATGGAACCAGTTATAAGTGAATGGCAGAATGGATCATAGGTGTTTTTTAAAGGCTTGGGTGAATGAGTTATTAGATCACTGTACATATGGGACTGTCACAATTATAGAGATGAAACTGAGGCCAGGGGCTGTTATTATTGAAAAGTTCCATGGAGCAGGTGGGGCTGGAGAGTCGGGAGCCAGGAGCAGGAGGAAATGCATTTCAGGTATGAAAGTGGGCAGTACGGTTTCTCAGAGGTGGGAGTAGATAAATGTGTACAGGTTGGTGTCCCATTTGGGGATTAGCTAACTTCAGCTGGAAAAGTAATAGAGACCTTAGGGGACGTGGATATTAAACTCTGGGGAAGGGAGGTTGGTGGAGAAGAATGTGAGCAAAGTCACCCTGAAAGATGTTGGCAGCATCACCAGCGCCCACAGAGCAGCTAAGAGCCGGCATGTGTGAGGCTGGAGAGGTCCGCTGGAGCTTACAGGAAGCCAGCCTGCTAAATTAAGGTGATAAGTCAGGCCATAATCCTATTTTTGGTTGTTTCTTATAAGAAAAACAACTCACAAAACAATTACTGATGTTCCCCCCAGATAGTTTATCAGAGCATTTCTTCAAAGGACTATGACCTGATAAGAGACACATAAGTTTTAGAGCAATGATGGGAATTTTAGTTGGTTTTCTATGGAAACAAGGTTTATGCAATCATGTGATCTATTCATCGGAGTCCTATTTTCATTACCATTTATCCCACAAACAAGTTTCAGCGGAAACAGTAGTATGAATCCCAGGAAGCCTAGTGTCATACGTGGCTCATAAATAATTGGGGAAGGTACCTTTGTTAGCCCATCTAGGGAGGGCCACAGAGGTAGCAAGGTGGCATATGCTGCCCAGTGGTACCCTCAGGGACCCCACATTCCAGCACCGAGTTAGCTCACACCACAGGCTGAAAGGTAGTTATCATGCAGCAGGATGTGACTTTGGGTCATTAGAAAACAGCAGTGATGAGGCAAGCTCTGCTTTCTGTCCAGTATGTTCATTTAAGGCATTTGGGCCTCAAGACAAAGAAGTGTGAAAACTGAGCACATAATCAAGTGTTGGTGACCCCTCTTGAGGTTTTCCCAAGTACCCCTCCCACCAGTCCTTAGAAACGACTGGAAGATAGATGCACACAACACCTTCTTTGGTTTATATATTTGTCTTGGAATTATTTCCAGTTATTTGATTCTTTGGATTTCAAGTAAAGCCTCATTTCCTCAGTGAAATGAGGACATGTTGGACCCAGGAGCGCTGCCGCCTACAGCATGGGCCAGCCTGCGTCAGCTCTTGGTGATGGGCTGTCACTCAGCCACCTTCCTTGAGAGCACAGCCATCGGTTTGTGATGATCTGTTTATTAGGATGAGCATTTGTGTGTCTCACCCAACCGTAAGCAGCTCGAAAGCAGGATCATGTCTGTTTTTGCTTACCCCAGCATGTAGGAACTTGAATCTTTGAATAATTGAATTAATGTATGTGCTTAGAAAAATGCCTATAAGGTGTGTATATTATATATATTTAAAATTGTGGACGTTAAGTTATAACAGGGGCAGAAGATATCTATGTGTCCTTTTTACTATCTTTCTTATGTGTGCTTATTTATCTTCTTTTGTTTGGAAAGAATTGCGTGTGACTTCATTTCTAAGACAGGTTTTTGTGGTAGAGTAGGAAAAAATGAAATCTATACATGTTAAAGAAGGGGTGAGAAAAGTCTCCATTCTTCTTCCTGTGGATTTTCTCGTTTTTTTCCTTGGCAGCTTGGGTGGAAGACAGATGACTCATGAGTTCTCATTATTGTTTCTCCACTGCCTCCACCCCTTCCCTTTGCAGGATTGATACAACCGTTTCCACCCCAGAATGGCATAGGCTCCCTTCTTGGGCTTCGTCCTGGTTGGTCATAGTCTAGAGAAGCAGACTTCTTCAGTCCCAGTGTATGCGTCGAGTGCCTCGTGGCTGGGTTCATTCAAACCATGGATCATCTGCTTGTCATCACTGTTCTAGGGAGCAGCCCACACTGAGCCACATCTGAGCAAAGGGGCAGTAGTACTGCCGCCTGTAGCGTGGGCCTGGTCTCACTGGGTAGTTAATAACCACTATTTATTATCTGCCCCATGTCGAGCATTATTCTGGATCTGGGGGCACCTAAAAACATAGATCGACACAGTCCTTTGACTCCTCCAGCAACCAGTCTAAATGTGGAGGATGACACACACACAGGAAGAGAGGTGGCATGGACGAAGTGTCATCCAAGGATTGTTAAACGAAAGGGGAAACAAACTGAACATTAAAGAAAAGGGAGAGCATTCTGGGAGTACTTTAGGCAGAGGTGTTTTTGCAGAAAAGGTAAGTATGATCCCCTGTACCTGTTTATATCACTACCTATGTCTCGTCTCTACCTGTGCATGTATTTTTTTTTTTTTTTTTTTTTTGAGACGGAGTCTCACTCTTTTGCCTAGACTGGAGTGCAGTGGCACAGTCTCGGCTCATTGCAACCTCCGCCTCCCAGGTTCAAGCAGTTCTCTGCCTCAGCCTGCCGAGTAGCTGGGATTACAGGCGCCTGCCACCACACCCGGCTAATTTTTGTATTTCTAGTAGAGATGGGGTTTCAGCATCTTGGCCAGGCTGGTCTTGAACTCCTGACCTCGTGATCTACCTGCCTCAGCCTCCCAAAGGGCTGGGATTACAGGCGTGAGCCACCACACCCAACCTGCATGTAGTTTTAAAGGCATTAGTGCCATGTCTGGATTGGGGACTTTTGTAAGGATCCAGAGCACCCAGATAGTTGGTTTTTACTAGCCCCAAAGAAGAGTGTAAGTAAAATTGATGAGGTGAGTTTTGGGGTTTAGAATCCTGAGATTGTGTCACTTCCCAAGGTGCTGAGAACTGGTCCCTTGATTGACGCTGTGTGTCACAGTTGCCCCAGCCACATGCTCTGCGCTTTCTGTATTGAGCCTGGTGAAGGGCTATTTTTGAAAATTCACTGATGAAGGGCTGTTTCTGAAATTAATGAGATTATGTACTTTTTGTTAAGCCCCTGGATGACGATCCAAAGATCAATTCTGGCCCTAACATTCCAGAAGCTCATTGAGATAGGAGTGATCACAGTCACTGCATCAGCAGGCATGCTGCTGGGCTGGGGGTGTGGTGATGAGCAGTCCCTCCAGAGTCTCACAGGGAGGCTGACAGGCAGTTGGCTCCAGGTGATCGTGGTGGCAAGCAGACCCGCAGTGGGCACCTTCTAAACTCTGCCTGAGCTGGGGGCTGAGGTGGGGAAGGATCAGGAAAGCCTTCAGCAAGCTGGACTCATTTGAACTCATTAAGTCTTGATGATGAGTAGGTTTTTGTCTGGCAGAGAAGGGGTGGGTAGTTTACTTTAGGCAGAGGGAAGAGCACAGAGAAAGCGATAAACCAGCTGTCGCAGTGGCTTACACCTGTAATCCCAGCACTTTGGGAGGCTGAGGCGGGCGGATCGCTTGAGGCCAGAAGTTCGAGACCACCCTGGCCAACATGGTGAAACCCTGTCTTCGTTAAAAATACAAAAATTAGCTGGGCATGGTGGCACATACATTTACTCCTAGCTACTCGGAGGTTGAGGCATGAGAATTGCTTGAACCCAGGAGGCAGAGGTTGCAGTGAGCTGAGATTGTGCCACTGCACTCCAGCCTGGGCGACAGAGAGAGACTCCCTCTCAAAAAAAAGAAAAAAAAAAGATAAAACCATTCATAGGAGGATATTGGTTTTTAATAAATGAGGAAGACTTTTTGCAGCTAGTGTGGAGGGTTGAGTTGTAGGGTCATTTAGAGGGAAAGGATTGAGACTGGAGAGAAAGTCCTGAGTGTAAAGAGCCTGTGTGTCACCTGAAGGAGCTTAAGTCTAACATCATAGATGAATTTGTCTGTTTTTTCCTGATTCTGCCTTCCCTAAAAAGCTGGAGGTCCCTCCTTTCCTTTATTTACTTGATGTTTTAAAAGGTCCTCATCTTATTGGGGACTCATCTCCTTCCAACTTTTCTATAAGTCAACATACTGTTTCATCTTTATCGACTCTGACGCTTGGCCAGGTGTTAGCTCATCAACTTTCCGTGATGATGTGGTTCTGCACACAGTAGGCGTGCAGCAAAAAAATACTGAATGAAGGAATGAAGTATCAGACTGTAGTTAAAGTGTTCCTTAAAGGGCATGTGAACCCAGAGTCTTTTTTAATTTAATTCCCTGCAAGCCAAACTGTTAAACAACACTGTACTCCTTACTGAGCCTCATCAGGGAAGCTCGGCATAGACCCCTCATCACCCATGGCTTCTAGCACTGTGTCTACAAATGAGAAGGGCAGGCTTAAAGTGTTGTTGGGGAGGAGGGGTGGATGAGGCAAAGGAGGAGCAGACAGTGGATCTAGGGAACAGTCAAATAACGGGAGAGAGGACAGAGCTGCCCAAGGAAGGGAGTCGGGTTGGTGGGGAGTTTCCCCAATTATCTCAGGTGCCTTTTATGCTCATATGCAAGTTTAAACACAATATGAATCTCCCATTCTCTTAAACTAGAGGCTAAAAAGAGGACCAGGTGTTCACACAGAACTTGGCAGATGATGTTGGCCAGTTTGAACGTGGAGAGGATTGAAAATGGCTGAGCAGGGAGGGATGCTGAGCGGTGCTTGGGCCTCTAGCAGCTGCTAATTTTATAGAATGCGCTAAAATAAACCTTGTGGATAGATCTTGCCTCAGCCTTTTCTATCTCTGGTCCTTGGACAGAGAATTGTTTAAGTCATTTCATGTTTATTGAGTTATTTTGGTTAATCATCAGTACAGATTGCCTCTAAGTGGTTTTTGCATCTTTTTTTTATTATCGCTTGGTCACATAACTTCTCGGAACCTCAGTTTCCTTATTTAATACTCTCAAGGTTGAATATTAAATCATATGAACAGGATTTGCAAACTATAAAGCAATGCTATGCATGTAAGGTGTCTTTTTTTTGCCAGTTACTGAGTCTTTAAGGGCAAATTGTCTACTCAATACTTGGTTTACTGTGTTAGGATTCCATTAGGGAAGCAGAACCCTTATAAATATTGTGGAATAACACATGTATTAGAGGAATTAGACCTTACACAATTATGGAAGGAGTTGGAGAAGTGAAGGCCTAAAAAGGAGAGTTAAAGTATCAAGGAAAAGTCACTAGTCAGCTGTCTTGAAGCACTGGCAGGTGGACAAGTTGAAGCGTGAAGAGGAATCTGGAAACCAGGCAGAGTGGGCTGGTTTAGGGTTCTGAAGAAGGGTAATCACTTAGCCCCGAGATTGCAGCCAAGCATCTAGTGGTCTTGGGGTCATGTTGGTCCATAAGAATAGCATTTGGGAAGAAAACAGAAGCAGAAAGAGCAAGGACAAACGGGTGTCTACTAGCACCTTCACATCTGTCCCACACTGCCTTTAACCACGAGCCATATACCAAAGTAATGGCTGCCGCTTGACTTCCATCTCCCAAATCTGACATGAAGTTCTATTTTGTCCAACCCTAACCTGGAACTACACAGATAAGAGGATTCTGGGATATGTAGTTCCAGCTTAGCCAGGTGACAAAACCTCACAATTTCATAATGTAGAATTAAAGGTTTGACATGGTTCTGGCCTCCCAGGATCTCTCAAAGGCCACAAAACTGGAAGCAATGTCATAGTTATATGATCTAGTGCTTTACTAGTAAGAAGGAATTCAGTTAGTTAATGATCCAGTCTTGAAGAAGTACCGTGCATTTTTGTTCCTCACTTGTTGGTGGCACTGTATGTCTTTCTGCCTTGCTTACCTTTTTTTTTTTTTTTTTTTGATACAGGGTCTCGACCTGTTCCCTGTTGCCCAGGCTGGAGTGCAGTGGTGCAATCATGACTCACTGCAACCTTTGCTTCCCAGGCTCAAGCCATCTTCCTGCCTCAGCCTCCCAAATAGCTAGGACCATAGGCACATGCCACCATGCCCAGCTAATTAAATTTTTTTTTTTTTTATAGAGACGAGATCTATGTTGCCCAGGCTGGTCTTGCACTATTGGCTTCAAGCCATCTTCCCACTTCAGCCTTCCAAAGTGCTGGGATTACAGGTGTGATGCAGGAGGTAATGGTTGTCTTGGCAGCAAAAACTAAGAAAAGTTGCATTGACTTTGAAGAGCCTGTCAGTACTGATGAAATGCAAAGTCTTTGTCGCCTCCTTTCTAATCTTGTTTGATTTGGAGAACATGCGTATGAAGGCTGAAAGAAGATTTCCAGATATAAATGGCAGGATAGATAACATTAGAGCCAGAACTGCCATGTAAATGTCAATTAGAAACAAGATTTAAGTCTCTGGACCACCCTTCTTACCCCCTGTGGCCTGTTGGTCACACTGCCCCTTCCTCGTGTTTCTGTAGCCAGGCACAGGCTAACGAGGACTCAGAGAGTGCCTGCTATGATAATTTTAGCCCCTGGAAAAAATAACAGACTTTGTGAGATTTAATGGCCACACCTGGGCCTTGTCATCACTTAGTATTCTTTCACCTTTTTGATTGTCAATTCTGATATTTCCCTCTGTGACCACAACCTCCTTGCTTTACTCCTTTCAGATTCCCTCCTATCTGTTGAACCTATTCTTCATCCTAATTGTGATTCCCTGATTTTGAACATTCTTCCTTTTCAGTCCATCAGGCCATTCTCACTTTACTTGGCTCTGAATCCAGGGTAGACTCTGGTGGTCAGCATTTCAGCAGTGAGCTTGTTAACAACCTGGGACCCTCTGTCATATTTCTTTGCCAGACCTCACATTGTATTACATTTCAGTAATTCACACCAATCGTAGTTTGTAAGCCTGAACTTTATTATCTTGCTGGGGAAAATCTCAAAGTCTGCCCATCTGAGATTCCAGCAAAGTCCTGGCATCTTTACCGCAGCTCAGCTCTCCTTTGTGTTCCTTTTGTGATGGTTTCCTATTATATTTCTTCTGATGCTTATTCTAAACCTTTGTCAGGATCTTTAGCATCTGAACTCCTTTCTACTATTTTACTGAGACAATAGAGACCAAAGAAACCTCAAGCTTTTGCCTCAAAACTTTTTAATATTTTTACTCCTTTTCTCTGTCTAACCTGAAAAAAAGTAAGGGCTCTATCTTTGGCTCTTTTTCCTCTCTATGTGTATTCTTTCCCCAAGTGACCCCAGGCAACCTGTGGCTTTAAATACTCTGTGTGTGCTGATGACTCTCTAGTGAGTATCTCCAGCTTGGACCTCCCCACTGAGCTCCAGACTTAAACATCCAGCTGCCTACTCCACTGCACTTCCACTTGGTGTCTGATAGGGACCTCACATTTAAAATGACCAGAAGACAACTCTTGCTTTCCTTGGTACAGATTTGCTTCCCTCTAATTACTTTGCTGTCTCAGTAAGTGGCATCACCCTGTATGCCAGATGCTCAAGCCAGAAGCCTAGATCATTCTTGATTGCTCTCTTCTTCATTCCCCACATTCAAAAAGTCAGTTTGTCTTTTCATTCATACACAAGTTAAGTCCTGAATCTGACTACTCCTGAGAGTCACCACCACTGTCAACCAAGGCCGGTGTTCATCAGCTTTTGCTTGGTCTACAGAAACTTCCCCCATGCTGGTGTCCTTGCTTCCAAATTGGCCCCATATAATCTGTCTTTCCCACAGCAGTCAGACTGAAATTTCTACAAAGAAAGTAGGCTCTATCGTTTTCTCGTTGATGTGCTTCCCATTTCAACCAGAATCCAGGGCCCCTGCCCCCTCATTCATTGTGATCAGTCACAGTGATCTTTTTTTTCTGTACTTTAAACACCCAAGCTTGCTCCATCACAGTGCTTTTATATTTGCTGTTCTGTGTCTGGAGCAGTTTTGCCCCAGAGCTTCAATCACTGTCTCTTCGTCATTCTGGTCTAAACTCAGACATGACCCTCTCAGAGAGGCCTTTCCTGACCACACTTCATATTGTCATATTTTAACTGAATAGCATTTGTCAGTGGGTCTACTTCATCACTGTCTCTTTCCTAGAACACAGTTTTCTTGCAGGCAGGGACTGGTGGCCATGTGTCCCCAGTGCCTAGAAGGTGCTTTGGGGGACTGACTGGCTGACTTTGCAGGATGAACCCCCTGCTTGCTGCTTCAGTGCCTTTTTCATGGTTGTGCCTTCTCTTCCCTACATCTTTGTTCCTTCTCTCCTGGCTCTTACTTTCCAGATCCCATACCCGTCATTGAAAATGCGCTTTCCTGGAGGTTGCCAGTGATTACTTAGCCATCAGTTCATTTCTCTTTTCTCAGCACCCACCTTCCTTGACTTTTCTGCATGTTTGACATTGTTGTTCATTTTTTTCAAACAAAGGCATATAGTAGGAGTCTGCTTTAGATATTGTGCAGGATGCAGATATGGGTAGGAAACAGCTCCTGCTTTAAAGGAGCTTGCAGTCTGCCAGGAGCAAGTAGATGAGTAATGTTCATAAAGAAACAGTAAGTGTTACTTCAAACCCTTTCTTGAAATTCTTGCATCCCTTGGCTGCTAGGGCATAAGCCTTTCCTGGTTTTCTTCCTAACTGGTTACTATTTCTTTTTTCTGTGCTGACTCTTTTTCTTCTGCTCATGCCTTAAACATAGGACTTTGCTGTGGTTTTGTCCCATTCCCTCTTTTCTATACAGTAATCTGTCTCCCGATGGTGTCATCGACTCCCACGTCTTCACTGCTGGGCAGATTTCCTTTTTACCCCCCACTCCCTCCGTGCATGTGACTCCACATTGATGTTAGGCTCAAATATCTTCTAGGGGTTTCCATTCCAACTGTCCGGTGGACATTTCTACTGGTCAAAATCTTACTATAAGAAAATAGATTTCACCAGTGATTAGCTTCCCTTTGGCTTCTGTCTCCCCTCACAGGTCTACCAGTTGACCCTTCCTCTGTTGTGGCTCTCAGAGCTGCTGCCTTTTGATTCCTGTCATTGCCCTTGTTTTCATTATTATTACCTCTCCCCACCATTGATAGAGGGTCCCTGAATGATCTCTGGGCCTCCATGTCTCCTCTCCAGTCTGCTCTTGATACACTGTTTTAGTCACCCTGTCTTCACCACTACCTGCCTGTGTCCCCCGTGGCCCCTTTAGGTCTTTGCTTATGCTACACCCCTTATCTCTGGTCACTTTCCTCCTTCATGTCTTCTGTTAAACCTCCCCCTCATCCAACCATTTTTCAAAGGCCAAATTCGAATATTGACACTGCATGAAGCTTTTTATGAATCCCTTTGGATGGAAATGTCCTCATTCTCTTTTGACCCCTGAGGCACCTGTTAGTGCATCTCTTTGATTATTTATATCCTTCCTTATACAGGTTGAGCATCCTTAATTCAAAAATCCAAAATTGGAAATGCTCCAGAATCTGAAACTTTTTGAGCACTGATACGTTGCTCAGAGGTCATGCTCGGAGGAAATGCTCGTTGGAGCACTTTGGATTTTGGATTTTCAGATTGGGAATCCTTAACTGGTAGGAATGCAAATATTTGAAAATCTGAAATCCCAAACACTTCTGGTCCCAAACGTTTTGAATAAAGGATATACAGCCTGTATGACAGTTTGCACTGTTCCACACCTCCTGACTCTTAGCATACCATACGTGCCTTAAAAGAAGATCCACAAGCTGACTAACCTTTCACTCTCACTTATCACCTAGCACAGGGACTTTTTGCTCAGTAGCTGTGTGTTGAATGAGTTATCTTATCTTACATTTGTCTAGTGTATCTCAGTGAGGTCTTAGCTGAACTTTTTCTTTTTTTTTTTTTTTAATGATTATAAGCACTGTTCTAGTAGAACCTTATTTGCTTCTGGATGGGGTTTTGAAGTTCTGCCATATGTGACTTCATTACACATTCTCTGCTGTCTATAGCTTGTTTAATGTGCCTTGCTGCATTTTCATGACTTAGGGACTGTCTAGATGAAAGTTGGCATGATCCTTTCCTGTCAGACCTCTCAGTGGCAGACTTGAGGAGACAAAGGTTTTTCATTTGTTGAGTCAGGTACTCCAATAAAGGCACTATAAGGTTTTATAAGTTTGACTTTCTGTGCATTCATTTCTAGCTCATATGTGGACTGGGAACTCCATGTGGCAATCCATAGGCCCCGAGTCTCTCCTAAAAGCCTTGTAAGGACTCGGGAAGTGGGAATTAGGCACCCATTTACAAGGCATGCTGAAAACCATAACCTCTTTAGTTTCAGCATTTCAACTCACCTGTACCACTGGATTCAATAACTGCTGATACTTATCTTACAAATGGTTCAGATTGGAAAGTCAGATTGTTTGCTTCTAGGCAGCTCAGTGAAATAATAAAATTTGAGCAGAAATAGAAACAATTGCAAGAATTTTTAGCAAATATGCTATACTCTGCAGGTCTTGATTTAGAATAATGTTGATGATAACCTGAGAAATAAAATCCATTTCCCATGGATATCAGAAGGAGGTGGAAAAGCATAGATAAATGAAGTGTAGTCTTCATTGCCTTGTCTTTCTTAATGATTCCTCATGGTTGGCAATAGCACTTATTTAAATAAACATTGCAGGAGTAGTTGTTTACTTTGAAGAACTTGCCTTTTTCTACCTGTCCCCATCGATTCCACCTGATAGAAGAAAGTCGAAGGCATTTAATTACTTTCTTGAGTATTCCAGAGGTAGGGAAATGGTAATCGGGAAACAATTAACTCTTGGTTGTTAATTTTCTACTGCTGAGAAGTCAGAGCAGAGGACTTCTAAAAGTCCCTCCTGTATGATTTTGGAATAAAGTTCTCTGCACCATTTTTGAGTATAAATATGCGTGGTGTTAAAGTTGGTATCACTTAAAATAACAAAGGTAGTACATCAGAAAAATTTTTGAAGAAATTTTTAACAATCCAGTTTCTTCTATTCTCTCATCTGTCTACTTCACATTGAAAATATATAATATTTCTTCTTTCAGTGACTCATTTCTGTGTTACTTTGCTGCCTATCTTGGTTCCATTGCCCATGGAGAATATGAAATATAGGGAATTTTAAGCTGTTTCTTTTTCCTACTCAGATTAAAGACAAAAAATCAACAGAGGATGATAATATATAATGCAATTGAAGGCAAACGAAATCCGACCTATCTTTGGCTTATGCTGCACTATCAAGTTTGGGTTTGAGTCCCTCACGTTATAGCTGTTATGACCTTCAGGAGGTTATTCAACTTCTTTGATTCTCAATTTCCTCATATCTGTGATAGGGGTGGTAATAGCTACCTTATGGTTGTCTTCTGTGGATTAAGACAATTTGTGGATAGTGCCTGGCTCAGTCAGTCAGTGCATGCCATGTAAGAAACACTGTACATTATTATTCTTCCTCTTACTCGATTCTAATATTGTTGTGGAGAGAGACTGGGAGACTTGATAGTAAATCAAACTGAATACATCATGAAATAAATACTATGAGAAATGCTTATATGATTTTAGCTGAAATTATGGGGTCTTTGATTAATCAAGTATTTTTTATTCTACCCTCCCCCTCCCCCACCAATTAGCTTGTTATTCAGTCTTTCATTTTTGTGGTTACTCTAGAGATTAGAACACGTATCAGTGATCTGTTAGTGTTTACTAGTGATCCTTTTACCACTTCCAGGATAATGAAAGACCTTACAACATTTAAGCTCCAATGTATTCCACCCCTCCCCTCACTTTTTCTGCTATTGATGTCATATGTTTTAATTATGTATATATTTTGAATTCCAGAAGACATTACTAATATTGTATTTATAGTCAATATTCAGTAGGTTTACCCACATAGTTATTCTTTCTGTTGCTCACTTTGCCTTCTCACATTTCCATGATTTCAACTGGGATTATGTTCCCTCTATTTGAAGAACCCCCTTTAGTACTTATTTTTGGTGCAATTAATTCTTTTTCCCTTGTTGAGAATTGGTTGAAAGCATGTTTATGTTGCCTTCCTATTTGAGGATTTTTTTTCTCTGTATAGAATCCTAGGTTGGTGGTTACTTCCTTTCATCACTTTAAAGATGTCATTCTGTGGTCTTCTCATGAGCATCATTTCCGTTGAAAGTTAGCCATCAGTTGTATTCCTGTTCCTTTCTCTGCCTTTCAGTAGTTTTGCTATGATTTACCTAGGTGTGGTTTTATTTGTATTTATTCTGTTTATGATACATATCTTATCTTGCATCTGTGGCATGATGTCTTTTGTTGGTTTAAGAAAAATCTTAGCCATTATCTCTTCAAAAATTATGCCTAATTCTACTACAGTCTCTCCCTGTCCTTCTGGGCCTCTGTGACACATATGTTTGGCCTTTTTACTGTGTCTCATAGATTCTTGTCTGGCTTTTTTAGTTCTTTTTTATACCCTGGGCTTCAGTTTGGATAACTTTTACTGACTTTTGTTTTATTTTGTTTTGTTTTTGTGATTGTTTTGTTTTTTTTTGAGACAGGGTCTTACTGTGTTGCCCAGGCAGGAGTACAGTGGCACAGTCATGGCTCACTGCAGCCTCCATCTCCTGGGCTCAAGCAGTCCTTCCACCTCAGCCTCCTGAGTAGCTGGAACTACAGATGTGTGCCACCATGCCTGGCTAATTTTTTCTGTTGTTGTTAGAGACAGGGTCTCACTATGTTGCCCAGGCTGATCTTGAACCCCTGGGCTCAAGCAGTCCTCCTGTCTCAGCCTCCCAGTGTGCTGGGATTATAGGCGAGAACCACTGTGCCTGGCTGCTGACTTCTTCTGTGCTGCATCTAATCTGCTGCCAAACCTATTTATTGACCTCTTAATTTCGGATATTGTATTTTTTTTTTTAGTTCTAAAATTTCAATTTGATTGTTTCAATATATTTCAGTTTGGGTGAAATCCTGTTTTCTATTTCTTTAGTAAATTAATTATAGTTAGTTTACAATCTGTGTCTGATAAAACCAATATCTGGATCCCTGGAGGTCTGTTTCTATTGTCTTATTTTTTCTCTTTTGTTTTTGTTTATTTGGTTCTGTCATCTGGAATACCTGGTAAGTTTTAATTGAACACTGAAAAATTGTAGTGGCTTTGTATGATGTCATCTTCTATCTGAGAAGATTTACTTTTTTCCTAACAGGCCAGTAGAGTAAGAGAAGCTCATCTTTATCCAATGAGGAATTGAGATGCTTTGAGACTGTCTTTTAGTCTTGATGAGAGCTAGTTGCTTTTTCCGCTTTGCTCTTATTCCAAGAGCATAGCCCTTCCAGGATTGTAACTGAGAATCTGAGTGTTTACCACCTTCCTTTGTGGACTCAGAATTCTAGTTTTTGTTTCCCCGTATTGTGAAATGGTCAAAAATTTTACTTAACCTTTAGCCCCCTAGTGTTTATTTTCTGCTTAGCTTCTCAGCCACTTACCACCTCCCCATACCCTTCAATGTATCTTTCATGTCAGTTACCTTGAGGGGAAAACAATGTAGTATGTCAAGCTCACTTCTCTGCTGTTGCCTTTTTTTCGTAGGATCTTGCTCCTCAAACTCTGACCTTCTTAGTATCCTTGAACTTCAGTTGTCTTCTTGGCCCCACAAGGTGCTGGAAGCTCTGAGTTACTTACTTCTACTTGCTTTCTAGCCTGCACCACTTAAAAATAGCAAATATCTGAAGAGAAAAGGCAGTGGGTATTGTTGAGTCCACTTCAGTATCTTTCTGTGATCTTGGACCCTTGAGCCTGGCTGCCTTGATTGCTCACCACTGCATTCAGTTAGCTTTTATCTATCTTTTATGGTTTCTGTAGTGGGAGTGAGGGTGGGGGCAGGGGGTGGGGAGTGATCTGATATTAGCTACTCTATGATAGCAAAAAGCAAAAATCTAAAAGTAGAAATCTCAATTATTGGTCTTTTGAAATTTAAACTCTGCTTACCACCCCCAAATATTTGAGTCAACTTCCAATGAAATACACATACATATACGTAAACACTGCATGAAGGTGATAGTTAAAGTGCCCTTATTTTGTCTTGGGTATCAAAGGTACTCTGAGGCTGTGGTAACTGCCCCGAGAGGTAAGAGAAACCTGTGTAGTTCCTGTTTTTTTGAAAGAATGTACAATGGTCCATCAACAGGTATTTTTTTTTCTGGTATTAAATTTTAATGGAATTTTATTATGTGAATTTTTGTGTCATTGAACAACCCAGTAGTGTCCTCAATAGGACTTTTAAGGCTGATAAATGTTTTTCGTATGAAGGTTTCTTATATTGACTCCTGAAAACAAATGAAGCCATAATTCAAGATTGTTACTTAGTAGCGGCATTTTTATGGGGAACTAAACTAATACAGTTCAGGTAAAGAAGTGTTTGGGACCTTCAGTTTGAAACACTGGTAGAACTTGGAAAAATAGAGGAAAACTTTCTTTTCCTCTTTTTCCCTCAGTTATCAACTGTTACAAAAGGTTTTGACAAAAATTGGCAACATGTGGCTATGTAGATATTCTTTTTGATTTGAAAAGAGCCATATGCTCTATTTTTTCCAAGTTATATTTATTTTTAAATATCATTAGCTGTTATTTAACAATATTACAAGAAATCTGTGCTAAATACCAGATTGCTTGGTGGCAATTTGAAATTCTGTTACCAAAATTTAAGATCTTGATTTGCATGGATGAGGGGACATCCTAGTTCTGCATGCAAGACAGTGCTCAGGTTTATATCTTTTCGGATTAGAATTTGATCTTTCAAGCATCTGTTCATATCTGCTTTACTTTTCCCAGTGGAGCTATCATATAGCCAATGTTGAAGGTACTTTTGCAGGTTGAGTTGGAACATGAAGGAAGGAGTACCTAAGTGATCCTAGGGGAGTTGGGGAAGGCTTCACAGAGGAGGTGGTGCTGCAGCTGCTTCTTACAAGAGGGTGAAGAGATGGATGAGAGGGTATTCCAGGTGATGGAGGCATGAAAGCAGAGGCCATGAAGCACCAGAGAGTATGGCATTTCCAGAAAGTGAAGAGATGTTTGTTTTGTGGGATAGAAGCATCAGAGAGTGGGAGAACAGTTGGAGATGAAGCTAAAGTGGTATCCATGAGCCAGATCATGAGTGGTCTTGTATGTCTTTTATTCATTCATTCATTCATTTAACAAATATTTATTGAACAACTACTATTTTACCAGGTCCTGTTCTAGGCACTGTCATTCAGCAATGGACAAAACAAAAATCACTACTCATATGGAACTTACATTCTACTGGGGAAAAAAGAAAAAGAAAACAAATAATAGTGAAAACATAAATGTTCATAAAGTATTTTAGTAATAATTGATAAGGAGAAAATTTGGCAGGAGCAAGAATGGGGATGTGCCACTTTAGGGTGCTCAGGAAAGGCCTCATTGAGAAGGTGACATTAGAATATGGATCTGAAGCTGGTGAAGGAGCTAGTGGGATGAATGTCTGAGAGTGTCCTGGGTTGAGGAAATGTGCAAGGGCCCTGAGGTTGCAGTAGGTGAAACCTTGGGAGCAGAGCATGGCTGGAGTATAGTGGAGGAAGAGGAACAGACAGGAAGTCCAAGAAACAAAAACGGCCAGGTCCTGTAAGGATTGCCTCTATAAGGATTTCAGCTTTCATCTGAATGAGATGGGAAGTGATTGGAGACCTTTGAACAGAGTAAGATATAACCCAACTTAAATTTTTCAAAGATCACTTTGCTGTATTGAGACTAGAGAACAAGAATGGAAGCCAGGAGAACAGTAAGGGACACTGCAGTAATGCAGATGAGACGGGTGCTGGCCGGGGCCAGGGTGACAGCACTGGGGGTGGCTGATGGGTTGATTTTGTCCTATAGGTGATAAGGAGCCATTAAAGACTTGATCAGTGAAGGGACATCGGATTTGTATGTGGAAAATATGATTTTGGCAGCCCTGTGGAAGGATTGGAGAGTTCAGACAAGGAGATGAATCAGTTTCTAAAGCTCTGATCACTAAGGATAAAGATAGAGACCTTACAAGGATGCAGTCTCATGCTTGTGGGTAGGTTGTCCACCCTGGCCAGCTTCTTGACAAGGGATAGGAATGGAAAAGATTAACACATTAGGAAATTCCTCTGTAAACCTAGCCAAGGAAGCAAGGTGAATGACTATGATCAGGTTTATCCTAGAGGTGGCCTGCTCAGCACATAACCGCAGCCCCTTGCCATAGGCCAGGGATCATGAGTGCTGTAAGTACATTTCCTCATTTAATCCTTACCACAGCCCTCAGGGAGGGTGGTGACCACGGTCTCCATTTCACACGTGAGGAAACTGAGGCACAAGAGGGTTAAGCACAAGGCTGTTTTGCCTCTAAAGAGTCTCCACCATGATGCTTTCTTCTAGAAGATCTCATTGGGAGATTCAGAATTGTCTGGTTGTCTCAAAAATTAAATGTAAAAAAGTGATCACCTCATTTCTTTGTGAACTGTGGTAATGATGGCTTCAGAGAATTAGTCACTGCTGGGTAGTGATATATTATTTCAACGTTCTTTGAGTTGCCAGTGACAGAAATTACCTTTACCTTAAGAAACATAAGTAGGCTGGGCATGGTGGCTATAATGCTATAATCCCAGCACTCTGAGAGGCCAAGGAATATTAGTCCGTTTTCACGCTGCTGATAAAGACATACCCGAGACTGGGCAATTTACAAAAGAAAGAGGTTTAATTGGACTTACTGTTCCCCATGGCTGAGGAAGCCTCACAATCGTGGCGGAAGGCAAGGAGGGGCAAGTGACATCTTATGTGGATGGCGGCAGGCAAAGAGAAGAGCGCTTGTGCAGGGAACCTCCCCTTTTTATAACCATCAGATCTCACGAGACTTACTCATTATCATGAGAACAGCACGGGAAAGACCTGCCCCCATAATTCCATTACCTCCCACCAGGTCGCTCCCACAACATGTGGGAATTAAAGATGAGATTTCGGTGGGGACAGAGCCAAACCATATAATTCTGCCCCTGGCTCCTCCCAAATCTCATGTCCTCACATTTCAAAACCAATCATGCCTTCCCAACAGTCCCCCAAAGTCTTAACTCATTTCAGCATTAACTTACAAGTCCACAGTTCAAAGTCTCATTTGAGACAAGGCAAGTTCCTTCTGCCTATGGGCCTGTAAAATAAAAAGTAGGTTAGTTACTTCCTAGATACAATGTGGGTACAGGCATTTGGTGAATACAGCTATTCCAAATGGGAGAATTTGGCCAAAACAAAGGGGCTACAGGCCCCATGCAACTCTAAAATCCAGCAGGGCAGTCAAATCTTAAAGCTCCAGAATGATCTCCGTTGACTCCACGTCTCACATCCAGGTCACGCTAATGCAAGAGGTGGGTTCCCATGGTCTTGGGCAGGCTCCGCCCCTGAGGCTTTGCAGGGTACTGCCTCCCTCCCGGCTGCTTTCACAGGCTGGCATTGAGTGTCAGTGGCTTTTCCAGGTGAACGGTGCAAGCTGTTGGTGGATCTACCGTTCTGGGGTCTGGAGGATGGTGGCCTTCTTCTCACAGCTCCACTAGGCCATGCCCCAGTAGGGGCTGTTTGTGGGGGCCCTGACCCCACATTTCCTTTTCCTCACTGCCCTAGCAGCGGTTCTCCATGAGAGCCCCACCCCTGCAACAAACTTCTGCCTTTCATCCAGGTGTTTCCATACATCTGAAATAGAGGAGGAGGTTCCCAAACCCTAATTCTTGACTTCTGTGCACTCACAGGCTTGACACCACGTGGCAGCTGCCAAGGCTTGGGGCTTGCACCCTCTGAAGCTATGGCCAGCTCTGCATTGGCTCCTTTCAGCTATGGCTGGAGCAGCACCAAGTCCCTAGGCTGCACACAGCACAGGGACCCTGGACCTGGCCCATGAAACCACTTTTTCCACTCCTGGGCTTGTAATGGGAAGGGCTGCCATGAAAACCTCTGACATGCCCTGGAGACATTTTCCCCATTGTCTTGGGGATTAACATTAGGCTCCTCATTACTTATTGCAGATTTCTGCAGCCGGCTTGAATTTCTTCTCAGAAAATGGGTTTTTCTTTTCTATTACATTGTCAGGCAAATTTTCCAAACTTTTATGCTCTGCTTCCCTTATAAAACTGAATACCTTTAAAAGCACCCAAGTCACCTCTTGAATGTTTTGCTGCTTAGAAATTTCTTCCACCAGATACCCTAAATCATCTCTCTCAAGTTCAAAGTTCCACAGGTCTCTAGGGCAGGGGCAAAATGCTGCCATTCTCTTTGCTAAAACATAACAAGAGTCACCTTTGCTCCAGTTCCCAACAAGTTCCTCATCTCCATCTGCAACCACCTCAGCTGGGACCTTGTCGTTATCAGGCTTTTGGTCAAAGCCATTCAACAAGTCTCTAGGAAGTTCCAAACTTTCCCACGTTTTCCTGGGAACCCAGAATTTCAAAACATGAATTAAACCAGTGAAAAAAGAGTGGCAGTAGTATATTAGTTTGCTAGAGCTGCCGCAACAAAGTAGCATGAACCAGGTTGCTTAAACAGACATTTATTGCCTCACAATGCCAGAGGCCAGAAGTCTAAGATCAAGGTGTCGGGGAGTGGTTCCTGCAGAGGGCTGAGAGGGAGAATCTGTTCCGTGCTTCTCCCTTAGCTTCTGGTGGCTTGCTGGCAATTTGTGGAGGTCCTTGGCTTGTAGACATATCCACTTAATCTCTGCCTTATCTTCATGTGGCTTTCTCCCTGTGGGCATGTGTGTGTCCAAATTACCCACTTTTTAAGGATACAGTCGTATTGGATTAGGGGCTCACCCTATTCCAGTATGACCTCATCACAACTAATTATATCTGTGACAACCCTGTTGCCAAATATGGTCACATTCTGGGGTACTGGGGGCTAGAACTTCCACAAGGAATTTTGGATGGGGACATAATTCAACCTATAACAAATGATAAAAATACAAAATTAATAAAAGGTTCCCATTTCCTGGAGCCCTTATTACATGGTAGACTCTCACCTAGACATTTTATTTCATTAACTCAGTGAAGCTGCCTTGTCCCAATTCATAGTGGCAGAAGTCAAAGGTAAGAGAGGTCTCTCAGATTGCAACTTAGGTCTCCTTGATTTCAGACATGCTTTCTCTTTTATATGTTATTGCAAGAACATCACAAAGGAGCTATATGTGTTTATTTGGTGCAATTGAAATGCTAAACAGGTAGTAAATACACTGCAAAATCATGCTGAAGTTCATTGCAATGAAGACATCTTAAAGGACTCACAGGTGCCAGTTGTAGGGTCCCTACCAGAGAGGGCTGGGAATTGCACACTCTTAGGGAAGGGAAAACCAGTGAAGTCTTGCCTGTGTCCACTGGGCTTATACCCGGCAACCAGCTGCTGCATTCCTAAGAACACCCAGCAACCAACCTGCCTCTCTCCCTTTGTGCTTCCACATCCTCATTCTGAATTTAGATCAGAACAAAGAGTAGAGAAGGAAATGAGCCAGAAAATAGAAAATTAATACTTGGTAAAATCATCATATTTTAAAATTAATTTATAGGCAATGTCAGATAACAGGAGTTAAATCATTTTATCAGCAGGCTGCTCTAGGATTTAAAAATTGGCATCCGTCATTGTAAATCAGGTCTCAGGAGCCCCAGGGAATGGTCTCTAGGGATGAGGGCTGATGGCTGGGCAGAAATGTAAACACTTGACTGGCTGTGCCCTTTTATTTCACACAAAACCTAAAATATTTTTACATCACATGGAGTGGTTAGGGTGTGTTAAATAGTAACTGGAGGGAAGAAGCTATTGAGGTTTACAGTTAGCCTGCTTTTAATGCTTATCTTCCTCCCTGTTGGTCCTGGGAAACTGGTTGTGTGAGAGATGCTCATTTTGAGGTTGCATTCCTGGCTCATTATTTAAGGGTTAGGCTTAACCTTCTGCATAGATACATTTTCCCTAGTAGTTTGGCTGTCACGTTTCTGCCATGCCTGTGAGCAGGAGCATCCACAGGTTTGCCACATTTGTCCTGGGAAGACTTTCTGTGATTAAAGACCTGCCTTTCATCTTTTATCATTGCAGCTCTTTGCCGAGGGCGTGTGGTGAGAGTCCCCACAGCGACCCTGGTTCGAGTGGTGGGCACTGAGCTGGTCATCCCCTGCAACGTCAGTGACTATGATGGCCCCAGCGAGCAAAACTTTGACTGGAGCTTCTCATCTTTGGGGAGCAGCTTTGTGGAGCTTGCAAGCACCTGGGAGGTGGGGTTCCCAGCCCAGCTGTACCAGGAGCGGCTGCAGAGGGGCGAGATCCTGTTAAGGCGGACTGCCAACGACGCCGTGGAGCTCCACATAAAGAACGTCCAGCCTTCAGACCAAGGCCACTACAAATGTTCAACCCCCAGCACAGATGCCACTGTCCAGGGAAACTATGAGGACACAGTGCAGGTTAAAGGTACAGTCCTCACATGGGCTTGTTATGCCAGGGGCCAGACCTTTCTCTGCCCCTGGGCTGTGGTGGACTTTGTCAAGAGACTTAATTTCTCTGAGGCTCTGCTCCCTCCTCTGTCCAGGGGAATAATCATGTCTTAAATAATCATGTCTTAAAATTTAAAAATCATTGTTATCTGATTAAAGGCAGGGGATGGGCCAGATGACCTCAGAGGGCCCTTTCTCTTCACTCCGGTATGGTTCTGAGCCACCCTATGCCCAGTGAGGTGGAGGCAGCATGATGCGGTGGTGGAGAGCTGGCTCTGGAGCCAGGTTGCCTGTGATTGTTTGGTCCAGTTGCTGGCTCTACTACTTGTCAGCTGCATGGCTGTGGGCATGTTACATGCCTCAGCTTCCTCCTCTGTAACCTTAAAGGTTGTGAGGACAGCTGAGTTACCAGGTGTAAAGCCTTAGAGCAGTGCCATGTAAGCATTCAGTGGTTAGTGACAGGAAGGGGATGGTCATGTTAATGATGCTCAGGTTTATGGGAATCACAGGCACTTCAAAGTTCATGTCTTTCTCTGTGGCTTTCATGATTTAAGTACTTGTTTGTACCAGATGTTTTATGTGTTATATGTAATGTGGTCTCTGCTAGCTTATTGACCTAGCTTTGCAAATATTACACCTTATGTACCTGGAATGTTTTGGGATTTGTTTTGGGGGTTTTGTTTGTTTGTTTCATTTTCCAAGTCCTTTTAGATTTACTCACACATTCAATTCTCTGAACCCAATCAAAATAGGGCAGAATATTTCCCTAATTTATACATGAGGAAATGGAAGAGCATAGGTTAATTACTTTCCTAAAATCACACAGCTAATTAGTAAACGAGCAAGAACAAACCATTTTAATTTGGGGCTAAGAAAATAGAAACATTATAATTGTTGTTATTGTTACTTAATTATGCATTTATTTGTACCCTGCCTTGTTCCCAAAAGGATTTATGTCTGGGTCAGAATGTATGTAATTATCAGAAAGTAGAAAATGCACATGATGATATAAAAAGCGAGGGTTGATTGAGGCATTCATTCCCTCATGACTTGTAGAACCCTGCCATAGCTCAGAGACTGTTCCCTCACTAGACTCATCAGGGGATAAAACTGTCCATTAAGGAGGTAATGAAACACCCCATCTACCTCTTTATTCCTATAGAAAATTCAGAACATGTTATTTAGAAAAAGACACTCTTGTATTGGAGCTAAATATTGCCACATGCCACTTTTTCATTAAGCCAGATGCCCCCTTGTATCCCCTTGGAGTCTCCTCTTGAGTGGGAGGGAGAGTAAGGGGAGAATTCCCCCACCCGCACCCCACTTCCTCCAGTATCTTTCAGCCTCTTCTGCTGTCTTTGGAAGGCAGGAGACACAAGAGGAGGCCTTTCTTGGGTGAGGAAAGCAATGGATGACCATGAGAGAGACTGACTGCTGCCCAGGTGGAGCCTCTGATGGTTGCCATGTGTGGTCCAGGATCTGCCCGGCCTTCAGCTTCATGGCTCTTGAAACTATTCATCTGTGCTCTGAGAGATGAGCTGGCCTTGAGAACTGAGTCATATTAGCCAGACTCACAGACTGATACATATACTAGAAGGTCATTATATTTATTTTGCAGTAGAGATGGGTCTTCAGGATGTGTCCTCCTAAAAATGTAGCAGCTTTTAAATGTTATCTAGAATAGCCCCTTCTCAAGGACACTGAATTAGTTTCTGAATATGGAATTGGGGGGAAAAAAAAACAGATGATGAATAGTGGTGTTGGAGGGTCCTCTTAGCCAGCTCATGGATAAGCCTGATAGATTTTTCCCTGCTGCTTGGTAGTGGCCCCCTTTCTGGTTACCAGAATAGCAGTATCCATCTACTGCTTTTTTCCTGAGTACACCACCCATACTTCCTTGATCGCCGTCCCCTTTTTCTAGACTCTGTAGAAGTGTCTGGGCCTGTTCCTATCATGTGGATATGCTGTGTTCACCCTAGACATTCTTGGGCATTCCCCAGGCTGCAAGCCACAGGCAGCTCATGCCATCCTTTCTCCCCTGTGGATCTTGCTACTTTAAGTCTAGAAGGTCACCTTATCTGCAGATTCTGCGGGCTCCCTAGCCTAGCCCTGGTCCTAAGCAAAGAAATGTTTGACAGTCATACCCAATGATTTATCATGACAGCTGAGTGCCAGGCACGGTCCTGGGAACTTACCCTGTTTAACTTAACTCTCATGTCAACTCTATGACGAAGGTCCAGTTGTCATCCTCCTTTTAGGAAACTGAGGCACAGAGGGGTAAAGTAACTTGCCTTAAGGGTAGCAGAAGCACATCACATCCCCAAGGCACGACTCCCACAGGGAGTTTTTACCACCCACTTCTAGCATGGGGTTTTTTTGGTACCTTTATTTTTCTTTTTCAAGTCAGAAAGTCAATTGAGATTACAGATGAATCCAGTTGGGAAAACGTGCCCATCCGGGTCTTGGAATGGGAAAGGGAGGAGGAAATTGTCTGTGGTTGCAGCGGTGGGCTGGCCCTTGCCGGCTGGGGTCGGTGTGGACGGGCTACTGACCTAGCTTTCTCTCTCCGCAGTGCTGGCCGACTCCCTGCACGTGGGCCCCAGCGCGCGGCCCCCGCCGAGCCTGAGCCTGCGGGAGGGGGAGCCCTTCGAGCTGCGCTGCACCGCCGCCTCCGCCTCGCCGCTGCACACGCACCTGGCGCTGCTGTGGGAGGTGCACCGCGGCCCGGCCAGGCGGAGCGTCCTCGCCCTGACCCACGAGGGCAGGTTCCACCCGGGCCTGGGGTACGAGCAGCGCTACCACAGTGGGGACGTGCGCCTCGACACCGTGGGCAGCGACGCCTACCGCCTCTCAGTGTCCCGGGCTCTGTCTGCCGACCAGGGCTCCTACAGGTGTATCGTCAGCGAGTGGATCGCCGAGCAGGGCAACTGGCAGGAAATCCAAGAAAAGGCCGTGGAAGTTGCCACCGTGGTGATCCAGCCATCAGGTGAGCTGGAAACGATGCGTTATAGGTGATGTTATTTTGTGACTAATGATAGTGATACAAAGAACCGGGCCAGGGAGCCCCATGGCCTTCTGACAAGAACTGTTTCTGCTTCCCATGTGAGGCCTTATTTTTAGGGGTGAAGGGAGTAGGGTGTTGAGAGGTTGGAGGTGGGCGGGGTTACATTTGTTTTGTGCTGAGGATGCCTGTCGTTTTGCTTCGCAGCTGCTTTTATCTAAATTCATGTCCATGGAAAGCCACAGCCTGCACATAACACGAAGGCAGATCTTTCACTCAGAGTTGAGGTGCTGTGGTCCCTCAGCCAGATTAGGTAGGACTTGGTGTTCAGTGGAGCTTTGGGGTGAAGGTGCCACACCCTGCCCCTAAACTTTATCGGGTTTGATGTTTCCTGAGTCCTTTGACGTGCCTTTCTCTGCAGCTGTTGGAGTGTGTGCCTGGCTCATCCCAAAACCTTTCATCTAACTTGTATCCTCTAGGCCTGCCTTTCGGTCCCCTCAGATGTGCTTTTCCTGGAAGGGGGAGGAGCTCTCTAGGGCAGGGCCGCTTCTTGCTTTCCTGTATCATACAGACCACAGGAGCATCCAGTCCTGGGGTCTGTACAAGAAGCCCTTTGTCCTGTCGTCTGTGAATCAGCTTTTTTTTTTTTTTTTTCAAACCCTCTACTGCAATTATAGAAGTAATTAAGAAAATACAACATGCATTTTAGAAAACACATAAAAATAAAAGGAAAACATGGTCTTGTTGACTCATTGTCCAGCCAGCATCAATGGAGGACCTACTGTGTGCTCAGCTCTGTTCTGGGCCCTTGGGTCAGAGGTATTTGAGGCTTGTTCCCAGGCCCTGTGGAGCTTTAGGCTTCACAGAGACAGTGTAAAGAGACCAAGGAAGGGCAATGTCATTGCTCAGGATGAGTGGATGTCCTTGGTTTTCTGCAAGTCTGACATCTTCAGATCTCAGAGTACTTTGCTGCTGTTGCTGCTGCCTTCTGTTTTTTAAACTGGGAAGACCTTGGTTGTTGCACTCATTTCCTGAGCATGAATGTGAATATGTGGTGGCTCTGTTACTCAGATGGGAAGGAAAGCAGGAAACAACACGCAGGGGGAATATTTTGTCTCTGAAGGTGCATTGTCCTGAGCTCTTTACTCTGCACTTACACCACAGCACAGAGCCTGGATTTGGAAAAGTGGGTGGTGGAAAAGCAGGTCTGAGGTTCTTGAGTGACTATGGCCATTGAGGAGAGGAGCTGCTCATTACTGGTCAGTCTGGGCTCCACTGGCTGCAGAAATCGCTTTCCAGATGGACTTAGGTTACCTTCCTGATCAGAAGTGATCGCTCTGCAATCTGCCCTAAGAAACCTCTAGATATTAAACTTGCATCAAACAACTCTTAAGAGTTTCAGCTGTGTAGAAAGTTTACGCTTTTTTGGAAGAATTTGAATTGTAAAGACATTTTTTGTTTCAAACACACCATGAGACCTATAATATCTAGCTAAGAGACTTGAACACTGAACTTATTAGGCAGGTAATATCTGGCTCTCAGATGAGACAGGGTTCATAATCTTTTTGTGCCATGAGACTTTTCGACAGCCTTTTGAAACCTACAGACCTTTTCTCAGAATTAACATGTTTTAATTCATAAAATACAGTACACAAGATGACAAAGGAAAATAATTATATAGAAATCGTTATCAAAATACTTGTAAAGCAAATTGATTTTGTAGTAATATGCTGCTTTATTAATGCATTGATAATAAGATAGTGGCAGGCTTAACAACTGTACTTTCTGAATAGTAATGAGTATACATGATATTTCAGGATATCTGCAGCAACTGTAATGTGATTTCTATTTGGGGTAGTTCCAGACACAGGTAATACTACACTGGTTTGTTGCTTACTTTCACAGTGGGAGGAGATGCTATATTTCAGGTACAGATTAATAAAAATAAAGATGGAGTTTTTTTCCCATCCAAGTTCACAGACTCTAAATTCTCTTTGTGGATCCCAGGCTAAGAACTGTCACACTAGGCTGATGGTCCTTCTCTTCTTGTCCACACCTGCACTATCCATAGCTGGCTGCTTATATATTCTTATCACATTGTTATGATAAATGGCGCAGAGTGAAGCTGTGCTACCCATGTGGCAGGGAGCCTCCTCCCCAGCCCCTCCTCCCTGTCATGGGAGTGGTCTGGTTGCTGCAAACTTTGTCTGATTTATGGATTTAGTTATATTCAGGGACAGAGAACCTGCCCCACCACAGGCTTTGCCTGAGGTCCCTTCTTTCATTACAAATACTTAGAACTGGTCCTTTTTTTCCCTTTAGCCTACTCCATCCTGTCTCTCAGCAGTAAACTCCCAAATCCAGAATGTGTGGGACCTCTGGTTAGTGATGTGACAAGATACTGAGCCACTTGCACAGAGAAAATTACAAAGTGAACTACACAGCTGAAGAGACATCCCTGCCAATATTTTCTGAACCTGAGACTCTGTTTTCTCCATCCATACAGTCCACAGCTGCTTGTTAAGTACTTCGTCACTGACCCGACTCCCTCCTGAGTCGTCTTTTACTTCCAGTAGCTGAAGTCCTGGCAGAGGTGACTCCAGCAGGATTCCAGGGTTTCTGGCCACAAGCTTTGACTGTAGAATGGTTCAAACTGCAGAGCCTGGCTCAGGGCAGCAGTTTCCATACTTAGTCCTCACAAATGATACCCTCAGGCTACTTTTGGCCCTTTTAAAGAGATGATCGAGAGAAAGAATTAGGAGACTAGGTGGAAGGAGAAATTGAACTTTTAAATTGCCTTTTCTAATACTGTGCCCACCTTATTTTCTGTCTTCTGTCTAGCTGGATCTTGAACTTGACTTGAAATATTTGTTTGAAATATTGTCAGGCTTTGGACATATTCATATGAAAGTAATTTACGCCAAGGAGCACGGGCTTTGGAGTTGGTCTTTTCTGAATTGGGTCCCTGAGCTTACTGGGGCCAGCGCCATGCCGTTGATGCCAGCGACTTGCTAGAAGGCCAGGGCTGTGCCTCTGCTTGAATCCCCTGGGAAGTGCTTGGTACTTGTCATCTAAGTAATTGTTCCCGGACATTTCACAAGTTGATGTTTTTCTACTCAGATTACAGATGCTCTTTTAAAATCTTCTGAATAGAATAAAATGTTTCCATGTGAAAGCTTTGACAGGGGAATGCTGGAACTAGATCTGCCTTGAGTCTGTGACACCAAATACTTCAGTGCTTCATCTAAATATAGTCTACTTTTAATTATCCACACTAATGAGAAAGGACAGTAGTGCAGATAATCCAAAAATCATCGTGTTTTAGTTTTAGAATATGTTTTATGATTGGCTTTTATGTGGGAATGTCTAAGAAATAAATTATACTCTCAGTACATTACATTTTGAAGACTTGACTCAAGGAAAATTGTCTGGTTTCACTTTCCTGGCCCTTCTGTTTAGGATTTTTCCCTTTTATCCCTTAGACAGTTTCACCCTCACTTCTGCTGCCTTATTGCCTAGCCCCCAGCTAACAATATGTACCAGTCAGAAGCAAGTCTTCCTTTTCTGTAAAATCACCCAAGTTTCATCATGCACATGGAGAATGTATAATTTTAGTTTTACAGTCTTCAATAGACTGCTTATCAAAAGATAGCATAACAGTGAAGAGCAGAGTTTCTAAAGGCAGATAGCCTGGATTTGGATTCCATCTCTGCCACCTATCAGCTGTGTGACCTTGGGCAAGTTACTTAACTTCTCTGTGCTTCAATTTCCTCATCAGTAAAATTAGGCCTCTTAGGGTTGTTTTGAGGATTATTATATGTAAAGCACTCAGAACACTGCCTGGCATATATAGCAGATATATGTAAATGTTTGCGGCTATTGTTGTTTTTATAAAATAAGAAGAAATGTGGTATGTTCTGTTAATTTATTCATTAAATATTTCTCAAGCACTTACAACTGTACAAAGCCTTCTAACTTTAATGCTGTAAATAAGAACTTAAAAGGAGATGCTTTAAAGAGGGTGGAGAATAGAAGGGGCAAACATAATCAGATTACCTAGATGTATTTGTTTTTAATTTTCAAGTTCTGCGAGCAGCTGTGCCCAAGAATGTGTCTGTGGCTGAAGGAAAGGAACTGGACCTGACCTGTAACATCACAACAGACCGAGCCGATGACGTCCGGCCCGAGGTGACGTGGTCCTTCAGCAGGATGCCTGACAGCACCCTACCTGGCTCCCGCGTGTTGGCGCGGCTTGACCGTGATTCCCTGGTGCACAGCTCGCCTCATGTTGCTTTGAGTCATGTGGATGCACGCTCCTACCATTTACTGGTTCGGGATGTTAGCAAAGAAAACTCTGGCTACTATTACTGCCACGTGTCCCTGTGGGCACCCGGACACAACAGGAGCTGGCACAAAGTGGCAGAGGCCGTGTCTTCCCCAGCTGGTGTGGGTGTGACCTGGCTAGGTGAGTGGTTTGGAGAATGACTCTTAACCTCTTCAGCTTAACCCCTCCTCGGAGTTATCTGAAGGAGTTATCTCAGGAGGCTCTGCGCTTTGCATGACTTCGACATTATTTCTATTGGTTCATGCATACTTTGGCCCAGATAGATCCCAAGCTGGGGATGAAATAGAATCTGGCAGACAAGGGAAATGTTTAGATAATGTGGCCTCAGTTGTCTCAATACCCTCATTTGAGAGTATATAGTTTCCTTTTGTTGTCGACATTTGCAGGGTCAGGGCACTGCTGAATGGCTCTTTGAAATGAATCTTTGTTGGAGGGAGAACACTGCCATTCTTCCTTTGTTTCTCTTAGACTCCTAGGTGCTCCCTGGCAGGAGCTGGTGCTTTTCCAAAGCCCAATGCAGAAAGATAATTCCTTCAGTTATTAGAAAGCATTTTTTTTTTCACGTCACGCCCTGGAATCCCACAATATATCTGTATATACCACTTACAACTAAAGGGCCCGCCTGCTTCTATAGGCTTGTTTTGTGGACGCTCTCACCCCAGGTGTAATTTCCCCAGTGGAGGAGCAGAGTAGCTCTCAAGTGTTGAGCACCTTGCCACCCATTTTATAACAACCTGCCGTATATGTGGAGATCTTTGGCATGTCCTCTTACTTTATACTAAGCTCCTTTTCCCCTACCTCTTTTTTCCCTAAATGTTTGCCCTCTGGGCAAAATGTACACTAACTTTTCCTAATTTTTGTTATGTCTTGTAATTGCAAGTAATCAAAGGAGGGATGGGGTCAAGCTGGGTGTGGAAAGCTTCGCTCCCCACCTCCATTATTACAGAGATGGGACAGGCCTTTCATCACATTCCCCCCTGTTTTGATCTCTCTACTGTCCGTGAGTGCCTGAGCCCTGATAAAGGCATTTGGCATTGCTCTGATTATTAGCAGGCAAAACAGATCTTTAAAGGCCAGGAAACCATTTCCTCCTTTGTCTGATTCTTCTGCTATGACCTCCAACTCATACTTATCTATTCCTTATCTCTGCATGGAAATCTTCTCTTGGGTTAGTGGCATATTCGCTCTCCTTTTTTTTTTCCTCCCCAGTAAGCCTTTATTTGGCAAAGATGGGGAGTTGGCCAGTGGAGACAGAGGGGGCAGGGAGAAGAAGAGCAATGAGAGTAAGCGGAAGGGACAATCCGATTCCGATGGAGACGAGGCAGGGTGTTCATCAGCCCTGTTAGCAAAGTAATCCTTTGATATCTGAAAAGTAAAAGAAGCGGGGTTTATCTGGCAAGCTTTTTATTCCTGCCGTCTGAACCCCATGCAAGAGAGTCACTATGAAGTACTGAACTGGAACAATGTTGGCCCAGCTAGAACTCTCCTTAGCAACCTTCAAAATAAAACAGATGTTGTCAGCACCAAAAGAAGATTTTTCATCTCTGGAGCTGAATTTGTCTCACAGCTCTGATCCTTAGTGTATTGTATGGTGCTGTCAAATCCCAGCACTGGCTCTCCGTACCCGCTCCCCCTTCAGCTTCTGAATCCCAACTCGAGGACTTTTTTTTTTTTAATTGAAAGTGCTGCTTGCACTCCAATTTGAGGCTTCTTTGAAGTACGTGTGCATTGATCCCGGCATACCCGGGGGGAGATGCAGGGACTGTCAGACAACAGGAGCGGAGCTCTAGGAGGAATGGGCTCCTTTAACTGGAAGGGATTTGTTGGTAGCTGTGTTCTCCAGAGAGTGAAAAGAAATAAAGAGACTAAATTGTGGAAAAGGCTCAGTTACTATCCAAAGGATCCCGTCATTTGTTTTCCTTTGGAGTGCTACTACCATTGTGAAAGTCATCAGTGTGCTTTTCCTGACTGATGCTAACAGATACAGAACCTGCACCTTCCCTGCTGCTTTGCATGTAATAAGCACTCAATAAATATTAGCTGAACGGGTAAATAAACCAGTACCCACACATGGATTTTGTTAAAATATGTGCATAGGAAAGCTAGAATTGCTAAGAAAGCAGTAATGTTCAACTCCTAGGATATTCAGAGATATTTGCCCCTGAGTAAACCTAACGAAAGAGCGAGTAGTATGAAAAACAATTGCATTCTTTTTTTTTTCTTCCTCTTAAGACTTCTCCTCCTTCCCTGTGCCTATGACTCAGACCATTACAGCTGCTTGGACACTTGTCAGGAGCGGGTAGGGCATGAGCATAGCAGCAGACCCTTCTCAAAGACTTCCCCGCTGGACTCTGTCCAGAAGCCAGTGAGCCTGGCCTGACACTCCATGGTTGTCTCTAGATATGTAATGTGCATGTATATGCGTACGGATACCATACCACATACAACTTGGGACCAATATAAGGTAACCGAGAAGTGACCAAAAAAGATAGACAGACAACCTGACAAGCACTCTGTTGATATAGGTGGTCTTAGGTCATGTAACTCTGGAATGTTGTCACAGAAAAGTTTTCGAGAGAGTTGGTTTGCTACACAGGTAAAATGCAAAACTCAGTTTTGCCACTTGACAGATTAAAATGAATAATTACCATTTATTGAGCATCTACTGTGTGCCAGGCACTGGACTAAGGACCTTATATGCATTAAATGTTCAATGTGAAAATATTTTTGGCCTTGGGACTCAGCTTCATTCCTGAAACTCCAGAGCATAGTCCTAAGAGCTGGGTAGTTCTTGTCTTCATTTGCTTGGGGCTTGTGTACTGAGCTAGGTGAGGGGATTGAAGCTGATTGGGGTCTTCTAGAGTTCCACTGTGCTAAGCAGGAAGACGGGGCAATGACATGAATGGGCCTGGCAAGTCCAGAGCACTTGCAGCCACTGAGAGGATCATGATAATGTTTTAGATGTTGAGAAAAAACCTCTTTTACTTAGAATGTATGTCCTACTTTAAAGGGAAAGAAAAAAAAGATTTAAGTTGGCTTGCAAAATGAGGTACAGTTTAAAGCAGGAGACATAAAATCAAGATCAAAAGGGTAAAAGAAGAATAGATATTGCAAGGTGGTTGGTATGAATTAGTTATTATATTTGAGCACTGAATTTGCCTCTGAAGTTCTGAAGAGTTGAGACAAAAAAAAAGATGTGATTATACAGTTCTCCTCTGAGGAAGGAAAACATTAACTCTTTCAGCAAGACAAACTTTCTCTTGGCATTGAATTTATCATGTGCTTTTTCATTTTGGGGCATTGGAAAAGATAATAGACAGGGCTTTCAACTGTTCTTTTACAAAAGGCCCTAAATGATGGTTTAAATGGATGTTTCTTATATCCACCCTCTATAAAAGCTGAGGACATAAATCTTAAGTGTGTGAAGGGTTTCTGTAAGAAGCTCAATTACTATGGGGGACAAATGATGCTTTGTGTTGATCCAATTTAGTATATGTCTAAAACAGAGAACCTAGCAGAATGGCTAGTTAATCTGCACATTAAGCCATCTCCTTCTGCTATCAGATGTCTTAAATGAGCCTTTGGCAAGAGTTGGATACTAATCAGTTCATGGTTGAACTCTGCCCGAAGTACCAGACTTCTGTGGCGTTAATTGGAAGGGGTTCCACAGGCTTTGGATATAAGAGCTGGAGGAGGCAGAGTTGAGTTCTGCTGTTCAGTCTTAAGAACCTGATTTGCATTCTTCCCCACTGAAGGACTGGCCCCTCTTCAGCAGTGTGCCAGCAAGGAAGGTAATTATTTTATTTAAAAGAGCTGTTAATCTGCTAAGTACTTGGTAGAAACTTTAGAGTTCTGGGCCATTTATAGGCGATAAGATTTAGACCTGTAGGTTTTTTAAGGATAACTAATATCAGCTGTCTGTCCAAGATTATTCTGGAAGGCAGAAGTGCACGTGGCCAAGTGTTGGAGTCAGGAGACATGTGTTAGTCCTCCTTCTAGGTATGTTGCCTCGGGTGTGTCGATGAACATTTCCAAGTAAGTTTTGGTTTCCTGGTTTAATATGATAATGCATATAAAGTGCTTAGTACAGTGCCTGGCTCTTAAATGCTCACTGCATTTTCTTGGTGGTGGCGATGATGATTTGTTAGTGTTTGAGGGTCTTCCCCACCAAGTTCTTAACCAATTAAGACCTAAGAGTTTGTCTTAGGGCATGGAGGAGCCCAGCATAGAGGAATTAGGAACATGTGTGTCCTAAAAGCAGCTGCTCCTAAGAGGAGCTAGAGAAAGGGGTTGAGCTGACCACACCCAGCCCTTTTCATCCCTCTCAAAGCTAGTAATTCACTTTTCCTTCTCTGGGAGGAGCAAATGAGGATGAAGAAAGAAAAACTTCATGAATATTTCTTTTTTTTTTTTTTTTTGAGATGGAGTCTCGCTCTGTCGCCCAGGCTGGAGTGCAGTGGTGCAGTCTTGGCTCACTGCAACCTCCGCCTCCCAGATTCAAGCGATTCTCCTGCCCTAGCCTCCCAAGTAGCTGGGACTACAGGGCGCCTGCCACCATGCCCGGCTAATTTTTTTTTGTATTTTTAGTAGAGATAGGGTTTCGCCACGTTGGCCAGGCTGGTCTCAAACTCCTGACTTCAGGTGATCCGCCCGTCTCGGCCTCCCAAAGTGCTGGGATTACAGGTGTGAGCCACCGTGCCTGGCCCTTCATGAGTATTTCTTTGGGTGCAGGGCATAGATGTTGCATTCAAATGATGTTATTTTTATTGCTCTGAAATGGCTAGTGCTCCATCCATCCTCATAATGGTTCTGCCACAGTAAGGTAATGAGTCTCCCCTCCCACCCCCTCCCAACAACAATAGCTCCTTATTTGTAGCCTTCACTCATTAAATGTCGGTGAATATTTAATTGTTATACAAATGGTGATCGTGGTGTCATTTTGACGATTGGTCAATATGCTCAGCTGCCTCTAAAGTACCTACCCAATTCAAAATAATAAAACCCTGTCATCAGCACAGGCTGAGTACTCCTTCTGTTTCTTCTAACTGGTGCATGCAGCCATTCATGTAATTAGCTGTGCCAAGTTAACTAAGTTTCAGAGGGGGTATTAGAACATGGTCCTATTGTACACAGTTCAGGATTAGTGCTTCAGCTGTTGTCATCACTCTTGTCTTCCGGGACGTAGCAGGCTTTGAGAAAGATTAATAACCTTGGTGTGTAAGGAGGTTGCACAATTTGATCATAGTAGGAGCCAGGCCACGGAGCCAAAGCCTGTCCTATAATTCTGCTCTCACACACTCTGCAAGGCCTTAGTCTTCTAACTTAGCTCCTCTAACTTTTGCTTTTTGTTTGTTTTTCATTTGGAAATGTACATGAAAATAGTACCAATCTTACAAGGTTGTTATGGAGATTAATTGAAAATGCAAGGAAAGTATATAGTGTGGTGCCTGGCATATGGAAAGCCCTTGATAAATGCTCGTTGTTTAGCATTATTATTGTAAAATGGGGATAATAATACCTTCCTTACAAAATTGTCATGAGAGTAAAAGGAGGTATTTTGTATGAAAATCTCTAGATCAGTCTCCTGCACATAGTAGGCCCACAATACTTGTTTTTACAAATTAGCCAGTGATTCTGAAGGCTTTTTATTGTTTTGAAAGTTGTGACAAAGGAGTCTAATGAGCCATTATTTTTAAAGCCTTTCTTTAGGGGAGGGTCACTCTTTTGGAGTCTGTGCATAGCTTGGGAGATGGTGTGGACATGAGCAGACACCTTCCTGGCATCCAGATTAGGGAGCAGATCCCTGCTTCTCAGAACGTTAGTGATGCTGCACTTGGACTGGCCTCAGTATTCTGTGAGAGGGCTTACAGTGTGTGTTGTTGTTTGTTTTTAACTTTTAAAAATAGAAATTTACAAATATTCACAGTTGAAGAAATAACCACCAACTTCAACAATAATCAATATTTTGCTGATCTTATTTTATCTCTCTTCCCTATTCCAGACACCAGACACACACAGACACACACACACAAAAACACACACTTTTTTCTTCTAGAAGAGTATAAAGTATATCCCAGACATCATGTCATTTTACTGTTAAACACTTTAGTATGCATCTTTAATGATAAGCAGTTTTTAAACATAACCACCATTGCATTCTTAGCTGATTTCTTGATGAGATCAAGCAGAATGTAGCAGTAATCAGTGGTGAAATGCCTGTGCCCAAAATGAGCATTTTAATGCAAAATATTAAATTTAGTTCAATTCAGCCAGTATGTTAGTATTTTTTATGTACAAGGCACTGCATGCACAGCACGTACAGAGAATCAAGGTGGCAGTCCCTGGCCCTGGGAAGAGTCCTGTGGAAAGCCCATAAGACATACATACGAATAACCAAAGTTCAAGGCAGGATTCACATAAAACCCTTAGAGAGCAGGGAGCTTGGCAGGTGGTGGGATTTGTTGAATACGAAATAGGAGTGTGACATGTGAGTTCAAAGGAGGCATTCTCCGTTGAGTAGGAGAGGATACACAGAAGAGGTATGTGCATGACAGGCCTTGAAGAAGGGCACAATCTCTGCAAACCATTTTTAAAATTGTAAAACAATGTTAAAGGACAATCTCTGTCCATGCACCAAAACAAAAACGAAATCAGAACCTGCTCCTACTCCTACCATTCTGACATGGTGGAATCATATCTTCTCCAGGAGTGTAAGTCTAAAGTTGAGCTACAAGGCTGGTGGATAGCTCAAATGAACCTGCCCCTCGTAAGTTCACAAGCCAAGAATCCACTTATTTTTGTTTGCCTTTGCATTAAAACTGAGGCCTCCTTTTCTGAGGCCTAAGGTTAGTTTTAAGAGAAAATGAAGAGACCAACTGTTGAGGTCAATGAAGAGATTTTTCTTTCCTTCCAAGCTGGAATTCCTATAGCTAGATGCACACATTGTGCAAGTCCCCCGTACTCTCATTCCGCTGTGTTTGGGTATGTAGGATTCAAACAGATTGATTTCAGGGTGGAGAATGGAGTAGAATGAAAGAATCTCTTCAGTCATTATTTAAACTACTTATCGAGCAGGTGGCCCAGGTGCTGAGGCAGACAGAGCAGCAGGAAGGAAGGCGGAGCATAGGAGTAGCTAGGGAATGGTGAGAGGTGCCATCTGAGTGGAGTTGAGAAGGCAGTGGGTGCTGCGGCTGGGTGCACGCAGTGGAGGGCCTCGAATGCCAGGCTGGGGAGCATTTTCTTAACTCAGTAGGTGAGGGAAGAAGCCATGGGAGGTTTATGGAGCAGATGCCCAAGCAGTCATGTCAGTCATGTCAAGTGGCAATGGGAGGTTGTTATTATAGTCTTGGCTAGAGGGAGTGAGGGCCAGGGTGAAGGTGTTCTTCATGAGGTTTTCACTTCTATTTGCAAATATTCATAAAGTGTCTACTCTGCATCAGGCCTGAGAACAAAGAAATGGAAGAGACACTGAGGAGGTAGAATGTGCGAGACTTAGGAACCCTCAGAGTGGAGAGGTGGAAGGGAAGGGAGAGCGTTGAAGATGGCACACCTTTGACACTGAGTGACCTTGAGAATGAGTGGCGGGAATGTGGTAGCAGGAGTGGTTGAAAAGTTTGGAGGTGGGGCTGGCTGTGTTTGGAACAAGGTTTTAACTCTCTCTCTCTCTCTCTCTCTTTCTCTCTCTCTCTCGCTGGCTCGCTGTGTGTGTGTGTGTGTGTGTGTGTTTGTGTTTGTGTGTTTGCAGAGGCAGATGTGGAGTGAGGTGAATTCGGTTGTGAGCGTGCTGTAGTAAAGACGCCATGGATGCTCAGTTAGAATGCCCAGACCTCAGCTCAGGCCAGTGTTTGGGTCTGGAGGCTAAGGAAGAGCTGGGTTTTCATGTCTGGGGGAGTGAGCTTTGGGGTGTGAGCAGGCCAGGGAGTGGGAGGAGAGAGAGAGCTGCCCAGGTGATTGGCACAGGAGCTAGTTTTGACCACCTTTTCTGTGTGTTCTGTGATCTGACCACTAATAGGTCAGTCAAGTCACTCCAACATGTTTTTTTAATTGACAGATTAAAATTATATATGTTTATGGTGTACCACATGGTGTTTTGAAATATGTATACATTGTTGAATGGCTAAATCAAGCTAATTAACATATCCATTACCTCACATACCTATAATTTTTTGTGCTGAGAATGTCGAAGATCTGTTCTCTTAGCAGTTTCCAAGTATACAATACATGGTTATTAACTATAGTCACAATGTTGTACAATAGATTTCTGGAACTTATTCCTCCAGTCTAACTGAAATTTTGCGTCCTTTGCCTAGCATTCTCCCCTCTCCATCCCCCAGCCTCTGGTAATCACCACTTTACTCTCTGTTTCTATGAGCTCAGCTTTTTGACCTCCCACATGCGAGTGACATTATGTGGTATTTGTCTTTCTGTGCCTGGCTTATTTCACTTAACACTGTCCTCCAGGTTCATCTGTGTTGTCGCAAATGGCAGGATTTTGTTCTTTTTTTTTTATGGCTGAATAGTAGTCTATTGTGTATATATACCATATTTTTTTAATCCATTCATCTGTTGATGGACACGGGTTGATTCCATATCTTGGCCCTTGTGAATAATGCTGCAATGAACATCTACCATCTTTCATCATAATTTTGACAGCCTTTGAAAAGGTGCCACTCTGAAAGAATCTGCACGGGGGTGGAAGTAAACCATTAAGGATCAAAGGGTCTGTCACCTGTGAGGAGACAGAAGAGGAGTCCCCACAGGCAACTTCATGGTGTTTTGGATCACACTGGTCAGTCAGGCTGAGGCGAGGGCCTGCAGGGAGCTGTCTTCTGGGTCACATTCCCTGTGGCAGTAACTTAGTGTCATGGCAGCACTGCACTCAGCGTTCCTAAAAATCATGTGTCAGTCAGTGGAACTTAGAAAATATGAAGTTTAGAAGACAGTAGGTTTGGTTCATCTGTGAGCTAAGGATGCACTTGAAAGGTGGTAGAAGACAGGGCTCCGTTCCCATCTGCCACTTTTGAACTGTGTGGCCAAGTCACTAACTTCTTTAAAGCTCTCCCCTCAGAAATGGGAACTGTGAATAATGATCACAAATATATACACGTGTATGTGTATATGAATATGTGTGTACCTGCATACACACACACACCAGGCACCAGTCTAGGCATTTTAAGTACAGTATATTTTAACTCTTAACCCTCACAATAACATTATGAGCTAGTTACTGTCATCCCCATTTGTATGGGTGAGGCACCAGAGATCTGAGTAATCTACCCAAGGTCAATAGCAAGTAAGTGGCAGAACCAGGATTTGAACACAGTCTGGCTCCAGACCTCAGCTCCTCACCACTGTTCTCTGCTGCCTCACAGTTTGCTGTTCAGGGTTATGGTTCTCCAGTCCCCACACAGTCTCATGCCACACAGGAAGGGTCTTATGTGTTGTGCTTGAAATGGACTTGAGGCTCCATGTAAGAGCCACTGCTGGCTGCTGCCTACAGATAGTTGATGCTCAGTGTTCTGGGGCAGTCTTACCCTATGCACAGCTGGTGCAAATCTGCCCTTTCCACATGAGATGGACTTAGTTGTCCTGCTCTGCACCCACATTGCTGCATCCTGAATTCGACATGAAAGTTTAGATGTGGAGTAATTTGAGCATTCCTTATCTTTTGCATATGATGGTGTAAACACAGTTGGGTGGTGTGTGTCCTTCAGTCAGTTTTTGCTAGGGTGATGTGTGGTGTGGTGTATTAGCACCATGCTCAGGTTCAGGACATCCCCTAGCAGTGTGACAGCATATGAGCCTGTAAAATGAGCAGTCAGAATGGCCAGTGGATTCCTCTCTAGCCCTGGCAGTCCCACAGCCTGTGGATTTCTCTATGGTGTCCACATCACAGTACGATGTACTCCCATGGATGGGCACAAGCAATTAAATACTTGTGAAGATGACATTTGAGGAATTAGGATTTTGAGTTCTTTGCATTTTCTGGTCCACTGAATCATTCTTGGAGAAATCATGATGTTATAAATTCCATTAGAAGTGTAAATCACAAGAAAAGTTCCTTGACCTCAGCAGTTTGTAATCTGTATGTCATAAATGAAAACAATGTTAAATAAAACCAAACTTTGATCAAGGTGATGCAGATAAAGATAATGTTGATAAATGGAGAGTTCTGTTTAGGTAGTATTATTTTTCTCCCAGAAGGCAAAGTGCTATGGAAGAAAAACGTAGCCCTTTATAGGCCGGGTGCGGTGGCTCGTTCCTGTAATCCCAGCACTTTGGGAGGCTGAGGTGGGCAGATCACTTGAGGTCAGGAGTTTGAGACCAGCCTGTCCAACATGGCAAAACCCTGTCTCTACTAAAAAAATGCAAAAATGAGCTGGGTGTGGTGGTATGTTCCTGAATTCCCAGCTATTTGGTTGGCTGAAGCATGAGAAACGCTGGAACCTGGGAGGCAGTTGCAGTGAACTGAGATCGCGCCACTGCACTCCACTTGGGGACAGTAAGACTGTCCAAAAAAAAAACAAAAGAAGAAGAAGAAGAAAAATGTAGCCTTTTCTAAAAGCCTGAACATTCAGGCAGTAAACATTTACTGAGTGCCTACTGCATAAAAGGCAGTGTATTTGGAGCTTGAGGATGAGACTATAAGCAAAGAGTCATTGTGGAGTGGGCTAACTGGCATACAAAAGTGCATAGATGGCTTATGGGAGCACAGAGTATATCCCTTCTGGGGACCCAGGACCAGGTGACATTGAAGAATAAGTGGAAGTTTGTAGTGCATCTCACATCATCACAGTGGCGTGAGACTGTGTGGAGACTGGAGAACCTCGAGTAATCAGGTGTAGAGGAGCTGGGGGAAAGGAGAGGAAGCCACAAGAGGATTCCAACATCAGCTCCTTGGCAGGTATGGAGGAAGCCTTGGGGCAAAGGAGGACAGAACCATGGAGGTGCAGAAATGGATTAAATTGATGCAGTGAACCCCAGAGGAAGGAGGGGTTTTTCTCCCAGTGGAAACAGGACCGTGGCAGAGGCAAGGGGATGCTAGGAGAATGCTGGCTTCCCTCCCACCCTTCTCTGCAGGGACATGGGGTGCTCACTAGGGCAAGATTCACAGTGACACAGGTGAGTTACATGTGGCAGTAGCGAGAATGTCTGTGGGAGAGTTTGAGGATGGGAGTGCTTATTGACCACTGAACACAGATTCCGCAGAAAAAGTCAGAGGAACGGTAAAGTGAGGACATAAATATGTAGGGGGAATGATGACCTGAGGGCCTTGCATTTAGGGCATGGCCAAGGATGACAGGAAGCTGAGCCACTGTGCCACTGATGGGCCTCGAGTTCTGGAATTTACTGTTGGGTGGGGTTTTCCGATACTGTTCCAGTGGGGGTGTTGGAGGTCTGTGGGCTTACTTGGCATTCCAGAGCAATCTTGGTAGGGGGTGGACACTGAGCTTCTTAAGAGATTCTTCTCAGAAGACCTTAACCTCTTGGGGAAACTGACAGCAGACCCCAGTGCCATGGAAGGATCAAGATTCTGGCCGAGGACATTGGGCTTCTGTTCTTGGGAGGTTTTCTTGGGGTGGGAGGTATGAGAAGCGGTGTTTTACAAGTTTTGCAAAAACACTGTTCTAGGATCCTATCCAATGCAACGACTGATTTCTGTCTCTCTAGTCCGGCAGGAGAAGCATTTAATTGTTAAAACAAGAGCAGTCCTTGTCTCATTCCTTTTGTTAATTCTTGCCATGTTACTCTAATTATTTTCCTATCCTGGCCTTTCTGTCTCTCGTTCAGAACCAGACTACCAGGTGTACCTGAATGCTTCCAAGGTCCCCGGGTTTGCGGATGACCCCACAGAGCTGGCATGCCGGGTGGTGGACACGAAGAGTGGGGAGGCGAATGTCCGATTCACGGTTTCGTGGTACTACAGGATGAACCGGCGCAGCGACAATGTGGTGACCAGCGAGCTGCTTGCAGTCATGGACGGGGACTGGACGCTAAAATATGGAGAGAGGAGCAAGCAGCGGGCCCAGGATGGAGACTTTATTTTTTCTAAGGAACATACAGACACGTTCAATTTCCGGATCCAAAGGACTACAGAGGAAGACAGAGGCAATTATTACTGTGTTGTGTCTGCCTGGACCAAACAGCGGAACAACAGCTGGGTGAAAAGCAAGGATGTCTTCTCCAAGCCTGTTAACATATTTTGGGCATTAGAAGGTAGGAACTTTTTTCTTGTTATTCATTTTTGTTTTGTCTTTGCTTAAGTCGTGCCGCTGTGTGTTGATGCACAGTCACCCTCTGCAGGTTATCACTTACACTAGGAATGTGTGTCCTGGACATTGATCGCCATGCGACCCGTTGCACATGCTCTTTGGACTCACTATCACCCCTCCTCTGTCCCCAAGCCCCAGAGAGGTCCCTCTCCAACTCACTGTCAATCAGCCAAGTCTCTTGTTTCCTGAACTTTACCTCTGAATGTTTCTTTTCTCTTTCTTGCATTAAACATGGTGACTCTGAGGACACTCTTTCCCCTGGAGAAACCGTTACCTCTCTGAGGACAGTTTCCCCCAGAGCCCAACTAAGTGATGCCCATTTTCTTCCCACACTTCTCATAACTGGGCCTAGAGGTGTGGGGCAGGTGCCCTTCTTGATCCTCCCTGCAGCTTCCAGGTCGTTTTCGCTCACTCCTAAAAATATCTAGCTTCGAATCTCGTGTCATCATCACACCATACCACCTCTTCTTGTTACTATTGCCTGTTGCCTCCTAGGTCCTCCGTTCATTCTTTGAAGATGTTAGCGTTTGTTTCACGGCCACTCTGTCTGACACTGCTCCCATCTTGCTAACTTCAGTATCTGTGTAGAGCACTGGGTCACAATTGGAAGCCCCCTAGGAACTTAAAAAAAATGCTGGTGCTTTGTCCCACCAGAAATTCTCCCATCCAGATACTAACCAGGCCTGACCCTGCTTAGCTTCCAAGATCAGACGAGATCAGGCGGGTTCCACCAGAAATTCTATTTTAGTTGGTCTGAAGTATATGCATTCTGGGCACTGGAATTTTTAAATGCTCCCACAGTGATTTTCATGTGCAGCCAAGGTGGCGAACTCTAATACAGTTAATCCTGTCATTCTTAGTTGCTTGTCCTCCTCTCTGTAGTCATCATGTCCTCTATCCTATTTGGTCCTACACTTACATGCTTATATGCTACATTAGACCGTCTCCCTTCTGATAACTGAAACCCCTCCACAGTCTCAATTTCAAGCATCCTGTTCTCTAAACATATCTCCTGTCTTTCTGTACCGCTCCGTCTAGTACTCCAGCAACAATCCCCCAACCTTACTGGGGCCAACAATCTGTTAATCCTACCACCTGACATCGTCCTTCACTGCCATTGTGTCTTCACGTCTCTCTCACTAGGGTGCCCATTTGTAGTCCAGCGTACACCTGGAATGGTGTACATTATGATAGCACCTTCTTTCATTCTCAGAGCTAAGGCTGGGAGGTAGGGGTAAGTTATGTGGTCACCTACTATTACCTAGCCTAAATTCCCAGTCAGTTTTAATCACTCCCTTGCATACACCCCTAGCTTCCTTCCCCTCTCGGTTTGCATTAGACTGTGGCCAAACCACAACCCAGTTCAAAGGCAGCTTTCTGCAGCCTCCCTACCTGTGCCCACAGAGCTAATGTGGTTGGAGAGAAACATTCAAACATGTTGACTGGTCTCCCTTTAAAGTAGTGGTCACTTGTGACAAGTGGGCTCTTGGCACTGCGTGGGAATTATTCTGCATTTCCTTAGTCTGTTTATTTCCCCACTCTCCTAAGTGATTACTGCATACCACCTTCTGTCTCTGCAAACCTCCTCCCACAGCTTCTCTCTCAGCTGTTGGCCCTGCTTCCTATTCTCCTAAAAGTAGAAATAATCAGGAGAATTCCCATTCACGCTGCCCCAGGGCTGAGACCAGGTCACGTGGCATATGTCCTGGCAGAGGCCAGCCCCTCTCACTACTTAGACCATGGCTGCTCTCTCTTATGTCTTTGGTAATTCTCTCCCTTCTGGACCTTTCCTATTGGTCTGTCAATGTGCTGTTAGATCCAGGTTTCCTTGGGTTTTTTAAGAGGGGGTGGGGAGTGAGGGTTGTGGTATTTTTTGTTGTTTTAGTTTTGTTTTGTTTTTAGAGACAGTGTCTCACTCTGTTGCCCAGGCTGGAGTACAGTGGTGTGATTGTAGCTCACTGCAGCCTTGACCTCCTGGGCTCCAGTGATCCTTCCACCTTAGCCTCCCGAGCGGTTGGGACTGCGGGTGCTCACCACCACATTCAGCTAATTTTTTTTTTTTTTTGAGACAGGGTCTTGCTCTGTTACCCAGGCTGACATGCAGTGGCATGATAATGGCTTATTGTAGCTTCAGCCTCCTAGGTAGGTTAAAGTTATCCTCCCACCTCAGCCTCCCAAGTAGTTGGAACTAGAGGCACTATAGGCCTCTATCATCATGCCTGGCTATTTTTTTTTGGTAGAGACAGGGTCTCACTGTGTTGTCCAGGCTGGTCTTGAACTCCTGACCTCAAACGATCCTCCTGCCTTAGTCGCCCGAAGTGCTAGGATTACAGGCATGAGCCACCGTGCCGGGCGCCCCCCCTTTTTTATGCTAGTCTTGATCTTCCTTCTTCATCCGTCTTTCTGTTTCCCACACCCATTTGTCTACTTATTACTTTTTCCTTTTATAACAACAATATTTGACGTATATATACTCAGTGTGTCTGGTTTTTCTCCTTCCATTCTCTCTGGTACCTACTCAAATCAGGCTTTCCCCTCAGCTGCTTGTGGTAAGATGGCCAGTAATCATCATATTGGAAAATCCTATTGTCAGTTATTTTCTTTGACTTAGCAGAATTTAACGCAGGTGATTCCCTCCTCCTGGGAATGCTTTGGTTTTTCCCTTGGCTTGTGGGACACTGCCTTCTCAGGGCTTTCTTCCAACTTTATTAGCCATTTCTCAGCCTCCTTTTCTGGCTTCTGTTCATTTTTTGGACCCGGAAACATTAGACTACCTCAGGACATAGTCTTTGGACATAGTCCTTGGACTTGGACTTCTTTTCTATTTAACCTCACCTTCTTGGTGATGTCTCTAATCTCATCAATTTAAATACCATCTAGAAACCAGTGACTCCAGATTTACATGTCTACCCCAGGCCTCTTTCCAGAACTCCAGACTCAATATTACATTGCCTCCTTGACACTACTTGACTAACAGGCATCTCAAGCTTCTGTTCAAAAGGACGCTTCCCATCACATCTGCCAGCTCTCTTCTCCCAGCTTTCTCCAGCACCATTGTTCTAGTGGCTCAGCCCAAAACCTTCATCCTTGACTGCTCGTTGTTAAAATTGACTTAGAATCTGGCTACTTTTCACACTCTGCCATTTATGGCGCCACCCTTGCCTGGATTACATCCCTGGCCTCCCAGATCGTCTCCTTGCTCTGCCCTAGCACACAGCAGCTGGAACAATCCTGTTAAATATAAGTCAGGTCCTGAAACTCCTTCACTCTAAACTTTCAAAGCCTCCCCATCTCACTCAGAGCAAAACCCAGAGTCCTCTAAGTGGTCTTAGATGTTCTGTACCAACTGGTCACATTACCTTCTGGCCTCACCTAGCACCCTCCCCAGCACCCACTCCATCCAGCCACTCTGCCCTTCCAGGCTCCTCAAATACACCAAGTGTGCTCCGGCCTTGTAGCTTTCTGCCTGCTGTTCCATCAGTCTAGAATGCTCTTCCCAAGATAGATAGGACTTGCTCCCTCACCTCCTTCAGGTCCTTTTTATTTATTTTATTTTTAATTTTAATTTTATTTTTTTAGAATCACAGTCTTGCTCTCTCACCCAGGCTCTCTCACCCAGGCTGGAGTGCAGTGGCACCATCATAACTCGTTGTCGCCTCAAACTCCTGGACTCAAGCCTCTCAAGTAGCTGGGACTATAGGCACATGCTCTGTGCCTGGCTAATTATTTAATTTTATTTTTAGAGGCACGGGGTTTTGCTATGTTGTCCAGGTTGATCCCAAACTCCTGGCCTCATGCAATCCTCTCGCCTCAGCCTCTCTAATCAGTGAGATTACAGGAATGAGCCACTACACCCAGCTCAGGTTCTTTTTAAAATGTTGCCTCCTCAGTGAGGATGTCCCTGATCACTCTATTTACGGTTGTGGCACACACACCTTCCTTCCAAATACAAATCCACGCTTTTTCTCTTCCTTGGCTGCTTATTATCTCTTAAACATTTATCACCATATAACCATACCATATATTTTATTTGTTTATTTCATTTGTCTTCCTTCACTGGCATATAAAGGGAGGGATTTTTGTATTTATTTGTTCACCGTTATGTTTCCAGTACCTGCAGTATGGAAGGCTGTCAATAAATATATGTTTAAATTGATGAATGAATGACCGAACTCACAGGAAAATCAAGAAAGAATGTGGTGGCTCAGTAGAAGCTCAGCAGTCAGTGGTTCTGGAGAGAGTTCTTAATATACATGTTCTGCTAATCGGTTTGGTGGAACAAGTGTTCCAAAAAATCTAACGTAAAAATCTCATCTTGTAACTGGATGGATTATAGGATTAATCATCTTATTAAAGGATAAAAAGAATGTATCTAATTCATTTATTCATCCACTCAACAAATATTTAAGCACCTTCCAAGTGCCTGACGTTGTGCTACTATAATAGATGAATTCTAATGTGTACATGCATAGGCATTGTTGTTTTGACAGAGACACAAGGAGTAATCCACTTAAACCTAAAGTTAGCGTAGCCATAGACACCTCTCAAAATGTTTAAACAGCATTTCTGAAATTAAAGTGTAAAGCAAGTGGAAATTATTAGATCTGCAAATACATACGCTACAGTCATTTTAGCAATACATCTGTTCTGTAATGTCACTATCATATGATTAAACAGGGAGAATTCATTTCTCCCTTGCTGCATTCCTCCCTGCAGGCTAGCTTAGCTAGGGGCACTTCCCCTGCACTTAGCAGACCCCTGGGGAGGAGAGGCAAATGGTATGGCCAGGAGCCTGGCTTGGAGGTCATGGTGTTGTGTTCAGCCATGTCTTTCCCACCTTTATAGGAGTGTCCTCTGCCTTGCATCTTTTGGAGCACCAATAGCGGGTTCCCAGATTCTTCCTGGTGAAACTTCTTAAGGACTTAAAAATCCTTAAAACCAGTTCTCACCATAATTTCCTCTCTCCTGACACCCACTGATTCATTTCAGACTATTACTTTCAATGGGGTGGTTTTAGCCTGCTTATAGATACACATGATTTTCTTTCTGAGTTTCCAGATTTTCGTAGGTGCTTTTGTGTGGCAATTTGCAAATACATTTCTGTTTCTTGGTTATTTTGCTTTTAGTTGCATTTTTATTTTAACTGATCTTGTTGGAAATCACATCCTTCTGGTCATTCATTCCAGATTCCGTGCTTGTGGTGAAGGCGAGGCAGCCAAAGCCTTTCTTTGCTGCCGGAAATACATTTGAGATGACTTGCAAAGTATCTTCCAAGAATATTAAGTCGCCACGCTACTCTGTTCTCATCATGGCTGAGAAGCCTGTCGGCGACCTCTCCAGTCCCAATGAAACGAAGTACATCATCTCTCTGGACCAGGATTCTGTGGTGAAGCTGGAGAATTGGACAGATGCATCACGGGTGGATGGCGTTGTTTTAGAAAAAGTGCAGGAGGATGAGTTCCGCTATCGAATGTACCAGACTCAGGTCTCAGACGCAGGGCTGTACCGCTGCATGGTGACAGCCTGGTCTCCTGTCAGGGGCAGCCTTTGGCGAGAAGCAGCAACCAGTCTCTCCAATCCTATTGAGATAGACTTCCAAACCTCAGGTGAGCAGTGAGCCCTGTTGAATCATAGGTGGAGCTAGAAGAGACCCTAGGGTTTTGATCAGATGCCCTCATTTTTTAAAACAGCTTTGTTAAGATGCAATTCATATGCCATACAATGTACCTGTTTAAAGTGTGTAATTCAGTGGCTTTTCATATATTCACAAAGTTGTGTGATCATCACCACGACCAGTTTTAGAACATTTTCATGACCCCAAAAGAAACCTGGACCCCTTAGCCAATACCCTCCATTCACACTCCATTCCCCACCTCCCATTCTGCAGCAACCATGATCTACTTTCTGTCTCTATACATTTTGCCTATTATGGACATTTCACATAAATGGAATATAATATGTGGCCTTTCTATCTGGCTTCTTTTTTGGAGCAAAATGTTTTCAAGGGTCATCCATATTGTAGCATGTATCAGTGCTTTGTTCATTTTTATGACTGAATAAGATTCCATCGTATGGATATCCCACATTGTGTTTATCCATTCATCAGTTGATGGACATTTGGGTGTTTCCAGTTCTTGACTGTTACAAATAATGCTGCTGTGGACATTCATGTACAAATTTTTGATGAATGTATGTTTTCATTTCTGCTTTCATTTTAAGAAAATGAGCTGAAGCTCAGCTACTTCAAATACTTTAGGGAACATAGTGGAGTATAAAGAAAGAGAGGAGGGAATTGAGCCTCCCAAGGTGTTAAATGACTTGCCAAAGTGGAAGATCTTTAACATCCTCTGTCTGTGTATGTGTGTGTTTCAGTAGGAAGATGATTTAAAAGTATTTAAACCCCAATCTTATTTAGAATATGAATGCAAAGGATTATCATTTGTGAGTTTAATACTAAGTGTTTTCACTAACTCTGCCCTGGGTTCCTGGGTTTTAGTTAGAAATTTCTGAATGTATAAATTAATACTTATCTGTAAAAATTCAGGTGTCAATTGAATCATACAATGAATGCAAGATATTTGTTGAATTAAATGATTAGCATTTATATTAAAGGTAAGCTAGACTCTAATAAAGTTTTTCTATTAATATTATTTTCTATTATTATAGCCTTTTATGGTATATAATATATACCATAGTGAAATAATCTTCTAAGATCTCTTGACCTTTAAATTAAAGGGTAAATATTGATTTAAGCCCTTAGATTTGGAGAAAGCATAGGCCTCCTTTATTGTGTATCTGTTTGTTTTTAATAGCAGCTTTATTGAGATATAACTCACATACTATAAAATTTACTATATATAGAGTGTACAATTTAGTGGTTTCTAGTATATTCACAGAGTTGTGCAACTATCACTACTATCTAATTCCAGAACATTTTAATCACCTCAAGAAGAAACTCCACTCTCATTAGTAATCATTCCCATGCCCCCATGCCCTTGCCCCTGGCAACCACTAATTTACTTTCTGTCTCTATAGATTTGCCTCTTCTGGGTGTTTCATATGAATTGAATCATATTATATGTGGACTTTTGTGACTTGCTTTTTTTCACTTAGCATAATGTTTTCAAGGTCCATTCATGTTGTAGCAGGTATCAGTACTTCATTCCTTTTCATGGCTGAATAATATTTCATTGTATGGATATGCCACATTTGTTTATCTGTTCATCTGTTGATGGACGTTTAGACTATCTCTACTTTTTGGCTATTATGAATAGTGCTGCCGTAAACATTATTATTTGAAAGTATCTTCTCGCATTCTGTGTGTTGTCTTTCACTTTCTTAATGATGTCTCTTGAAACATCAAATTTTTAAATTTTGATGAAGTCCAGTTTATCTGTTTTTTTTTTTTTTCCTTTTGTTGCTTGTGTTTTTGCTATGTCTAAGAAATCACTGCCTAATCTAAGGCTGTGAGGATTTACACCTATGTTTTCTTCTAAGAGTTTTATAGTTTTAGGTCTTACATTTTAGGCTATGATTCATGTTAATTTTTGTATGTGGTTAAGAAGAAGGAATCCAACTTTATTATGTTGCATGGAGATAGCCAGTTGTCCTAGCACCATTTATTGAAAAGTGTATTATTTCTCCATTGACTTGTTTTGGCACCCCTGTCAAAAATAATTTAATCATAAATGTAGGGTTTATTTCTAGACTGTCAATTCTATTTCAGTGATCTAGATTTCTCTTCTTATACCAATATCACATGGTTTGATTACTGTAGCTTTGTAGTTAGTTTTGAAATCAAGAAGTTGGAGATTTCCAATTTTGTTCTTTTTCAAGATTGTTTTGACTATTTTGGATGCCTGGTACATCCATGTGACTTTTAGGATCCGCCTGTTAATTTCTACAGTCCAGGCATCTGGGACTTTGATGGGGATTGTGTTAACTCTGTAGATCAATTTGGAAAGCATTGCCATTTAACAATACTGTTTTTCAGTTCATAAACATGGGCTATCTTTCCATTTATTTAGGTATTTAAATTTTTTCCATGGTGTTTCGTAGTTTTCAGTGTACAGATCTTGTTTCTTTTGTTAAATTTATCGTAAGTATTTTATTCTTTTTGATGCTATTGTAAATAGAATTGCTTTCTGAATTTACTTTTTGGCTTGTTTATTCATTGCAGTTTCATAGAAGTACAACTGGGTTTTGTATATTGATCTTGTATCCTGTGACCTTGCTGAACTTGTTTATTAATTCTAATTAATTCTAAATTTGGGGGACTTGTTACAATTTTTAAAATACAAGATTATGTCATCTGTGAATAGAACTAGTTTTACTTCTCTCTTCCAAGCTGAATATCTTCTATTTCTTTTTCTCGAGTAATTGCCCAGCCAGAACCTCCAATACAGTGTTGAATGGAAGTAGCACAAGTGGACATTCTTGTCTTGTTTCTGATCATAGGGGGAAAGCGTTCAGTCTCATTCACCTTTAACTATCATGTTCACTGTGGGATTTTCATAGATGCCCTTTATCAGATTGAGGAAGTTTCCTTCCACTCCTAGTGTGTTTCCTTCCATTCTTAGTTTTTTTTTCATTCCTAGTTTGTTGAGTATTTTTGTCATGGAAAGGTGTTGAATGTGGTCAGATGCTTTTTCTCTGTCTGTTGAGATGAGATTATTATGTGGTTTTTGTCCTTTATTTGTGTATTTGTTTTGCTGTCTGTAGGAATCTGTTCCATCTTGTTTTACATTTGTTATTTGATCTTTCTTTTAAACTCTTATATGGAAAAGGGGAGACACAGAGTATTTTGTATCTATTTCTGGGTGAGGAATGGATGTTGAGTCTATTCCTCAGTTCTTTAAATCTCAGCATAACAGATAAAACCGCTGTAGCTTCCAGGTTGAATAGATTGCCTAAGGTTTTATTTTATTTAATCCACAGAGTTGTCATGGCCAGTTCACATTTTAATTAGGAGAAGCTGCCATCAAATTCAGCACCCAGAACAATACTATAGCCCTGAATAGCCACCAGCAAACATTGATTTGAAACTGAACAGCCTTTGCTTCCTAAAAATCCGTGACATACCTTAAGACACGCAACAAAGGGGTTCTTCCCATGTTCACCTTCCTGTCCCCTGATTTCAGGGCACCTGCTTTTTGGTATTAAAAACCAAGGGGCCCTACTGAGTGCTGGGTTTTACTGATTCAAAGTGTCAAGAGGAAAATGGTATTTAAATATGATAGTGTAGGCTTTGGCCTTTTAAAAGAAGAATAATAAATTTTTTTCTTCGTAATATATAGAAAATTTGAAAATATAGTAATGTAGAAAGAAGGGAAAGAGACTTATCCATCATCCTACCAGAGACTGTTAACTTGTGTTGTTCATCTTCCTAGAATGTTTTTCTTGTATATTTTCTTCATGACTTTGAGATCAAGCTGTACATACAATTTTAGGACCTGCTTTTCTCCCTTTAGTGTTATAAGATCAGCACTTTCCATATTGTCACCAATTCTAGGTAAACATTAATACCACGTTTAATGACTTTACATACTTGAATTTGCTTAGCCATTACCCTATTGATGGACATGCAGATGGTCTGTAACTTTTGCTTTCATTAAAAAAACTGCCACTAACAGCTTTTTTTAGAGGCCAAGGTTGGAACATGGTTTATGTCAATGTTTGTATTTAAAAGTTAAGTAGTTCCTATACTCTCTGCAGACTAGGAATTGGGGGACCCCTAGTGACTCCGGTTGTTCATTTAAACTCTCTGTACCATACCCTGTCATCTGTGAAGTTAACCAGACAAATCCCCTCACAAAAACAGAATTACCACAGAAATTGACCATAATGAAAATATTTCTAAGCCTGGGATAATGACCCATATTAACAGTGAGCTGCTGATTTCATTAGGAGGAAATCCACTCCTGTGAATAGCTCACCACAATGCAGGCCTTTTCCCCAGTCCTTGTCTGCCTTGTGAGCTGCAGCACAAATGCTCTGTTGATTCCCACGTCCAGTAGGGGAAGTGAGAACTGTAACGTGACCTAGGAGGTATTTGGGTTTTCTTTGGAAACATAAAGAAAAAGTGAAATTTGTTCGAATTAAGTAAGTCTTCTTTGCTGCTTCAAATTAAATAGATAATCCATGAGATAAAACCATGAGAATTTCTTAATGTTTTGTCATTTTATGTTCTCTTAGAAGGGGCCTGAGCACTAGAAAAGCCCCTCAGTGTAGTTCTGTGTATTACCATGAAATTTCTAATCTGAGAAAAATGTGACCCCCCTGCCCGCCCTTGCTCACCATGGTTGCTGCTAACCTGTACTCACTGACAGGTGGCCGCCTATGGCATAAGTGTCCCCAGTCACCACACAGAGCCAACTCCAGGCAGTTTGGCCTAATCCTGCCCCACCTCACTGCTCCAGGCAGAGCAAGTCCAGGGTATAAGGCCCGAGGGAGCCAGGGCTGAGAGCTGAGTTAATTGAAGGGGATGATGTCCAGAAGTAGGTCAGGCTTCCTTGTCTTTGCTTTCATCCCTTTCCCCATTTCCTGGAACAGCCATTCTGTCAATTCTTTATCCCCTTAGAGTTACGTACGCCCCTGCTGTTCCCTGAATAATCAGAACTCTCAGCAGTTTCTACCCAGAGCTGCCTAACCCCCACTAGGGTTCAATATTCTATAACCATCCTTTACCTTTCTCCCAGGAAAACAAAAAATATTTATATACTTGGTTAGGAAAGCAATCTGATGAATTCATCTTATTAGTCATCATGTCAAAATGAAAATATAGCCCTTTCATCATGTTACTCCCTCTGTCATGGCCATTTCTTCTGCAAGTTTAAAAAAGATACTTTAGGATACTTGTTTCTTTCTGGCAATCTGAACAAGAAGTAGTAATACCTATATTCTTAACTTCTAATGAGTTTTACAGTCAGCACCTAGGGCCTTCAATCGTTGCTTCCCAGGAAACCCAAGGGGAGTCCCATAGCATTGATGTTCTGTGAATTTCTTTTAGGTTTGCCTTGTTCCTAGATTTTAGGAGTTGGGATAAAGTAAACATTGAACTCTTAGGATTAGCTAAGCTGAAAGCTATGGAATGTTCTCACCTAAGAGGAATTCATAAGTGAGTTAAAAATAATAATTCTGCCTGCAGCGTTTTCAGGGAGGCATGTAAGACAAACCCAGTTTGGGTAGGGTTTTTTTGTTTTGTTTTTTAACCAGACTTTATTTTAATTTTATTTATTTATTTATTTATTGAGACAGTGGCACGATCTTGACTCACTGTAGCCCCAACTTCCCAGGCTCAAGCAATCTTCCTCCTACCTCAGTCACCTGAGTAGCTGGGACTACAGGTGTGCACCACCGTGCTCAGCTAATTTTTGTAGAGGCGGGATTTTGCCATGTTCCCCAGGTTAGTCTTGAACACCTGGGCTCAAGTGACCTACCTGCCTCGGCCTCCCAAAGAGCTGGGATTACAGGCATGAGTTACTGCATCCAGCCCAGACTTTATTTTTTAGAGCAGTTTTAGGTTCCCAGCTTTTCAGCAAAAAGTACTGAAAGTTTCCATATACTCCCAACTCTCCCACAACACATAGCCTCCCCAACCTCAGTAGTCTCTTAAAGGCATATCCACCTGTAATCTCAGCACTTTGGGAGGCGGGCAGATCACTTGAGGTCAGGGGTTCGAGACCAGGCTGGCCAACATGGTGAAACCCTGTCTCTACTAAAAATACAAAAATTTGCGGGGCGTAGTGGCATGTGCCTGTAATCCCAGCTACCCAGGAGGCTGAAGCAGGAGAATCACTTGAATCCAGGAAGTGGAGGTTGCAGTGAGCCGAGATCACACTACTGCACTCCAGCCTGCGTGACAGAGCAAGACTCAATCTCAAAAAAAAAAAAAAAAAAAGGAAAAAGGCATATCCAGGCTGCCTCCATTTTCCCTGGCATGCTGAAGCTGTGCCTTGAGTGCTACCACCACACCTCATAGAAATATCATTGTTGACATGTCTGTCTTCTTACCAGATTTCAGCCTCTTGGTAACAGGGCCCCTTTCCCCAGCACCCAGCACAGTGCAGTGAGACCACTCACTCCACTGGAACCAAAAGCTTTCTTGCTTCAGTCCCTGTTCCTCTGATCCCTAAGCCACCCTGGCCTAGAAGTGAACCATGTTGAACTAGAACCAGCCCAGGCTGTTCCAGGGTGGAGGGTAGCTTTCGAATGAGGTCACTGTGGCCACCAGAAAGAAAAGCCAGAGCAAAAGTAATTCTTTCAGAAGAGTTCTATTTTGGTTGTAATCTTAAGATGAAGCTCACTTGGATGTGCCTAATGCCCATGTCTCTCTGAATAGAAGAGAGGCAACCTTGGAACACCTATTTTGTGAGTTTCTAGACCAGTTCCCAGGGAAGAGAACCACATTTTGATGCCCCTTAGAGTGCAAAGAATGGAATTTGACAAAAGCATGAAAGAGAATAATGAGGCTGGCATTACTTTTTTTCCAGGTCCTATATTTAATGCTTCTGTGCATTCAGACACACCATCAGTAATTCGGGGAGATCTGATCAAATTGTTCTGTATCATCACTGTCGAGGGAGCAGCACTGGATCCAGGTACCTCACTCCATCCTCACCCCTTCACCATGTTGCTTTCTGTAAATGTTTCTCATATCATCCGCACTGTGTTACACAGATGTGGGTTAGGGATAGGATTATCTATTTATCCCCTAACTGCCTGGCCCAGTACTTTGTACTCATTAAGTGTTTAATAAATACATGTTGAGTGGATGCATCTATCTGCTAGATGGTTTGGAAATACATCCAGACATTTGAATCTGAGCTGTCAAGACAGTCAGTGGGGTCACTTCCAGGCCTATTTCAGGCTGATTTGAAACCCACTGGCAGAGTCTAGCTCCTTCTCTTGTGTCTTTCATTCATTTATTCATTCAGATATTTATTGAGTTCCTTTGGTATACAAGTGCTGCTCTAGATACTGGGAATAGATGAGTGAACAAAATGCCCAAAGTCAGGGGGCAGTTCCAAGATGGCCAAATAGGAACAGCTCCAGTCTACAGCTCCCAGCGTGAGCGATGCAGAAGACGGGTGATTTCTGCATTTCCAACTGAGGTATCGGGTTCATCTCACTGGGGCTTGTTGGGCAGTGGGTGCAGGACAGTAGGTACAGCCCACCGAGCGTGAGCCGAAGCAGGGCAAGGCATCAACTCACCCGGGAAGCGCAAGGGGTTAGGGAATTCCCTTTCCTAGCCAAGGGAAGCTGTGACAGACAGCACCTGGAAAATTGGGTCACTCCCACCCTAATACTGCGCTTTTCCTATGGTCTTAGCAAACGGCACACCAGGAGATTATATCCTGCACCTGGCTCGGAGGGTCCCATGCCCACAGAGCCTCGCTCATTGCTAGCACGGCAGTCTGAGATCGAACTGCAAGGTGGCAGCGAGGCTGGGGGAGGGGCACCCGCCATTGCTGAGGCTTAAGTAGGTAAACAGAGCTGCAGGGAAGCTCGAACTGGGTGGAGCCCACTGCAGCTCAAGGAGGCCTGCCTGCCTCTGTAGACTCCAACTCTGGGGGCAGGGCATAGCCAAACAAAAGGCAGCAGAAACCTCTGCAGACTTAAATGTCCCTGTCTGACAGCTTTGAAGAGAGTAGTGCTTCTCCCAGCATGCAGCTTGAGATCTGAGAACGGACAGACTGCCTCCCCAAGTGGGTCCCTGACCCCCGAGTAGCCTAACTGGGAGGAACCCCCCAGTAGGGGCAGACTGACACCTCACATGGCCGGGTACCCCTCTGAGACGAAGCTTCCAGAGGAACGATCAGCAGAAACATTTGCTGTTCAGCAATATTCGCTGTTCTACAACCTCCACTGCTGATACCCAGGCAAACAGGGTCTGGAGTGGACCTCCAGCAAACTCCAACAGACCTGCAGCTGAGGGTCCTGACTGTTAGAAGGAAAACTAACAAACAGAAAGGACATCCACACCAAAACCCCATCTCTACGTCACCACCATCAAAGACCAAAGGTAGATACAACCACAAAGATGGGGAAAAAACAGAGCAGAAAAGCTGAAAATTCTAAAAATCAGAGCACCTCTCCCCCTCCAAAGGAACGCAGCTCTTCTCCAGCAACGGAACAAAGCTGGACCGAGAATGATTTTGACAAGTTGAGAGAAGAAGGCTTCAGATGATCAAACTTCTCTGAGCTAAAGGAGGAAGTTCGAATCCATCGCAAAGAAGCTAAAAACGTTGAAAAAAGATTAGACGAATGGCTAAATAGAATAACCAGTGTAGAGAAGTCCTTAAATGACCTTATGGAGCTGAAAACCATGGCATGAGAACTACGTGACAAATGCATAAGCTTTAGTAGCTGATTCGGTCAACTGGAAGAAAGGGTATCAGTGATTGAAGATCAAACGAATGAAATGAAGCGAGAAGAGAAGTTTAGAGAAAAAAGAGTAAAAAGAAATGAACAAAGCCTCCAAGAAATATGGGACTATGTGAAAAGACCAAATCTGTGTCTGATTGGTGTACCTGAAAGTGATGGGGAGAATGGAACCAAGTTGGAAAACACTCTGCAGGATATTGTCCAGTAGAACTTCCCCAACCTAGCAAGGCAGGCCAACATTCAACTTCAGGAAATACAGAGAACGCCACAAAGATACTCCTCGAGAAGAGGAACTCCAAGACACAAAACTGTCAGATTCACCAAAGTTGAAATGAAGGAAAAAATGTTAAGGGCTGCCAGAGAGAAAGGTTGGGTTACCCACAAAGGGAAGCCCATCAGATTAACAGCGGATCTCTTGGCAGAAACTCTACAAGCCAGAAGAGAGTCGGGGCCAATATTTAACATTCTTAAAGAAAAGCATTTTCAACCCAGAATTTCATATCCAGCCAAACTAAGCTTCAGAAGTGAAGAAGAAATAAAATCCTTTACAGACAAGCAAATGCTGAGAGATTTTGTCACCACCAGGCCTGCCCTACAAGAGCTCCTGAAGGAAGCACTAAACATGGAAAGGATCAGCCGGTACCAGCCACTGCAAAAACATGCCAAATTGTAAAGACCATTGATGCTAGGAAGAAACTATATCAAGTAACGAGCAAAATAACTAGCTAACATCATAATGACAGGATCAAATTCACACATAACAATATTAACCTTAAATGTAAATGGGCTAAATGCTCCAATTAAAAGACACAGACTGGCAAATTGGATAAAGACTCAAGACCCATCAGTGTGCTATATTCAGGAGACCCATCTCGCGTGCAGAGACACACATAGGCTCAAAATAAAGGGATGGAGGAAATTCTACCAAGCAAATGGAAACAAAAAAAGGCAGGGGTTGCAATCCTAGTCTCTGATAAAACAGACTTTAAACCAACAAAGATCAAAAGAGACAAAGAAGGCCATTACATAATGGTAAAGGGATCAATTCAACAAGAAGAACTAACTATCCTAAATATATATGCACCCAATACAGGAGCACCTAGATTCATAAAACAAGTCCTTAGAGACCTACAAACAGACTAAGACTCCACACAATAATAATGGGAGACTTTAACACCCCACTGTCAGCATTAGACAAATCCATGAGACAGAAAGTTAACAAGGATGTCCAGGAATTGAACTCAGCTCTGCACCAAGTGGACCTAATAGACATCTACAGAACTCTCCACCCCAAATCAACAGAATATACATTCTTCTCAGCAACACATCGCACTTATTCCAAAATTTACTTCCAAAATAGTTGGAAGTAAAGCACTCCTCAGCAAATGTAAAAGAACAGAAATTATAACAATCTCTCAGACCACACTGCAATCAGACTAGAACTCAGGTTAAGAAACTCACTCAAAATCGCTCAACTACATGGAAACTGAACAACCTGCTCCTGAATGACTACTGGGTACATAATGAAATGAAGACAGAAATAAAGATGTTCTTTGAAACCAATGAGAACAAAGACACAACATACCAGAATCTCTGGGACACATTCAAAGCAGTGTGTAGAGGGAAATTTATAGCACTAAATGCCCACAAGAGAAAGCAGGAAAGATCTAAAATTGACACCCTAACATCACAATTAAAAGAACTAGGGAAGCAAGAGCAAATAAATTCAAAAGCTAGCAGAAGGCAAGAAATAACTAAGATCAGAGCGGAGCTGAAGGAGATAGAGACACAAAAAACCCTTCAAAAAAATCAATGAATCCAGGAGCTGGTTTTTTGAAAAGATCAACAAAATAGATAGACCACTAGCAAGACTAATAAAGAAGAAAAGAGAGAAGAATCAAATAGATGCAATAAAAAATGATAAAGGGGATATCACCACTGATCCCACAGAAATACAAACTACCATCAGAGAATACTATAAATACCTCTACGCAAATAAACTAGAAAATCTAGAAGAAATGGATGAATTCCTGGACACATACACCCTCCCAAGACTAAACCAGGAAGAAGCGGAATCCCTGAATAGACCAATAACAGGCTCTGAAGTTGAGGCAATAATTAATAGCCTACCAACCAAAAAAAGTCCAGGAGCAGACGGATTCACAGCCGAATTCTACCAAGGTACAAGGAGGAGCTGGTACCATTCCTTCTGAAAGTATTCCAATCAATAGAAAAAGAGGGAATCCTCCCTAACTCATTTTATGAGGCCAGCATCATCCTGATACCAAAGCCTGGCAGAGACACAACAAAAAAAGAGAATTTTAGACCAATATCCCTGATGAACATCGATGCAAAAATCCTCAATAAAATACTGGCAAACCGAATCCAGCAGCACATCAAAAGGCTTATACACCATGATCAAATGGGCTTCATCCCTGGGATGCAAGGCTGGTTCAACATATGCAAATCAATAAATGTAATCCAGCATATAAACAGAACCAAAGACAAAAACCACATGATTATCTCAATAGATGCAGAAAAGGCCTTTGACAAAATTCAACAGTCCTTCATGCTAAAAACTCTCAATAAATTAGGTATTGATGGGACGTATCTCAAAATAATAAGAACTATTTATGACAAACCCACAGCTAATATCATACTGAATGGGCAAAAACTGGAAGCATTCCCTTTGAAAACTGGCACAAGACAGGGATACCCTCTCTCACCACTCCTATTCAACATATTGTTGGAAGTTCTGGCCAGGGCAATCAGGCAGGAGAAAGAAATAAAGGGTATTCAATTAGGAAAAGAGGAAGTCAAATTGTCCCTGTTTGCAGATGACATGATTGTATATTTAGAAAACCCCATCGTCTCAGCCCAAAATCTTAAGCTGATAAGCAACTTCAGCAAAGTCTCAGGATACAAAATCAATGTGCAAAAATCACAAGCATTCTTACACACCAATAACAGACAAACAGAGAGCCAAATCATGAGTGAACTCCCATTCACAGTTGCTTCAAAGAGAATAAAATACCTAGGAATCCAACTTACAAGGGATGTGAAGGACCTCTTCAAGGAGAACTGCAAACCACTGCTCAACAAAATAAAACAGGACAGAAACAAATGGAAGAACATTCCATCCTCATGGATAGGAAGAATCAATATCATGAAAATGGCCATACTGCCCAAGGTAATTTATAGATTCAATGCCATCCCCATCAAGCTACCAATGGCTTTCTTCACAGAATTGGAAAAAACTACTTTAAAGTTCATATGGCACCAAAAAAGAGCCCGCATTGCCAAGTCAATCCTAAGCCAAAAGAACAAAGCTGGAGGTATCACGCTGCCTGACTTCAAACTATACTACAAGGCTGCAGTAACCAAAACAGCATGGTGCTGGTACCAAAACAGAGATATAGACCAATGGAAAAGAACAGAGCCCTCAAAAATAATACCACACATCTACAACTATCTGATCTTTGACAAACCTGAGAAAAACAAGACATGGGGAAAGGATTCCCTATTTAATAAATGGTGCTGGGAAAACTGGCTAGCCATATGTAGAAAGCTGAAACTGGATCCCTTCCTTACACCTTATACAAAAATTAATTCAAGATGGATTAAAGACTTAAATGTTAGACCTAAAACCATAAAAACCCTAGAAGAAAACCTAGGCAGTACCATTCAGGACATAGGCATGGGCTAGGACTTCATGTTTAAAACACCAAAAGCAATGGCAACAAAAGCCAAAATAGACAAATGGGATCTAATTAAACTAAAGAGCTTCTGCACAGCAAAAGAAACTACCATCAGAGTGAACAGGCAACCTACAGAATGGGAGAAAATTTTTGCAGTCTACTCATCTGACAAAGGGCTAATATCCAGACTCTACGAAGAACTCAAATTTACAAGAAAAAAACAACCCCATCAAAAAGTGGGCAAAGGATATGAGCAGACACTTCTCAAAAGAAGACATTTATGCAGCCAACAGACACATGAAAAAACGCTCATCATCACTGGCCATCAGAGAAATGCAAATCAAAACCACAATGCAACACCATCTCACACCAGTTAGAATGGCAATCATTAAAAAGTCAGGGAACAACAGGTGCTGGAGAGGATGTGGAGAAATAGGAACACTTTTACACTGTTGGTGAGACTGTAAACTAGTTCAACCATTGTGGAAGACAGTGTGGCGATTCCTCAAGGATCTAGAAATAGAAATACCATTTGACCCAGCCATCCCATTACTGGGTCAAAGGATTATAAATAAATCTGCTATAAAGACACATGCACATGTGTGTTTATTGCAGCACTATTCACAATAGCAGACTTGGAACCAACCCAAATGTCCATCAGTGATAGACTAGATTAAGAAAATGTGGCACATATACACCATGGAATACTATGCAGCCATAAAAAAGGATGAGTTCATGTCCTTTGTAGGGACATGGATGAAGCTGGAAACCATCATTCTCAGCAAACTGTCACAAGGACAAAAAACCAAACACCTCATGTTCTCACTCATAGGTGGGAATTGAACAATGAGAACACTTGGACACAGGAAGGGGAACATCACACACCAGGGCCTGTCGTGGGGTCGGGTTAGAGGGGAGGGATAGCATTAGGAGATATACCTAATGTAAATGACGAGTTAATGGGTGCAGCACACCAACATGGCACATGTATACATATGTAACAAACCTGCACGTTGTGCACATGTACCCTAGAACTTAAAGTATAATAATAATAAAAATATGCCCAAAGTCTGTCCTCATGGAGCTTGGCAACCTAGATGAGGACATGGGCAAGAAATAAAGTGCTCTATAATATCACAGCAATTAATGCTATGAAGACATGCAGAGCAAAGGAGTAGCTGGTGACCAGAGGGTGCTATTGTAGTTAGAATTCTTAGGAAATCATTATAAATTTTTTCTTTGCATTTACATATTAGCATTGCCAACAGGATGCCTAAGAGTTGTGGGACCCATCAGTCTTACTCCTTTTCTGCTTAGCCTCATTTAGTGACCAGTTGATGTCCCTCTCTCACTCTTTGACCCTTAAGACTTGAAAGAACATTAAATGCACTCAGGGGATCTCTGCTACTGAGCAGGACTGTACCCACCTCTGCCTTTTCCTAAAGAACTCATGAAGACCCTAATTCCCTATGGGCTTCCCTTGTCTCCTGCATGCTTTGACCTCGACACTCTGTAGTACCCCACCCCATCACAAGCAGAGCCATGGCTGCCGGCAGAAATCTGCTGCTTGAAAAGGCCAAATTGTACAGAGGTCACAAGTTTCTATGTGGAGACTGCTGGAAGTGTGTCCCTGGGAAAGAAACTAAAAGCAGCTTTCCATTCTGTATGAAGGGGCAAGCTCTAAGCAAAGGGCGGTGGCCTGCAGTGAATCCAGTGAGCCCCTGAGCAGGGGACTGGGTAACACTAGCATCTGGAAGCAGAGGCCTGGATGCCACCACCATCCAGGTGGACATCTGTCTCCTGCAGGACTCCCAGTTGAATGTTCAGGTCAGCAAATATTTTCTGTAAAGGACCTGGGTAGGAAATATTTTGGCCCTGTGGGCCAGATGGCGTTTGTGGCAACTATTCAGCACTGCCATTGTAGTGTGAAAGAAGCCGTAGATAATAATGTAAGCAAATGGGCATAGCTGTGTTCAGTGAAACTTTATTTACAAAAGCAGGTGGTGGGCTGGACTTGGCCTGCAGGCTGTAATTTACTGACCCCTGGACTAGTTGATTGAACCAAAATTGGCTCCAGTAGGGAAGGTGAACATGGCTGATCTTTAGAGGTAGGAAACAGAAGGAGAGTTTATGGGAGATGTTAGAAAAGGAAAAGAAACAATCCCACCCACATCCATGGAGTTGGTTAGCTCCATTCACAGGGGAAGAGGAATGAGAAGCCACTCCTGTACCTGAGATGGGGAAGACTGAGGACAGAAAGCAGAATTCCGAAGAGAAAGTGATGGTAAAACTAGAAGAGACTACCGGGGAAAAGGGAGGAAAATCCTTTTCAAAAGTTGGGAAAATGCGATACCATGTTTGCCCTTAAAGTTCATTTATGATACACACAAAAATAAATCCTTTAAATGCTCTTTCTCAGTAAATTAATAGGTCACCAGTTGTGCCTTTAATATAAAAGCCTTTTCCTCCAGTGTAATTAATTGCAAAAGCTATAGGTAGCTGTTATCTTTCAGATCACAATTTTCCAGAATTTTGCACTCTTGGACTGTGTGGATGGAAGATACTGAATTATTAAACACAAGTTGTAATTTAGTTTTTCCTCACACATGCTGTGGGCTGTGAGGGAATGCTCTTTTGTGAAGGACATGTTGCATAAGTGATTTGTGGGCCAAGGTCCTCTGTGCTGAGCAGGGGTGGGGACAGCAGACTTTGGCCCTTCTGAGGCAGTATCTTAGGTCAGGTTCTCCGCAAGCAAAGACAGACAAGCACGCGAGTGATGGATTGAGGGAGTGTTCTCAGGAGAACACTGAGGGAGGGAGGGACTTGAGATAGAGCTGGAGAAGAAGGCAAGTCGAGGTGTGAATTCAGAGCAAGTCCACCTCCCCACGGGGAGTTCTGGAGCATGAGTGTACTGCAGAGTAGGCCCACCGGAGGGAAGGGGACTGGGCTTTTCTGTCCCTTCACTAGTCAGTCATTGTCCACAGGCTGAGTGGCAAAGAAGCGAGAGCAGTTCATAACCTCCAGGTGGCGGCTTCCATCAGCCTAAGCCCGGCCTCTGGAGGGGGGAGGGTACAGGTGTGTGAATTTTAACAGCCAGTACCTGCAGTGGCCAGAGGCCCAGCCCACCAGCTGGGGTGGACTGGCCACCAGCTGCATTTGCTGCAGCTGGTAATGCCCTTCCCCTTAGCAGGTCTGTGTGTAGGAGCATGTGTGTTGAGCTGTGGAGATAATGTTGTTCATGGTGACCAACTTTTATTGAGTACTTACTGTGTTCCAGGTGCTGTTCTAAGCATTTTAATAAATGTGGTAAATTTAACCCTGGGTTTTGTCATTTTCATTTTGCAGATGAGGAAACTAAGTCTCAGTGAACTTGGGGAACTCGCCCAGGTCACATGGTTCATTAGTGCTGGTGCTGGGATGCTAGCCCAGGCAGCCTGGCCCTGGAGCCTGGCTCCCACACCATAAGGCACAGCGGGGATCAGGGCTTAGAGTCTGGGAACCCGGTTTGGCTTTTTGCCTTCAGCAACCACCCAGCACCTGCAGGTGACAGCAGCACTGAGTTAAGAGTTTTCACTGAAGACGAGAGTGATGCGGGTGTCCACTCTGCCCTTGGCACTGTGAGAGCATGAGGCTGTTTATGGCACTCCCTCTGCCCCCAGGGAGCTAGTTTCCTTGGAGAGACACTGGGAACAAAAAAAAAAAAAAAAAAAAAAAATTATGCTCAAGTGCCACAGTGGGTCAATGGGAGAAAAAGAGAAGATATTACATGTTTAGAGTGAGCTAAGGAAGAATTATCATTTGGATAATTTCATAGAAATTCTTGCTTTTAGTTCTGCTTACTTTTTTAATATGTAAGCATCTGAAAATAATTTATTTGCCTTATGTGCTTTTTGAGGCTATTAGTGTATTTTTACTAAATGAACAAATGTTATCTCTTGTTCGGCAAAAAATTGTGTTATTTGACATTTATATAAAACGCTTTCTCAAGTGGATTTAAGACAACAGTGTCATGGCTGTTGTCTTTTGTTGCTGGATGAATCTCAGAGCCGACACAGCTGATAATGGTTGGTACCAGTCAAGGGAAGAGGTCAAGGGCTTATGATGTGTGCTCTGTTTTCACATTCCATGAGAATTACCACTTGTGCCAAAGTCTTCTTTCTCTTATGCCCATATTAATTTATTTGAGGCTGTTAGAATCTTAATTTTGCAGAGTACTTTACGATTCAGCATTACTCTCTGGGACTGTTAAACTGTGTTCCATTTTCTCAGCTTGACATTTTTTTTCCTCTTGTTTTGAACTTAAGCACTTCTGCAAGGAAAGAAAAACCATAGTGTACAATAAAATCTAAACTGTTTACAACTCTAAATTTGGTGCAATTCATTTTATGTACATTTTGTTCCATATGACTTTAGTGTCCTTCCAGTCTTGGGTTCTTCTGCCTAAACTGTCAAAGGAGCTGGCTTTCTTTGGGAGAGAGAGCCTGCAGTGTCCTGGCATACCAGCTTTCGGATCAGTGTTCTCTGTGGGAGACAGTTTTTGGCCCTGACTCTTCTTCCTGTGGCCCCTTAGTCTGGGTGGCAGCAGTGCAGTGGTTAAGAGGCTGGGCTCTGGAGCTGTACTCCCTGGGTTAAGCTGCACACTCTGCTACCTGCTGACTACATGACCTTGAGCAGGTATATAGTCTGGCAATAATGGCAGAATAAAAGTATGATAGTGCCTTCATCATAGGGCTGTTGTGAGGATCCAGTGAGACCGAAGGCATGTAGTGTTGTGCTTGCCATACGTAGTAAGGGCCTCATACATGGATGTGGCCATACATATGACTTCTGCCCATTGCACTGACCCCAGGGTTTTGGCTTGGTAATCCGTAGATGACATGGCCTTTGATGTGTCCTGGTTTGCGGTGCACTCTTTTGGCCTGGACAAGGCTCCTGTGCTCCTGTCTTCCCTGGATCGGAAGGGCATCGTGACCACCTCCCGGAGGGACTGGAAGAGCGACCTCAGCCTGGAGCGCGTGAGTGTGCTGGAATTCTTGCTGCAAGTGCATGGCTCCGAGGACCAGGACTTTGGCAACTACTACTGTTCCGTGACTCCATGGGTGAAGTCACCAACAGGTTCCTGGCAGAAGGAGGCAGAGATCCACTCCAAGCCCGTTTTTATAACTGTGAAGATGGATGGTAAGAATGTCACCCAAATTTCTCAGTGTTTGGGAATGTCTTCTTCTTGTGCCAGGCTGTAGCTGACAGAACCCAGGTGGCCACAGTTTGAGGAATGTGCCATAGCACGTCCTGCTTTCTTTCTAGACCTGGCCTGAGCCTGCACCCAGAAGGGCACCAGCAGCCCTTGCAGTTTCCCCAGCTTTGCTATTATGTGCTAGTGTCACCATTGATAAATAATTTTCAAGACTTACTAGAAAAATTTTCAAGGCTTTGCCTCTTCCATAAATTTATAGAAACTCGCTTTATGGTGTCCGAGGGTTGGCATGGATTCTGCTAGGCACAGGCAGAGAGCAGCCTTGAGAGAGAGGGCTCAGGTCAATAGGGGAGGCTATAGCTTAGGGACCTGCTACTCTCACTACCACTGGTTTTGCTTCTTAAGAGAGACTCATGGCTGGGCACAGTGGCTCACGCCTGTAACCCCAGCACTTTGGGAGGCCGAGGCGGGCGGATCATGAGGTCAGGAGTTCGAGACCTGCCTGGCCAACATAGTGAAACCCCGTCTCTACTAAAAATACAAAAAAGAAAAACAAAATTAGCCAGGAGTGGTGGCGGGTGCCTGTAATCCCAGCTACTCGGAGGCTGAAGCAGGAGAATTGCTTGAACCCAGGAGGTGGAGGTTGCAGTGAGCCGAGATCGCACCATTGCACTCCAGCCCAGGCGACAATGGGATACTCCATCTCAAAAAAAAAAAAAAGAGACTCCTTCTGGAGTCAGTGGCACAGAGTGGGTACTTCACGGAGCCCCAAGATGGGAGGATGAGCTCCCAGCCTCGTTGGCCCACGATGAACACCAGGGTCAACCTAACTAGACAGTCAGAGCTTTGTTCCTTGAGCATCCCAGAGTGGGGACAGTTGTTCCTTGGTTTACAAAAAACATGTCTCCTTTGTGGAAAATTTCAGAAAGTACATGTTAGTCGAAATAACTCCATAAAGAGAATTAAAGTCCAGGGGCCTCCGAGGATGAGTAAAAGCCTTTTGAGTGTTTCCCTAGTGATCAGTCAGATGGAAATTGGAGCCCTAGCTCTTCCACAGACTACTTAGCCTTTCTGATCCATTTTCTCTCGTAAAATGGGATAATAGTCTTCTATGGGGCTATTTCGAAAATTAAACCTTAGCAAACGTAAAGCACCTAGCCCAGTGGCAGCGTCCACCCAAGGAGCATGGGTACTTATGGGGAAAGGAAGGTGGGATTTCAAGGGTGGAGTCTAAATGGTGTTTGTGCATTTCTGACACTTAAATCATCTGTACCATATTTTGCATCTTAGGAATTCCTTGCTTGAAGTAACTCCGTATAAAAACCCAGATTTAACAAACAGGGGAGTGATTATTCACTTTGCTAGATAATTTAGTATAGTGTTACTTAAAATAGCTCCCTTAGTACACTTCAGTTATTTGATGCATAGGATTGATTTATGCATGGTTTTTTTAAGGATGCATCTGCTGCTGAACGTGCGGTGCCCTTATACTGACTTTTAAAAATCAATCTTTTGCCAAAACCCTAAAAAGCAAGTTGACATTCAAAGGCATCGAGTGAAATCTTCTTTGTGGTTTTTATTCTCCCCGCAGAGCTGGGTAGGAAGACATTTGCTCATTTTTGTGACAGATAAGGCTGAGCTTCTCCTGTCTCCAGTGGTGTGCTAGGTGCTAGATGCAGGAGGAATGAGACCTTATCTCTCGGGAGATCCTGCTCCAGTGGGGAAGGGAGGCGAGGGTGCCCCCAAAGCGGCCTCCCTCGCAGCACTGACTGGCTTCCCCTTTGATCTCTCCCTCCCAGTGCTGAACGCCTTCAAGTATCCCTTGCTGATCGGCGTCGGTCTGTCCACGGTCATCGGGCTCCTGTCCTGTCTCATCGGGTACTGCAGCTCCCACTGGTGTTGTAAGAAGGAGGTTCAGGAGACACGGCGCGAGCGCCGCAGGCTCATGTCGATGGAGATGGACTAGGCTGGCCCGGGAGGGGAGTGACAGAGGGACGTTCTAGGAGCAATTGGGGCAAGAAGAGGACAGTGATATTTTAAAACAAAGTGTGTTACACTAAAAACCAGTCCTCTCTAATCTCAGGTGGGACTTGGCGCTCTCTCTTTTCTGCATGTCAAGTTCTGAGCGCGGACATGTTTACCAGCACACGGCTCTTCTTCCCACGGCACTTTCTGATGTAACAATCGAGTGTGTGTTTTCCCAACTGCAGCTTTTTAATGGTTAACCTTCATCTAATTTTTTTTCTCCCACTGGTTTATAGATCCTCTGACTTGTGTGTGTTTATAGCTTTTGTTTCGCGGGGTTGTGGTGAGGAAGGGGTGATGGCATGCGGAGTTCTTTATCTTCAGTGAGAATGTGCCTGCCCGCCTGAGAGCCAGCTTCCGCGTTGGAGGCACGTGTTCAGAGAGCTGCTGAGCGCCACCCTCTACCCGGCTGACAGACAACACAGACCTGTGCCGAAGGCTAATTTGTGGCTTTTACGACCCTACCCCACCCCCTGTTTTCAGGGGTTTAGACTACATTTGAAATCCAAACTTGGAGTATATAACTTCTTATTGAGCCCAACTGCTTTTTTTTTTTTTTTTTTTGCTTCTCTGCCCCTTTTCCATTTCTTTTGTATTTGTTTTCTGTGAGAGCACTGAAATGGCAGCCCTGGAATCTACAATTTGGCTCTCCACTGAGCACCTTATCTTGCCACCTTAGCCTTAAGAATGAATATGAAGAAAAATACACAGCCACCTCTGTCCAGGGCAGTAAGAAGGGCTGCAAGGAAGGGGAGGATGGGGACAAGGAAAGGATCAGATACCTGCTCCAGTAGTTGTGAGGCCACTGTGTCTCAGGGGACTCCAGGAGGAGCAGAAGAGGGATCCCACGAAGTTATTCTTACGCAGCTGGGGCCAGGAGGGTCAGAGTGGTGCCAGGTGCAAGTTAGGCTAAAGAAGCCACCACTATTCCTCTCTCTTGCCCATTGTGGGGGGCAAAGGCATTGGTCACCAAGAGTCTTGCAGGGGGACCCACAGATATGCCATGTCCTTCACACGTGCTTGGGCTCCTTAACCTGAAGGCAAATTGCTACTTGCAAGACTGACTGACTTCAAGGAATCAGAAATTACCTAGAAGCACCATGTTTTTTCTATGACCTTTTCAGTCCTTCAGGTCATTTTAAGGTCCACTGCAGGGGGTTAGTGAGAAAGGGTATACTTTGTGGTATGTTTTGCTTTCCTAATAGGGACATGAAGGAAACCCAGCAATTTGCTGTTATGTGAATGGCCTGTAGAGCAGAGTCAAGAGCGGTGTGCTTTGCCCGACTGCTCCCATCAGGAATAGGAGAGTAGACAGAGATCTTCCACATCCCAGGCTTCTGCTGCTGCTTTAAAAGCTCTGTCCTTGGAGCCTCCCGCTCCCTGAAGTGTCTCGCCCCCTGCACAGCACTGGCCTTTCGGAAGCATCCCAGTAGGGTTTTCTGAGGCTCGCTGGTGACTCATGCCCTAATTGCAATCCTCTGCTTTTATCTTGACTTTGAAGGATCTAACACTGCTCTCTCTTCCAAAGGGGAAAAAAAGATTCATTTGTTTTGAGCAATAAACTAATACAAAATGATGGCCATTCATGTGCAGCTCTTTGTCACCATGGGCCGGATGAGTTGTGCTCCTCCTGGCTCACCATTTCCCCCTGCTCCCCCACAGCCGGTTCTGCACTTATCACCGAGTCGCCCCTGGAAGCAGATTCCCATTGAGTTTTCCCCACCAAGGGGACCATGCACATGGTAGAAACATTAGATTCTGCATTGACAGTAGCCTTTCCTTGGCCCGGGCCTGTGGTGGGAAGACGGGCAACAAGTATACCCCACCAGGGCCTGAGTGACTAGAGGAAGAGGACGAGGCCTTGTTGGCACTAGATTTGGGTATTTTCTGCATGTCATAACATATCCTAACTGCTATTTCAGAAGAGGCAGCTTGTAGGTGATTGTACAAGTGAGAATTAAAGAGAGAACAGATATTTAAACAGGTGCTGTATTAGTAACAGCCAGTGCCCTTTCAGCCCTTGCATCTATTAAAAGGAGATTCAGGATTTTATTGGCACAGGCCCTTCTTAGTAGGAAGAAAGGGTGCTTAGCTTTGGACCTGACCGGGTGTGTGTAAAACCATGGACTGAGTCACAGCAGACACTCGATGGTGGTAAATGTGATGGGTGCTTACACACTGTACCTTTTCCTTTCATACTGATGCTGCAGTTCAGGGCTGGAGTTGTTAAGGCATTGACCTCCACCCACCTGCCCCATGTCCACTGGGCTGCCCAAGCTGCATGTCACCTGAGGGCTGGCAGGAAGGGGCGAGAAATCCCAGGGCATTGTACCAAGGACCTAGTTCCTTCTAGGGATATAAATTTCCAGGAATGTGTATTTTTAATGTGGTGAGATGCACTCTTTTGTTGTACCAAATAGGGCTCCCCACCCCACCCCTGCGACAAGTGCTCTTCTAGAACAGGTTCCTACCAGCAGCACTGGTGTGAATGAAAGAGAGACCCAGCCGCGTCTCACACAGGTGGAATTGCACTTCTTAACAAAAAGGAACTTTATAAAAGTTTGGGATTTTTTTTCCTAATCATAAAAATAGCCCCAGAAAGAGCCTAAGCTATGTTCAGATAGAAGCCTCGAAATTCCTGTAAATTGTTTACTTTATGATGTTTACATACACGTTTCACTTTGAAAAAAAATGCAAATCGACTTTTTAACAACTGTTGAGATGTTTCATGGGACAGTAGAACTCTGACTCACCAACTGGGCTAAATTTTAATTTAAAAATGTATTTATTTGAGTGTCTTTCCCCCCCTCACCCTCACCATCTGAGGGGCTCCCTGAGATCTTGGTAGAGGAGGCCCCTCCTGCCCAGACCTTCGTTTGTTTCCCCGGTGGCCCTTGCTTCTTGCTTTGCAGACTGCCTGCAGCCATGATTTTGTCACTGACATCTGTGAGCCAAAGACTGAGCCTTTTTGGCAGGAATAATAAGCAATACTACACAACTTGCTACTTTCAGAAAACTTTTTTTTAGCTTCACCGATGACAACAGAGGAAGAAGGGAACTGGGATTTGGGTAAGTTCTCCTCCACTGTTTGACCAAATTCTCAGTGATAAATATGTGTGCAGATCCCTAGAAGAGAAAACGCTGACTTTCTTTTTAAGTGTGGCACATAAGGATCTGCAGAATTTTCCGTAGACAAAGAAAGGATCTTGTGTATTTTTGTCCATATCCAATGTTATATGAACTAATTGTATTGTTTTATACTGTGACCACAAATATTATGCAATGCACCATTTGTTTTTTATTTCATTAAAGGAAGTTTAATTTAAATTGAAGTTGTGTGAGGAGCTTGATATTGGCCTCTGTCCTTTCATATCTTCAGCGTGAGGGATTGTGACTGGATTCCAGCAGCAACTTTAGCACCTTCTGATCTCTTTGAATCCTGTAAAAGCATTGCAGATTTTCACTAATGATAAGAGAAGAAATGGATTTGATGGGATCAATGTTGAAGTTCCCACCGGGTGGAAAGGTGAGGGCTAGGATCCTATTGTTTACAGAAGGCCTCCTGCTCTTTCAGGGAATTCCCATGACCTTACAGGACTCCTCTCAGGAAAGAGAGAAGTTAGATATTGTTCCTCTCTGCAGTTGAGGAAACACCAAAGTTCTGTGACCATATCGTGACTGGAACGGAGTGGTTTTTCTGACTCATGATGCAGTCTGGGGCCAAATCAGTCCAGAAGGTAGCAGCCCCTGTAATAGAAAAACAATCGTCTTCCCTAGGCCGCTGGCGTCAGCAGGCCTGGGCAGGAGTGAATACCGAGAACCCAACTCCCTGCGGGCCCCTGGAACAGCTGCTTGCCCTTGGCTGGCCTCCGCCATTCACTCTCCTCTTGGCCTCGTTTGCATTCTCTGTCTTTTGTGTCCTTTCCAGGGACCAACTTCATGTTGTGGAGTTATTCAAGGGCTGGGTCCGTGTCCCAGTCACTAACATTACCCAATGACTGGCACTCTTCCAGGCATGTAGAAGGCACTTGCACTTTGTAAATGCACAGTTAATGCTCTGCTCTAGGAAATGAGCCATCATTGCATGCTTCTTAGCGAACCGGGAGGGTTCCACTCATGTCACAACGGTAACACGGTCAGAGCTGGTCATTAGCAATCCTCCACCTATTTCTGAACCCATTCCTGCCTAAAATTTAAGTTATAAATTTATATTAATAACATTAAACTAAATTAAAAACAAAACAGGAACTTACTTGCATACTTATTGTGTGCCCAGGCATTGTGCTAAGCACAATTGCTGCTGAGTTGTCTGTAGGCCTTGGCACATAGTATCTGCTTGCCTAGAAACTTATTTCTATCCAGCCTTCCTTCCTCCTAACTTGTACTTCTCTTTCAGGACCCAGGGGTCATCTTCTCCTTCTCTAGGCAAAGTGAAGGTCCCTTGACAGATGGTCTGATAGTCTGAAAATGATGGGAGGATAGGAACCATTCATTGCTGTGGCTTCAGTACCAAATTGTGAATTGGACTCTTACAATGTGCCATGCACTAAGACAAGTACCTCATAGATGTGATTGCAATCTTAAGTGACCCAAAGGGATTTACAGCAGAAGCACTCTTGCCTGTTCTTCACAAAACTGGATCATTCAAAAAATACCACTCACTTCCTCTAACCCACAGACCAGTGTGTGTGACACACTTTTAAAATGAAAGTTTTAGTATTATTTAGGTTTGGCAGGGCCAACAGATCAGGAGACAATTGCCGTAGAAAAGATGGTTTGTTATATTCATAGAACCCAAGAGGAGGGACGTACCCCACCATGGGAGGCTGCGCAGGGAAGCACCAGGGTCAAGGCACAGGGGAAACATGGGCACGGGGCTTTATTGTGGTTTTTGCAGGAAGGAATAGGTGAGGCAGAGTAGGCAGGCTTAGGATTGGCTAGGTTGAATAATTTCAGCAAGCTCTAGGGCATAGGGGTTGTCCCTAGTTGTCTGGTACCTAATCCTGGGTGATTTGGGAAAGGGAGTAGTGGTCCTTAGTGCAAGAATTCAGTGGAGGAGGTTGTGCAGTGTAGGCTCTGGATTGGTTGGTTTGCATACGAAAGGCTTCTCTCAGGAGAGTCCTTAACTAGCTCTAGGAATTGGTTAGCCCTGGCAGGGGCAGTCTCTCCAGGATTAGCAAGACCCAGATGTTAAAGCATCAATAAACAGAAAATAAAAAGGGGTGATTAATGCATACACTCATTGCTTAGGGCTTGTAGACTACTGAGTCTTGTAAACACCTGGGTGGCTCAGCTCCACCCAGAGAGGTGATGCTCACCTGAGTCCACCCTGTTCTGTGCATTCTCCAACCTACTTGTGCCAACAGTACTGGTTACTATGATTATAATAAGTTTGTTGAATAGTATGTAAACCAATGAAATATGAATGCCAAAGGGGTGTTCAAAAGTGCTGTTGGTAAAACTGGATGTCCACATACAAAAGAATGAAGCTGGACCCTTACCTCACACCATCTACAGAAATTAACTCAAAATGAATTAAAGACCTAAACATAAGACTTAAACCTATAAACTCCTAGAAGAGAACATAGGAGGAAAGCTGTAATACTTTGGATTTGGCAATAATATGTTGGGTGTGACACCAAAAGCTCAAGCAACAAAATAAAAAAAAAAAATAGACAAATGGGACTACACAAACTTAATTTCTGCATGTCAAAGGAGAAAAACTAACAGAGTGAAAAGACAACCTTCAAAATGGAAGAAAATATTTAAAAATCATGTATCTGATAAGGGGCTAGTATCCAGAATATATAAGTAACTTAGTTGTACAATAAAAAGTAACCTGATTTTAAAATGGGCAAAGCATAAAAAGGAATGAAATAATGGCATTTGCAGCAACCTGGATGGAATTGGAGACCATTATTCTGAGTGAAGTGACTCAGGAATGGAAAACCAAACATCGTATGTTCTCACTCATAAGTGGGAGCTAAGCTACCAGGACACAAAGGCACAAGAAGGATACAATGGACTTTGGGGACTCTGGGGAAAGGGTAGGAGTGGGGTGAGGGATAAAAGACTGCACATTGGGTACAGTGTCCACTGCTAAGGTGATGGGTGCACCAAAATCTCAGAAATCACCACTAGAGAACTATTCATGTAACCAAACACCACGTGTTTCCCACAAACCTGTAAAAATTTAAAACAAAATGGGCAAAGGACTTGAATAAACAACTCTCCAAAGAAGATATACAAATGGAAAGCAAACATGAAAAGATGGTCAGCATCGCTAATCGTAGGCGAAGCACTGATCAAAACCACAATGAGATATCAATTGACGTGCATTAGGGTAACCACTATCAAAAGAATAGGAAATAACAAGTGTTACTGAGAATGTGGAGAAATTAGAACTCTTGTACTCTGTTGGTGATGTAAGATGGTGCCGCTGCAAAGGAGAACAGCATGGAGTTTCCTCAAAAAACTAAATAGAATTACCAAATGATCCAGCAGTTCCACTTCTGGGTATATATCCAAAAGAATTCAAAGCAGTATCTCAAAGAGGTATCTGCATACCCATATTCATCACAACAGTATTCTCAGTAGCCAAACGGTAGAGGTAACCGACCTTTTGTTGATGGCAACAGATGAATAGATAAAGAAAATGTGGTATGTACTTACAATGGAATATCATGCAGCCTTTAACAAGGAAATCCTGTCATACATTACAGTGTGGATGAACCTTGAGGACATAAGTGAAATAAGCCAGTCACAAGGACAAATATGTATGATTCCACTCATATAAAGTATCACAGAAGGTAGAAAAGTAAGGTTGCCAAGAGCTGGGGGGGAGGGGAAATTAGTGTATACTGGGTATAGAGTTGCAAGATGAAAAAGTTACGGAGATCTATTGCCCAACAATGTGAATATACTTTCTAAACTGTACATTTAAAATGGTTAAGATGGTAAGTTTAATGTTATGCTTTTTACCACAATTTTAAAAAGTAAGATGTATCAATAAAAACATGAATTCTCTGGAAAAAACTCATAAAAGCAAATTGCTTTTTAAAAAAATGCTATCAATTTAGGTATGGGCAAAATAACTGTAAAAGATTGAGCGGGGTGGGGAGGATAACAGAAACATGGGAGGACTCTACACTCCGTTGGCTTCACAAATGCTTAAGTTCTTACTCCATTTCAAAAAAATCAAACCTGAAATTTGTAGAGTAGACATTATAGGTTTGGTTTATGCAAGAAAGTGGCAAGAGACTCCAGGCAGCAGACCCATATTCAACAGGAAGGCTCGGGCCTGTGTCAAGAGATTGGTGAATGAATGTGCATGTATATGTTGAGGTAGAAATAAAATGTCTAAGATCCATGGAAGTCTTTTTATGATTCCCACGTTTACCTGACATGTTCTCTTAATTGATCAACTAACAGCCCAAATTGTGTCAGATAAGAAAGTTTCTACTGTTATTGTTACCATTTTTATAAATGAGGAAATTGAGACATAAGGCAAGTGATTTGCTCAAGATTTGAACCCAAATCTTTCTGACTCCACAGTCTATGCACGTTCTAAATCATTACACCAGTCTCAGTGCCTGAATATGCCAGGCATTTGTTAAGTATTTGTTGCATACATAGAAAGATGAGTAAGAACTAGCCCCTTCTTTTAGGAAATTCATGGTCTTACAAGATAGGGAAGTGTATAAATAATTCATTTTGTTACTATATAATAAGTAAACTTACAGAAATTCACTGACATAGTATAAACCTTTCTTTGGATTTCTATCCAAAATGTTAAGAAAGTTTTCACATAGGAGATGCAAACCCCAATTTTAAAATTTTTACATGAATGGGCATTTACCAGGTAGTAATGGGACAAGATTCTAAGCAAAGGGGATAGCATTTGCAAAAGAAAGAAACAATGGTAAGGTACATTCAGAGAAATATAAGTGATTCTGTATTCCTGAAGGTTGAAAGTTAAAGGATAGGGTGGTGAGAGTGTTCCCCAGGGTCAGCTCACAGAGATCACGTCAAGAAGTTTGGACCTGATCCTCTAGAAATGTTTTGGAGCCACTGAAAGAAAAATTTGGAAAGTTAATGGCTGTGTTTGTATTTTAGATCACTCTGTCAGCCGAGTAGCAGGGAGAGACAAAGCTGGAAGACCAAAGGGGCTGCATTAGTCCAGATGAAAACTCAAAGCTCTCAGTTGTGATGGCAACGGGTAGAATTAATTCATAAAAGATTTTAAGGAGAACTGATAGGATTTCATAAGTGGATGTGAAGCATGGAGGCCAGCCATGGGTCTGGGTTGATACTGGTGCATTCAACCATAATGGACAATACCAGTGAAAACAGAAAACAATGATTTCAGCTTTAGACTCGAGTTTGAGTTTCCTGAGGAACCTTCAAGTGGAGATACTCAACACCAGCTAGATGGTCTGGAGCTTAAGGGAGAACTTGGGGTTGGAGATCTATTTGAGATTGTCAATATAGAGATGGGGAATGAGATGCAGCGGGGTGAGAAAAGAAGGGCTGAAGACAGAACCTTGGAGAAGATAATAATTTCAAGTGGCCTGGAGAAGAGAAACCAGTGAGAAGCAGACTGAGAAAGAACTTCCAAAGGGGTAAGGGAAAATCCTGGAGAGAGTGGTGTCGGAGGAGGAAGGAAAGAATTGCAAGCAAGTTTGCCAATGGCCAGCCACACCTGATGCCACAGAAAGACCAGGTCAAGTGAGCAGTGTTCACTTTTGTGGCCCAGGAAGTCTGTGTGGACCCATGCCCAGATTTCAGTGGGCCAAAGTGGCAGTGAGAATTAGGAAATCAAACAGAACGCAGAACACCAGGAAACTGTCAGAAGTTTGAAGATGGGAGAGAAAAGGAGGTGATTTGGAACTAGAGTAAAAATTGGCTATTTAGTAGGATAGGAGACACTTGAGCTTCTTTATGGACTGAGTAAGCAATGGATGGGTGTCTGGCCCCAAGGGGATAAGAGGGATCTAGGGTCTAGGTAAAGGGAGCTTCCTGTCTCCTCTCCTCCTTTCTGCCTCTCTTTAAGGCCTATTCTGATCCCCTCCCCTAAACTTTTTTTAATCTTTATAGCTTGTTGTCAACTGACCCTCCGCAGGAAATTTAAGGAATAGCCCTTCCCAAGGAAGTATTCACTTAGAAAACAGGAGATGGCCTAGGATCCCATCTGTTTCTCTTTCTCCTCTTTTGTCAGGAAGCTAAACTCGCCCTATTTTGCACCCCATGCTTCTTTGCCTCCTCCATAGAAACCTAGTTCATGCTTTCCTCACAGGTAGGAAGAGTTGTCACCCACCTTGAAAACTTCTTCAGGATTGGTTAACTCATCAGCTCCTGGTGAAGCTGGGCCAGTGGGAAGGAAGAGCAAAGAGGCCGGGGAGTTGGGACCTGGACTTCATCCTCCATCACTGGGGCCAAGTCCCAGCTGGGCCTATGCAAGGCCTCAGTTTCTTCCTTTGTTATATGAGGGAGTTGACTGAGATCACTATGGTCCCTTCTTGTAGTGTGACTGCTTGGTGTTATACACATGCAGAGGTGAAGCTCAACTTCAGGGTCTCCCTCACATGGGCAAGTCCAGGCCCTGTGGAACGGTAATCAATTTGACCTGAGTTCAAAGAGCTCAAGTGGGATAAGGGGTGAAATAATGATCAGCCTCCTGCTGACCCCTTAGGGTTTTTTCCCCCTCCTCCAGCCATTCACTATCGTACATTCTGCCTCCTGTAAATCATGAGTAGCTAGCTAGAAGGTTTGTTAGAAAGAGCTCTGAACCAAAAGTGAGAAGGCAGCCTTAGAATCCCGCCATTTTCTAGCCATGATATTGATATACTCTGAGTCTGTTTTCTCATTTGTAGAATGGGATTAGTAATACCTACCACATAGTGATATGAGGTATTCTATAAGACTGTATATGTAAAGTGCCTTGCACAGAGCCTGATATGTAAAAGGTCCCTATTTAAATATTTCTTGGGCCTGAGTGCTTATGATCAGAGGACATAATACCTGCAATTTCTATGGTTCTGTGGAACTAATATTGGCGCATATCAACCTGAAAAAAAGAACTTTTTATTAATCTTCCAGGAACTAGAACAGAATTTTTCCTTTAGTACCTTCCTGGTTTCTTTGTCCAGTACTCTCTCCCCCCATCTGAATCAGGAACTACATTTTTACATTCCTTTCAAATGATACAATTGCAATGCAACAATTCCCAAGGTAAAAGAATAACTGTCTGTCTTGCTGGCTCTATTTTTTCTTTTCTTCTTCCTTTTTTTTTTTTTTTCTTGACAACAGAGAGCTTCTTTTTCCCCCCAGAAAAGAGGCAACATCACCCTGTCAATGTTAAATTCTGGCAGAAATGAAGCCACTGAAATGGAAAGAGAAAAAATATTTTGGCAACAGCCAGGAATGAGAAATTGCATAGCATTTACTGGGTTATATATATTCTGTGGATACAGGATACTCTCTATTATTGGCAATGATTGTCTCTGTGGTCAATGCTTATTTCTAAAATAATTCTCTTTTCAGTGCACATGGCAGATTGATTGCATTGATGGCCTCAGTTTGTTTGTGTTAATCTCTCCCTTTGCTCTATCACTTTGTAGTTCCCCTCCATAAAGAGGCAGAGTATATATTAACCCATCTCTTGCCTTTGGACTTTCATGTGGCTTGCTTTGGCCCATGGGATGGTAGTGGTCATGATGTAAGTAGAAGCTTTAAAAAATGCTGTTGTGTTTCCACTAGTTCTTTTGGACCCCTGACATTACCATGAAAATGTGCCAGTCCAGCCTGCCAGAGAGATGTGAGAGACATGTGGAAGAGAACTGAGTCATCCCAGCCAAGGCCATCCTAGACCATCCAGCTCCTGTCAGCAGGACACAGCCCCATTAACAGAGCCACCCAGCTGACCCATAGGCTTGTCAACAGAAATAAATGTTTGCTGTTGCAAGCCACCAAAGTTTTCTGATTGTTACACAGCAGTAACTACTCCATTCACCACATTTGCTTAAAGTGTTGGTGCCTGGGGGTGACCCCCAACTTCTGCAACTAAAATGGTGAATAAATTCCTGTAACTTGAGCCTCACTGATTTTATAGTTAGTAGCCTGGAGAGTTTGTTCGAAATCTCCATCCTAGGCAGACTGCCCTTTAATTGTTCCCAAAATACAATCTGCACATCCCTGACTCTGCCTCTGCCTCTGTACATTGTATTTGTCCACACTGAAATGTCCTTCTCCTTCCTGCCCATTTGCATCATACTAGATGTCCAAGGACCAATTTTAAAACCAGGCTCTTCTGAATGACTTACTGCGACTGTTCCCTGCCTTTTCAGCCTATTAATTCAGGTTATTTCTTGCCTGAGCTATAGATCGGATACCAGACCCATGTTTGCCGTATATGGCTGCTGTTTTTTTTTTTTTTTTTATCTCAGCTGTTTATTAAACTAGACCCCAAGTTCCTGGAGGGCAGGGCCCTCTTACACCTCTTTTATCCCCCAAGCCTTGCATAGTATCTTGAAAAGGGAAGTACAGGGCCTTTCACTTAAGACTTCAATATTTGTAGTTTGACCATCACTGGAGGGCTAATAGGTATCATTGCTAATGAATAAAACCAGAAGAATGGATGAGTGAATGGAGGGATGGATGGATGTATGGATGGATAGATAGATAGATAAAGTTAGATGCCTCCAGACCTGAATTTGTAGAATGTACCCCATTCTACTATAATTCTCACTAGGAAAATAAATTTTACTTTAAAATGCCACCTTTCCCCTGAAGATTTTACTGACCTCCCATTCATTCTCTCCAGATTAGACATGCCCTCTTCCTTCTCTGATATCCCTATGTGACAGTCAAGTTCTTACCTGCTCACCTCCACCATGCCACATGGCACAAGCAGCAGCTCCTTCAGATCAAAGGCTGCAGCTTAATTATGTCCTTAATGGATGTCCAGCACATGGTAGGGTGCTTACTGCACAGGGAGTATTCCGTAACTATTTGATTATTTTATCTATCCCACCTCTGTCTTTATTTATTTATTTATTTTGAGATGGAGTCTCGCCCTGTCGCCCAGGCTGGAGTGCAGTGGCGTGATCTTGGCTCACTGCAAGCTCCGCCTCCTGGCTTCATGCCATTCTCTTGCCTCAGCCTCCCCAGTAGCTGGGACTACAGGCGCCCACCACCACACCCAGCTATTTTTTTGTATTTTTAGTAGAGACGGGGCTTCACCATGTTAGCCAGGATGGTCTCGATCTCCTGACCTCGTGATCCGCCCGCTTCTGCCACCTAAAGTGCTGGGATTACAGGCATGAGCCACTGCGCCCGGCCTCTGTCTTTATTTTAAATGCCCTACTTCAGGCCCTTATTATTGCTCATAGAGACAACTACAAAAACCTTGTAACTGACCTTCTTGCTTCTAGCCTTGTCTCCCTTCTTCACCTTTCAACCTGTTAGCAATGCACACATACAGAATTCAACTTAAAAGGAAAAACGGAAAATCCAACCAGGCTATACTACCACTAAAAATCTTCATAGCTTCCCTCTTCTTTGAGGTATTAATAAAAGCCAAGCTCTTAGGCTTGGCACACGAAGCCCACTAAGATCTGCCCATCCTACCTGTATAGATCCTTCTTTCACAACAACCTCAAACTTCATTCCAACAAGATAGTACAGCCTGTGTGTTACTATTCATGCCACACGGTTTTTCCCCAACTGTACCTTGGCCCCCTGCCTCTCTAGATGACTCATTGACTCACCTGGCCCAGCCCAATCCATCTTGACCTTCCCTCCTGCCTACCAATTTTCCCCACCCCCTATAGGTGCCCCACTGATTGTTGACACATTGCATTGTGATTATCTGATTTAAGTGGAAGCTTCCTGAGAACTCTAGCACTAGCGTAGTATTAGTCTAGGTTCAGGGCCAACTGTTGCATTTAGATACTCCTCTGCCATCCTTGATACCTGGGTTCACATCGGTGTAACTGCCCATTAGCGTAACTGCCCAACAGGTTTCTCCTTGCCTGCTGCCCAGATAGAACAGACTTATCAAGACAGGAGAATTGCAATAGAGAAAGAGTTTAATTCACACAGAACCAGCTAAATGGGAAACCAGAGTTTTATTACTCAAATCAGTCTCCCCGGAAATTCAGAGACTGGAGTTAGTAAGGATAATTTGGCAGGCCAGGGAGTGGGGAGTGCTGATTGGTCAGGTAGGAGATGAAATCACAGGGGATCAAAGGGGGTTCTTGCAGTCTTCCGTTCCTAAGTGGGATCAAAGAACTGGTGGAACCAGATCACCAGCCTGGATGGTGTCAGCTGGTGCATCAGGATGCAGGGTCTGAAAAATACCTTGAGCACCAATTTAGGTTTTACAATAGTGATGTTATCCCTAGGAACAGTTGGGGAGGTTGGAATTGTGTGGCCTCTGGCTGCATGACTCCTAAACCATAATTTCTAATGTTGTGGCTAATTTGTTAGTCTTACTAGGGAAGTCTGCTCCCCAGGCAAGAAGGGGGTTTGTTTCCAGAAAGGGCTGTTATCCTCTTTGTTTCAAAATTAAACTAAGCTAAATTCCTCCCAAAGTTAGTTTGGCCTACAACCAGGAATTAACAAGGGCAGCTTGGAAGTTAGAAGCAAGATGGAGATGGTGAGGTCAGATCCCTTTCACTGTCATAACTTTCTCACTGTTACAATTTTTGCAAAGGCAGTTTCACAGGGCAGATGAAGATTTACTTAAATGTCTCATGATGGTGATGATGGTAGCTAATATTCATTGAGCAGTTACTATGTACCAGATATTGTTCTAAGTGCTTTAAATAAATTAGCTTGAAACTATCATTCTCAGCAAACTATCTCAAGAACAAAAAACCAAACACTGCATGTTCTCACTCATAGGTGGGAATTGAACAGTGAGAACACTTGGACACAGGAAGGGGAACATCACACACCGGGGCCTGTCATAGGGTCGGGGGAAGGGGGAGGGAAAGCATTAGGAGATATACCTAATGTAAATGACGAGTTAATGGGTGCAGCACACCAACATGGCACATGTATACATATGTAACAAATTTGCACGTTGTGCACATGTACCCTAGAACTTAAAGTATAATAATAATAAAAAAAAGTAAAATACAAAAAAAAAGAAATAAAAAAATAATTAAAAAATTAGCTCATTTGGCATTCACAGTAATCTTACAGGGTACCTACTATTAGTATCCTCATTTTAGCAATGAGGGTTAGGAAAAGTTAATTAAGTTTTCTAAGATTGCACAGTTACTAAAACTAGAATCTGCATGCAAACCCAGGCAGCCTGACTCTAGAGCCTGTAACCTTCAGCACCACCTCATGTCGCCCCAAGTTCATGTTTTTCAGGGGCCTTCTCCCATTTCTCAGTCATTTCCTCTCTCAAGAGAGGAGGAGAAGGAAGGGCCAAGAAGACAACATTGCTGGTGCCTTTTTTATTTATTCAGTTTACCTAAATTCTCTCATCATTACCAAATGACACATACTGTGAGCCAGGTTGAGACCCATCTTTTCTTAGTTTTATCGATATCTGTTTACTTAACCACAAAGATAACTTTTTTACTCCCAAATTTGAGTGATTAGTAAAGAGCTACATAATGTAACCAGTTTTGCTTTTCACAAGACATCTCTATTTCTCAGTGGGCTGAAAACCACACTTTTGCTTCCTCTTTACTTTGCAGTGAGAGCACAGCATTTGTCACTCAACCTCTGAATGTTAGTGACACTATTGGGACGAAAAAGGACTGTGCTGGCCCAAATGGCAGGCATCTCATATGTGGCATCTTTCTTTCTCCTTCTGAGTAAGTTTCATAATCCTTTATGTTTCTCTTGTCACAGGAGTTCATCAACTCAGGGTGCTGAGTGATGGAACAGGACAATTTGGTCTCTACAGGAACAACTATGCCATATATTTCTGATGTTAGCAATAATTTTTGACTTACTAATGACAGTTCTTGGCTTACCTAGACATCCTTGAGTTCCAGGGAGTCACAATGCTTGGTTGAGTCCCATGCACAAGATTCCATTGGTTTTAACATTTGTGTGTGTTGCCAGATCTGTCAGTTTTGCTTGGCCCTGGCTTTACTCATCTTCCTGGGCCGATCATCCCAAGAGACAGTAAAAAAGCTTTGTGTCCCAAACTGAGAGGAGACCTTAAGGTTTGCCTGATATTAAGGCTTGATGGGATAACTATGCCTTGCAGATATGACTGGATGGAAAGAAAGGTTATGAAAGTACTTAGTAGTTTTAGACTATGCTAAAAGAAGGTTCTAGATTTCACCTGCGAGTGGAAGTGGAAATTGACTACTGAGAGACTGAGAAATGAACAGGAAGATTCACTTGGCTCTACTGAGGGCCATGCAGAGGGGCTTGCCTGATCTAGGGGCATTTATCTATGTTTGAATAGGATGGAAGAAGAGAAAATTTGGAGGTAGAAGGGAGAGTCAGATGAGTTGAGCAGGTAATGGAATAGTTTCAAACCAGATAGCAGGTACTTTTTATGCTACAGTTTTCATTAACATCTGGTAAAGAGAATAGACTCCATCTCAGAATAATGTTTAAAATGCATAAAATAAAATGCATAGAATTACAGAGGAAATCAGTCACATTGAAATACAGGTATCAAAATATTTTAAATAAATTATAATGCAGTAATTTATTTGCTTCTTATTTATGCATTACATAACAAAATCTACAGGTAGGTCTTTTAACCACCAAACTTCAAAGTAATGATGAGTATAAATAACATTTCAATATATCTTAAGTAGTTGTAATGTGATATGAAGATATCTGTGGTTGTCTACATACATAACTGAAGAAAATACTAAATTTCCATTAGAGGCAAAAATGAAAATAAAGATGTAAGATTATTTTTCACCCTAGTTTATGGACCCTTTAATCCTACATGTGGACCCAGTTAAGAACTCTTGCTTTATAGCTGGGCATGGTGGCACATACCTGTGGCCCTAGCTACTTGGGAGGCTGAGGTGGGAGAATCGCTTGAACCTGGGAGGTGGAGGTTGCAGTGAGCCAAGATTGAGCCACTGCACTCCAGCCTGGGTGACAGAGTGAGATTCCATCTAAAAAAACAAACAAACAAACAAAACTCTTGCTTTAGAGAGACTGGATGGAGCCAGTGCAGGGACCCGAATGGCTGGGATGATTGGGGAACTAAACCAAGCTGCATTTGGTGTGACCAGGACTATGGCTGAAGAATTAAAAGAAAAGAATACAGCATTCAGCACAAAGAGGTTGCTTAATAAACATTGATTGAGTTGAATTGTGCTCATGTCTCTAGGTACATATGATAGTGTGAGGTTAAGAGTCAGACCTAGGGCCTGCAGGGGAAGTTACTGGGACCACTTGCTGGGTGACGGATGCCTGCCAGACTGGCTTGGCGGGTGTTGATGGATAGGTGCACTGGTGGGATCCTTTGGGGGCTGGTGTGTTTTTGTTGTTTGGTTAAGTTGTCTGAGTGTGATTCTCAAGTGTATGTGCTTTGTGTATTTGAATTCTATGTTTGCTATGTATATAGGAGGAAACTGGGTTTACATTGTGCAATAATTCATAGAATTGCAAATTCTGTCTCTTTTTTTGGTAAGCAGGCTAGAAGCCCTGGGGGAAGGAAAGTAGTAATCAAGGCTCAAAAAGGGGAAGCTGGAAGCTTTTCCTTAACCCATTTAAACAATTACCTAAACTGGGTTATACATTTACTTCTTCTAAATTCTGACTCATCTGAAGCACTAATTTTGTGTAGAAGCACAGTTTTTATGTGAAGAATACATAAATCAGGAAGTTACTGGAAAAAGCTTTAGAAGTCTGCTGTTTGTCCTTACAAATATAGAGGGGAATTGAAATAAATTATTTAAATAACGATCTATTGATCAATTACATTGGTTAGCAAATTTACACTTTGTCCCAATTTTTTTTTAGTAAATATAAGGACTGAACAATCCTGATAGAAAATGGTGCCATATGAGATTAATGTCATGGGTAAATGAGTTCTCGGATTTAGCAGTTAGCTTTGTCTGCTTGATCTATTTCCCCCACCCAAACTAGCTGCCCTACAAATAATGGCCATTAATATGGCAGGGTTTGGGGGAAGGGCTATTGTCTGTCTTACTGAGTTTGCATTCATGAAAAATAAAAAAGATTCCACTTAGTATGGATGGAAGCTATCTCAGCCTCCAAGCATATAGGGTTTTTGAATGTGAAAAGAGAAAGAAGCTGCTTGTTATGTTGGCTATTCCTGAGGTAGGTTTTGTATAAGGTAGCATTATTTGAAACTGCTGTTTTTTTGGTATAAAAAGTGCTCAAGTATGGACCATTTTATACAGTTCAACCTAATCGTTTTCATTCAAATAATACTGCAGTGGTAAATTTGACAATTCCAGTGATATTTTTAAAGAAAGTCAATACCATCGAGGAATTTTTGGTGTTTTGAAAGCATGATTCTAATGTTAGTATGTCAGTGCCAAGCTTTGTACTCATCAGCCAACAAGAATATGAGCTACTATTCAAAAGTAGCTAACCCTCTACCCATTAAAAGAGAGAGCAAGAGGGCAGTCCTCACAGGTGTTTTTCGGAGGGTGGATGATATGTACTTGAAAAAACCCAGAGAGAATATATTTATAGTAAGATGCTTAAGCTTATGGCCCCAGTGCATAGCCATTTGAGTTGATCTCTGCCAGTCATGCCTTCTACCTGAAAAATACCTTTGAAATCTCCACACTATTTCTTTCACTTTTCTCAGAAAGTAGTATGTCTTAGACTGTTTGGCGTGTTGTAGCAAAAGTACCATAAACTGGGGCGGGTGGGGGAGGGGGGCTTATAAACAACAGAAATTTAGTTTTGGAGGCTGGGAAGTCTAAGATCAAGGCACTGGCAGTTTGGTGTCAGTGAGGGCCTGTTCCTCATAGCACCTTCTAACTGTGTCCTCACGTGGCAGAAGGGGCTAGCGAGCTTCCTGGACTCTTTTACAAGGGCATTAATCCCATTCATGAGAGCACAGCCCTCATGACCTAATTGCTTCCTAAATGCCCCATCTCCTAATACCATCACCTTGGAAATTAGGTTTCTGCGTGTGAGTTTTAGGAAGACACAGACGTTGAGACTATAACACAGCACCCTCCCTGTCATCCCTCTACTAGGACATTACTTCATTCATCCTCCTTGCTGGCTTCACCCATTCTCCATCCCACCCCTTCCTACCGCTCCTCACCTAGCTACTCTTTCTAGCTGCCATCCTAATCTTCATTTTTCCTTCTCCATGAAACTCCTGGAAGTAGGTTCCACTTCCTGCAGTCACTTCTTACCCTGAAAACTGCTGCTTCCACTCTATTGAAATCCCTTTTACAAAGATCTTCATGGACATCCTCCTCATCGAGCTAACAGGAGTCTCCTCTGCCTTCAGAGTCCCCAACCTCTTGGCAGCCTTTGGCAGTGCTGACAAGCCCTTTCCTCTTAGAATGTTCTTCCCTTGATTTCCAGCCGCTGTGTCCTAGTTGCCCTCCATCTAACTCTTCCCTCTGTAAGTTTTGTTCCTTATCCCATCCCCTAAAGAGAGAAATTCCCTAGTAATCTCTCCTTAGTCCTCTTCCTTCTGTTCCCCAATACTTCCCAACACTTGTATGTAACTGACCTAATCTACATCTAACAGTTCAGAACTCTCCCTAGTTACAAACAGACATTTACAGGAGCCAACAAGAAACAATGGGGACAGCCATGGATTTGGCATTTGCAGATCTATTAATATGTTCAAGTCTGGCTCAAATCCTAGGAGTTTTTACATAACTAAATATGGGAATATCACAGGGTTTTTGAAAGGATTCGATTACAAATATTTTCAAAGGGTTAAAGTCTATTTAACCCTTTGAAAATATGTATAATTTATATGTAAATATAAATATCTATATTTAAATATTTCAAAATGTTTGCTGGATATCCTTCCTGTCTATTCCATGGTCTTCAAATTTAGTATTTCTAAAATTAAATGCATTATATTTTCACTCACCCTTATACACACAACAGTAACTCTTCCTAATATCTGTATTTCTAGTCAGAGTATCAATATTCTCCCAGGCAGCCTTATCAAACCTATGATCTTTGATTTCTTCCTACCTCTCATCTCGCCATTTAACCCTGCTACTCCCAAGCATCCAACGCACTGAAAACTACAGATTTTGTCTCCACAGTAGCTCAGTTATAGTACCTTTACTTTTATCCCTATTGCTTTTGTCACCTCTGTCCTGAGCTCCTACAATTACCTGATTGTCTATTTCTAACTTCCATCATTCTGCACACAAACTGTGAGGTTCATTTTCCTAAAACCTCCTAAACACTTTCAGTGGATTCCCCATTGCCAATGAATCAAGTCCAAACTTTTAAATGTGATAGTCAAGTCCTTTCTGCTCTGGACCCAAAAATTGCTGTCCAGTTTTACCTCTTTCTATTAATCTTTATGCAGCCCTCCCCCATCCAGTTGATTACTCTTTAATTTTGAGTAAGTCTTTTGATTCCTACTCAGAGTCTTGCCATGAAATCTCCTTCACCTAAAATGCTCTGTCTCCCCACTTACCTTGTCATAATCTTCCCAATTCTCCAAAATCCATTTCTAATGCCATCTCTTATGCCATCTCCATAAACCTATTTCCCTCCCCTCAAAATGTAGTCCCTCTTCAAAATTTTTGAAGCACTTTTATTATATGTTTTCCATAGAGAGGTGACTACTATCCACTTGATTGGATTATGAAATCCAGAAGTCAGAATCTAGCCTAAATTCATCTTCATATCTTAGTCCCTCAAGCATGAGAAATACTATAAGTGGTTGAATAAATATTTATTGAATTGGCAAATAAAGCAGTAGAAAAAGAAGTGCGTGTTTTCACAATAAAAATTTTCAAACGTGGTACCCATCTTGCTGAAAAGTGATGGGAAACGTTCGAGAAGTGTTGCCTAGCCACCAAAAATAACATTGTTTGTAGAAACATGCCTTGATATATGTGGGTTAGTGGTACCTCAAAAGCCACATTAAGAAAATATTTTTATTGTGAAATACAACATAAGAAAATTTTTATTATTTGTTTAAAATAATTTTAAAATAAATTTAAAATTTGTTAAACAAATTTTCAGTTTAACAAATAAGCACAAAGTAAAATCTGTATAATGTCTACCCAGGTCAAGAAATAGAATATCGCCAAGACCCTAGAAGCACCCACCCAGCCCGCAGTGTGCCCCATCAGATCACAAACACCATGCAATCACTTTCCTGACTTTCATGATAACCACTTCCTAGTTTGCTTTTTTTTTTTTCTTTTTGAGATGGAGTTGCCCGGGCTGGAGTACAGTGACGCAATCTCGGCTCACTGCAACCTCTGCCTCCTGAGTTCAAGCGATTTTCTTGCCTCAGCCTCTGGAATAGCTAGGATTACAGGCACCTTGCCACCATGCCTGGCTAATTTTGTATTTTTAGTAGAGACAGGGTTTCACCATGTTGGCCAGGCTGGTCTTAAACTCCTGCCCTCAAGTGATCTGCCCACCTTGGCCTCCCAAAGAGCTAGGATTACAGGCATGAGCCACCTCGCCTGGTCATTTCCTGCCTTTTTGCTAATGATTTCAGCCCTTTATGTGTGCATCACTAAATAATACAGTGTGGTTTCACCTGTTTTTAAACTTTATAAACAGTACGATCATTCTGTATATAGTCACAAGGATTCAGAAGTGTTTTTGTATCTTGCTTTGAACATAGTCATTCATGTTATTGCAAATAGTTGTAATTGTTGATTTTTGTTTCTATATAACATTCCACTTTATGACTGTACCACAGTTTATCCAGCCTACTGTTGATGGACATATGGGTTGTCTCTTGTTTGAAGCTTTAATGAGCAGTGTAGCTGTGCATATTCTTTCACACATAGCTTGGTGCACACATTTCTCTAAGACGACATTACTGAAAAGTGTCTTAAACTGCCACTGTAGTATAACTTGTTGGTAAGTAATAATTTACATTTTTCTAAGGTGGTCTAACTTGTATTCCTAGATTCTTATTACAAAAAAAGCATGATATAAATATGTCACATTAATTTGGACTTATGAATAAATTAGTGTATTCTAAATTATTATAGAGGCTGAGCGCAGTGGCTCACACCTGTAATTCCAGCACTTTGGGAGGCTGAGGCAAGCAGATCACTTGAGGTCAGGAGTTCGAGACCAGCCTGGCCAACATGGTGAAACCCCGTCTCTACTAAAAATATAAAACTTATCCAGGCGTGGTGGCCCATGCCTGTAATCCTAGCTACTCAGGAGGCTGAGGCAAGAGAATCACTTGAACCTGGGAGGCAGAGGTTGCAGTGAGCCAAGATTGCACCACAACACTCCAGCCTGGGTGACAGAGCAAGACCGTGTCAAAAAAAAAAAAATTATTACTAGAAATGTGTGTGGTTGGCTGACTAGTTGGTTGGGCATTGGTTGGTTTCCCAGTTTTAGACTGAACATACATATATGAAATATATGCACTTGACTGCATCAGGTGACCACTTACCTTTTCTGTGCTTTTGCCCTTTTTTGTAGTTCCCTCCTATCCCTTAGAATTATTTTCATTTCATCCCAGATTCCTATACTCAGCCTTATCATGTTCTCTGTAATGTCCTTTTTCCTTTCCCTCACTTTTTTTTTCCACTCTGGTCTCCTTACTCTTTGTCCCTGTGGAGTCACAAAATGCAGCAGAGGCTCTGCTTCTTACTCATCTTCGTATGAACTCTGTTCGGTTAACTCCATAAGGCCAGCAATCTCTCCCTGTCTGGCCCTTCTGGTGTCTTCCAACCCTGTCTTCCCTTTTACAGTACCCTGGGCCCCTAGTGGAAGAACTGACCACTCTTGTGGCATGTCTTTGTTCTTTCTGCAACACAAAATGAACTAGCCTTTAATATCAATCATAGTAAGTAAAGATATGCTTTTTGATTTCTGAAAAATGCTTGATTTAAAAAATTTGTCAAATGAAATATTACCATTTAATCATGCTTTTTCCTTTAGACCTAATACTTCAGATTTGTTCTAATAGAAAACATTCCCTAGTGGTCCCAATGGAAAACTTTTGGTAAGAAAAAAGCTAAAATAAATTCTAATCCCAGAACCTGCTGGATTTTCTAGCCATCTATTAGGAGGCTTTTCAGTAAAGCTATAGTGGCTCTTTAAGAAATGACAAAACAAAACCAAAAAAACCTCCACAGAATAGAAAGGAAGTGCTGCTGCCTCGTCAGATGCTAATGTTGGCTAGTCTTGCAACAGACCTGGCTAGGAGCTACAGATAGTTCCAACCAACCAGCTAGAAAAATCATGGCACCAAGGGCAGAGCCCTAGACTTTGCGTCTCCAGCAACTACTTCTCTGGGAACTGCCCGATGGCAGGCACCCTGGAATTTGAGACTTGAGGAAGTATATGCCAAATTTTCTCAGAAAATAATGTAAAGTTACCATACATTTATTTGCTTTAAAATAAGTACACTTCGATAAGCAGATGTTTTATAGAAGTGGTCGTGTTACATTGATGAAGCTAAATTTTTTTAAGAGACTGAAGATTACTATGGAAGTTAAAGTTATAAAAGAACAATTAACTCATCAAGCAATTCCACTGCTGCTCAGCCTGAAGAAGATGTTGAACATTTGAGTCAATTATAGCTAATAACTTGCGATCTCATTTACCAGAATTGTAATACAGGGAAATACATAACGTGGTACACTGGGAACTGGAACACTAATCTCTTTTTATTCCCCTTTCTTTCTCCTACTTACAAGCTAAGCTCAGCATTGGCCAGAGAGAAGTAACAGTTCAGAAAGGACCACTGTTTAGAGCTGAAGGTTACCCAGTCAGCATTGGCTGCAATGTAACTGGCCACCAGGGACCTTCTGAGCAGCATTTCCAGTGGTCTGTTTACCTGCCGACAAACCCGACCCAGGAAGTCCAGATCATTAGCACCAAGGATGCTGCCTTCTCTTACGCAGTATATACGCAGCGGGTGCGAAGCGGAGACGTCTACGTGGAGAGGGTCCAGGGCAACTCAGTCTTGTTGCACATCTCAAAACTCCAGATGAAGGATGCTGGCGAGTATGAGTGTCACACACCAAACACTGATGAGAAATACTATGGAAGTTACAGTGCAAAGACTAATCTAATTGGTAAGTTGCTTGTCCACTTCTGCTAGCCAGCCCCTGAGAAGCCAGAGTCTCCACCATGACAATATCTTGCAATATGACATGGCTTTATATTGTTCCATTTTCTTTGGGAAAAGAGCCCATGTACCCCTGTGGATATTTTGGAGATATGTCACAAGTGGGTATCTCATATTCTCTAAAATTATCTGTTTCTTTTTCTCAATTATCTTTGCCATAAATATTTAGATGGTGTGTGGTTTTCCCAAGGCCTTGTCCGCAGCTCTCCATAGGTTGCTAGTAGCAACAGCATTCAACAAAGCTGTGAGAGTTCTCCCTGTGTTGTCTCTGCTTGCAGGCAGAACAGTAATTTGACAAGAAAGCTGGTACCATAGGTGATAAGTCATTAACTTAGAAATGATAATTCTCAAACTACCATTCTCTAGCATATTTACACATTGGGAAAGGGTGATAGTCCTTGCAATTGTCACTTTGTCCCTTTGTCTGGAATATCTATCACCCCCTTTTCAGCTTAACAAACTCCTACATATACTTCAGGACCCAGTTTAGATATTACCTCTTCTGTGGAACTCATCTTGACTGCTTGGGCAGAATTCCCACTTTTGTTTCCTTTAGATTGTTCATACCACTGCTCTCAGCATGTATCCAGTTACATGGTAATTGGCTATTTGTATGCCTCTTTCCCACCACATCCTCAGCTTCTACTCAGTGGCTAGCACCGAGTAGACGCTCAGTCACATTCATTGATTAAATCTAAGTGTTGCTTTCATATAAGCTTAGGCTGTGTGATTTCATTTTAGGAAAACAAGAATGGTAGGGTAGTAAGATGGTTACCAAAACTTTAGTAAAGATTGCATTTGGGCTCTAAATGATACATTTTAACAGCCATTATTACATTATTAGATTATTACACAGCCTTATAGAGGAGCAGGTTAAGGCCCAGGGAGGTGAAGTGACATGCCCAAGTCCACGTAGTAGGGATGGATTTAGGATCAGAATCTAAGGTTTCTCTGTCCCAGTGCTTTCTCCCTTTAAATACATGCTTTGTGTCTGAGTAGCTAAATTGGTTATAGCCTATGTTAATAAAGCAAAGTGAGGGTCAACACATTGATGAGGCATTTACTTTGCCCAGTTCCGTAGACTGTACCTAGATGCCAATGTTCCCAATGGCAATAGAGAAAGCATATGGATAGGAAAGCATATGGCAAGTGGAAAACCAACTCAAAGTCTGTGTGCTTTACATAGGGTAGCTCAGGGCGCCATCTAAGGAGGCCCACTGGACAAGCACTGGGCCAGTCACATTATTATCATTCCTTTGTTTCCAGTTATTCCAGATACCCTCTCTGCCACCATGAGTTCTCAGACTCTCGGTAAGGAGGAAGGTGAGCCATTAGCCCTCACCTGTGAGGCATCCAAAGCCACAGCCCAACATACTCACCTCTCTGTCACCTGGTACCTAACACAGGATGGAGGAGGAAGCCAAGCCACTGAGATTATTTCTCTCTCCAAAGATTTTATATTGGTCCCTGGGCCCTTGTATACAGAGCGGTTTGCAGCCAGTGACGTACAGCTCAACAAACTGGGACCCACTACATTCAGGCTGTCCATAGAGAGGCTCCAGTCCTCAGATCAGGGTCAGCTGTTCTGTGAGGCAACGGAATGGATTCAGGATCCAGATGAAACTTGGATGTTCATCACCAAAAAGCAGACCGATCAAACCACTCTGAGGATCCAGCCAGCAGGTAATTATCTTCCTACGAAATTCATTAATACACTAGTATTAGGTAGTGGGTATTTATGAGGTATGTTTTAATTTTTGTTCTAATCTTTTGTTGGCTCTAAAAAATTGGCTAGAAAGTTTGATTTAATTTTGTATTTTTGTCATCTGAGAAGCATAACTAAGAGGGAGCACATTCAGTTCTGGCTCTGCCCACGGATTCTTTATGGGATAAGGTCTACTGAGTGGCTAGATCGATTCCACAAGCCAGTCATGGAAGTAGTTTTGTTACCATTTTTGCCAGTCTCTGTTCACACATTATCTACATTATCTAATTTAGTCGTAACCACCACCCTATGAGGCAAGTAGTTGAGTCTCCATTTTAAAAATGAGGACTCTGAACTTCAGACATGCTAGATGCGCTGCCTAAGCCCACCCAGCTGGTGAGAGTGGGGCTGGCATTCAAAGGGAGGCCTGTCTCTCTCCAAAGCCCACTCAGCACAGACAGCTGGGCCTCAAAGTAGCTCCAGTTTCCAACATGAAGCCTTGTCTTCGTCAGTGCTGGGGTTTCCTTCCACCTGCCCCCTTTCCCAACTTGGAATGCAGTGACTTTGCTTTTTTATTATTTTTTTAATTTTTAAATTTTTTTAAGGACAGGATCTTGCTATGTTCCCCAGGCTGGCCTTGAACTCCGGGGCTCAAGCAATCCTCCTGCCTTGGCCTCCCAAAGGGCTGGGATTTCAGGCGTGAGCCACCGCACCCAGCCTGCTGTTACTTTTCATAATCTTTTGGCATTTTTGTCAAAGCAAGTATAAAGGCCTTGTCTGTGATTCCTGGTCTCTATAGGCTTTTGTCCAACAGGAAGTGGTTGCTAAACCATATACTGTATATGCATTGCTAAAAGCAATGATCCAATAGTGGATCATTAAAGTTTTTTCTTTATTAAAAACAGTATTATTGTGTTCCACTAAAAATTGTCCTGTTGGCCTCAAGTATCCAAGTTATACTCATGAGTCCTATGGAGCGATATCACATGTGCTTTTTAACTTCAGAAAATTCTGCTGGATATTCTTAGCCAAAAAAGAGAGTAAGAAATCACAATTTACAGCAATTTAGTGTAAAATATTTAATATATATATTTAATTCAGTATACAATATTTTATTTTTTAATTTAAAAAGCATACATTACTATATGTGTCATACATTTGTGCATACATCTTGCTTACTAAGAGTGCATTCAGAAAACCATGTGTACTGTCCTTTCTGGGTGATTTAAGGAAGAGTCATGAGCGTTTTTTACTCTAAGGATTTTGTTTTTTTTGGGTTTACCTACCGCTATAGAATTGAACTCCCACATAAAATGTGATCCCTGTGACATCCTTACAGAGGGTGTCATCTCTCTCTGGTACTGAAAGGACAGAGGCTGTGGGCTCTCTAAATACCTGCCTTGCTTTTGTTTCCCAGTGAAAGATTTTCAAGTCAACATTACAGCTGACAGCTTGTTTGCTGAAGGGAAACCCTTAGAACTGGTTTGCCTGGTTGTAAGCAGTGGCCGTGACCCACAGCTTCAAGGCATTTGGTTCTTCAATGGGACTGAAATTGCTCACATTGATGCTGGTGGAGTCCTGGGCCTGAAGAATGACTACAAAGAGAGAGCAAGTCAAGGAGAGCTCCAGGTTTCAAAGTTAGGCCCCAAGGCTTTCTCTCTCAAGATCTTCTCTCTGGGCCCAGAGGATGAAGGCGCCTACAGATGTGTGGTAGCAGAGGTCATGAAAACACGCACAGGTTCCTGGCAGGTGCTTCAGAGAAAGCAGTCACCAGACAGCCACGTGCACCTGAGGAAGCCAGCAGGTACGTAAAGTCAAGGCCAGGCATGCATTGGGCTGCTTTCAGATGCCCCCTTGTCAGTGGAAGACCCCTTCGTGGATACAATGGGGATCTTCATGAAGAGCAGGTTTCAATCAGATCACATTGGAGGTGGAGTGGAGTGGAGTAAAGGAAGGCACCCAAACTAGCTGAAGACCCGAGTCCTATTCCTGAGTCATTAAGTAGTCTGTGACCATGAACACACCACTTTACGTCTCTAAGTCTCAGCTCCTTCATCTGTAAAATGATGGCACACAACTAGATGGTCTTTAAGTTCCTTCTTGCTATCTTAGAGTCTATTTATTTTTTGTTCTAATTTTTATGTATTAGATATTTCTTAAAGCAGAGAACATGTGTATTAATGAAGCCCTCTGCCTTTGTGTGTGTGTGTGTGTGTGTGTGTGTGTGTGTGTGTGTGTGTGATATGAATAGGTTAAGAGTAAAAAGCTACACTTTGTCCTCCTTCCTGAGGAATGAACACCCGTGTTATCCTACCTTGAGACCCTGCCGGCATTTTTCAGTTGCCTTCTGTTAGTCTCCTACTATGTTGACCTGGTGTGGGAAATAGTACTTAGTCATAATTCTGACTCACAGTAAGAAATGAAGAGGTAATTGATAGTGGGCAGACTCCATCCTCTGCATTTTGCTGTGATGTGGTGAGACGCCGGTCCAAATGGTTCTGAATGTCTGCATGCACGGAACTGAGGAAGCCACTCAGCTCACCTTTACTTTATGAAGGTTGGGTGACCTTAAACATGTTTGAATAATCAGTGCCTTTTGTGAAGAAAAACAGACATATCTGCAACTAATATAAGGATTCACTAGGCTGGGTTTAAATTCAAAGTCCAGAAAGATTAATTGCCCAAAAAAAATTTTTTTTAATGTTTTAAATTTTTAAAAACTGAGCTAAAAATAAAGGTGTCCTTGTTGCACTGGCTCATTGGAGACATCTCCAAAGATAGATAAATTTTCCTTTCATGTTCTCCAATATGCCATTTACTAGGAATGAAGATGCACCGATTTGGCCTTGAGTGGCAGGCCAGGAAGTGTGTTGGTGTTCGTTTTCACACTAAACATTTGGTCTGACTTTCTAGAATTAAGGAAAAACAATATAGGTGAGTTCACATATTTATGCAGAGATAAGTTTCTGCTTTATGCATCTCAGCCTTCTCTGGAACATATCTGCAGGCTTTTGTAAACCTGGTATGTGGGAATTTCACCTGAAGGGGAACTTCAGGGTACACAGCTGATAATCCTATCAATAGGGTCATCTTCTAAAACTAAAAATAGTTCTTTGTATAGGCTGGAGTCTACACTGGGCTTACTATGTAGACACAGAAAAAGTTATTAGCAAATTTATTAAGGATCCTGTTTAGCATTCTGTTTTGAAAGTCAAACGTTACTTGAAGTATTAGCAACATTTTATCATTTATGAATATTTTAATCACTCATTACCATTGTGAATGTGTAACTTGCACACATTTCATAAGTTTATTACTTCTTACCAAAAGGCAGTAATGGCCACAATGAACTAAGGAAACATCATTTAAAAAAAAAATCATTAGTTTAAACTAATCATCATGGTTATGTTAAAGTGGTGAATTTCCCCTCCAATTTTGAAACTTCAGTTATGAGTCTATTTTTAACTTGAAAAAAACTAAATTTGAAAGCAGATTTGCTCTTTTTAAAAACATATTTATGGACATTAACCCTCATTCTCTCTTTGTTACTTATGTATATGTATGCATAAAACAGTCAAAGATTGAACTCCTTCCTCCGCAGGGAAGAACAATTTGCAAATTCATTTAGATCCTATTTAGATTTCTAATGCCAGTTCTATTTTATTTTCCTCTTTTGCTTTGAATTACCTCTGCTTTTGCCAGAGCCTATCATTAAACACTAATGCTAGCAGCTAACCTTTACTAAGTACTTTCCCTAGCCATCCAGGCTAAGCTCTTTGTTCAGTCTTCATGTGCCATTTGTTCAGTCTTCTCAACAATGCAGCAAGGTGAGCACTATTATTATCTTCATTTTTACAGAAAAGAAAACTGTGGTCAAATATGTTGCCCAGGGCAATTCTGACTCCAGGAGCCGTGGCCTTAAATTAGTGTTGGGCTGCCTAGAATGTACAATCTCCTGCTGTATCTCTACATTGCTCACAAAGCAACCAGGAAAGACCTTGCAGAATTCATGTTTGTTGAATAAATGCGTTTGTTGAATGATGACTTGAATTTCCCATCTGGGAGCCAGATTTACATTTATGGTTTTACACTGTAGTTTAGACATAAGAAGCCTCTCTGTTTACAACAACGTGTGTTGTCGTACACCTTGTTGTACACGTTGTTGTACAACAACGTGTGTTGTAAACAGACACACATTTATATATATATATATTTATTTATATATATATATAAAATGTATATGTATATATACACGTATTTTCCCGCCAAGTAATTGTTTTTCATGGTAATATTGTGAACAGAGATATAATTAACAATGATGTTTCTTCCTCATTCAAAACACTTACTAAACCAATCAGATTGATTAGGGAAAGATAAGAAAGAGGAAGATTGTCTTGAACTCTGAAGGTCCGAATTCTAAAAAACTAAAAATTTAAATAAACACAGCTTTATTAGTTTCAGGCTCTTATATCTACCCTAATTAATATACTAAAACATTACCAGATGTTTTGCCAACTAGATATTCTTAAGGAAGAGTTGATTTAACAAACAAATAAGAAATATGTGCAAGTGATAAATTGTTTAAGTAAGCTGGGTGCAGTGGCTCATGCCTGTAATCCCAGCCCTTTGGGAGGCTGAGACAGGAGGATCGCTTGAGGCCAGAAGTTCAACACCAGCCTAGGTAACAAAGAGAGACCGTATCTCTACAGAAAATTTAAAAATTAGCCAGCATGTTGGCACGTGCCTGTAGTCCCAGCTACTGAGGCACGAGGCAGGAGAATTGCTTGAGCCAAGGAGTTTGAGGTTGCAGTGAGTTAAGATCACAGTGCTGTGTTCTAGCCTGCACAACAGAGCAAGACCCAGTCTTTAGAAATAAATAAATTGTTTAAGGGTGAATACATCCTCCGATATTCTTTCTGCTATCTTGTTTCCACTATTTAAGGTTTGGCAAATCTTTTGCCTGAGGGTGGTGCAAGAGGAAACAGCCCAATTTGACTTGTCACAAACTAGTCAAGTCCTAATTAATGAAATTTCACTGTATTTTAGAACATTTCTTATTTACCTAAAACAGTTTTGTTCTTCTATAATCTGTAACTCACAGCAAGAAGTGTGGTCATGTCTACCAAGAACAAGCAGCAAGTTGTGTGGGAAGGAGAGACACTCGCCTTTCTCTGTAAGGCTGGTGGAGCTGAAAGTCCCCTGTCTGTGAGCTGGTGGCACATCCCACGGGACCAGACACAGCCCGAGTTTGTGGCTGGCATGGGGCAGGATGGCATTGTGCAGCTGGGTGCCTCCTATGGGGTACCCAGTTACCATGGCAACACAAGGCTGGAGAAAATGGACTGGGCCACCTTCCAGCTGGAGATCACCTTCACTGCCATCACAGACAGTGGCACATATGAGTGCAGAGTATCTGAGAAGTCTCGGAACCAGGCCAGAGATCTGAGCTGGACTCAGAAGATTTCAGTTACTGTAAAGTCTCTGGGTAAGTGTCAAAGGAAGTCCTTTTCTGCACCTGTATATCACTCAATTCATTCTGCAGTGGAACTGGATTGCGTGTTATCCTGAATCCCCCAGTGATGGTATGTGTACCCTAGGACACAGAGCTAGTCTCTGGCTACCCTCTCTGTCAATTAATCTTTAAAGATTCTTCATTTTTGTAAAGATCATCTTTAGAGTGCAACTTGTAAATTGTTGTTCAAGGTTAAAAACAAAATCCTATGGATCAGCTTATAGACGAGTATAGCTGAGCCTCTTACCTTCTGGCTTTTGACAGCTGTGGCCCTGGGATTGCAGAGCCCATTGAAGCATGTGCAAAAGGGTTCTGATACTGAACCCACGCATGGGGGTAAGGGAAGGAGGCCAGACGACTAGGGTGGGGAGTGCTCCACCCACTCAGCAGCAGCTGTCTAAGTAGCAGATTGGAGAAACACTGCCTATTTGTTGTGGCTGCTGGGAACAGTCTTAGAAAAGGATCAACTTTGCAAAATTGAGGTCACAGTTCAGGACAGACTGTACTGGGAATCAATTTCTACTCTATAAAATAGGAAACTCCAAATGTACAAATGCATGGTCCTAGTCAAAGAGGTGGCAACTAGAAAAACTTGAAAGTGCTATATTTTAATCTGGTAAATATATTAGAAATTCTGTTTCATTTTTCTGTCTAGAGTCAAGTTTACAAGTTAGTCTGATGAGCCGTCAGCCGCAAGTGATGTTAACCAACACCTTTGACCTGTCCTGTGTCGTGAGGGCCGGTTACTCTGACCTCAAGGTGCCACTCACTGTGACGTGGCAGTTCCAGCCAGCTAGCTCTCACATCTTCCACCAGCTTATTCGAATCACCCACAATGGCACTATTGAATGGGGGAATTTCCTATCCCGGTTCCAAAAGAAGACGAAAGTGTCGCAGTCTTTATTTCGTTCACAACTCCTAGTCCATGATGCCACTGAGGAAGAGACAGGAGTGTATCAGTGTGAAGTAGAAGTTTATGACAGAAATTCCCTATACAACAACCGCCCCCCGAGGGCTTCTGCCATCTCTCACCCACTGAGGATAGCCGTCACTTTACCAGGTAAGTGTGACTTGAAATTAATCCCTGTTTTAAAAACAAACAAATAGCAATCCTCCCATTTTGGGTAAGTTATAACAATAAAACATAAAATACTTTCTCCCATATTTGTTCTATCTAAGTAAGCACCACATGATGAATGATACCCAGGTTAACATTGAGTTAGTATGCATGGGTTGGCCATACTGGTTGTTAAAACATTGAAATACCTTCCATGCTGGCTAATTGCTGCTCTCTACCCATTCCCCATTTTCCCCTAAGTTCCCACCACCCAGCAACTAAAGGGTACCACGTGGCACAGCAGGGGGCCTCTAGGACCTGGCTAGAGGGGAGAAGAAATGTTTTGGATTAGTCACTGTCCAGGCCTTACCAGTTAGTAAACATTTGCAGTGTCTCTGCTAGTGGTAGGGATAAGGTAAATTCCACTGGAATACATCCACCTACTTCTTTGTAAGGTGTTAATGTATAAGAGTCAGAGAATTTATTATTACAATCAAATATAATCCATCTCATCAACTGATAATAGAGCATAGGAGTTAAAAGTGAGATACTACCTAGGCAAAGTTCTGCTGTGTCATGTATCTTCTCTCTTATAGTTTGCATTCTCTTAGGAAGAGTGATGGAGAGACGTTGGAGTCATTTAGATCTGACAGTCACTGGATAGCAGAACAGCTTTGGATGAGACACTTAATCTGCTGAAGCCTTAGTTACCTGATCTGTAAATTGTTAATGTGCAATTTAAATATGGTGACATATATAACATGCCGAGTACCTGACACACCAAGATGACGCTCAAACGTGGTCACTGTCATTATTCTCTCTGCTGCTGTGCAACATTTTTGGTAATAGTAATGATCCCCTTGTTCATGAATTCATGCTTAATTAATTTGTCCTCTCTGTGGTATTTGCAATTGCTGCCCCAATCTGTCTTCTTGAAACTTCTTTTTTCCTTGGCACCATGACACAAGATTTTCATTTTCTCCTCCACTGATTTATTCTTTAAAGAAAACAGTTTCTCTGGATTCTATTCTTAGCTTTGTTCTCTTTTCATTCTATACGCTCTCCTGCAGTGGACTCGTCCCTACCCATGGATACAAGCTGTATGTTCACAACTCCCACATTCATTATCTTGACCAATTTCTCTTCTGATCTCCAGACTCGTATATCCAGCTGTCTCCAAGACATGCCTGCACTCATTATGTCAAAACATAAACCCACCATTATCATCCAAAGCTCTTTCTTCTGCATTGCCCCTTATGTCCCCACTCCTCACCAGTGACCCAAGTTGAAAACCTGAGTCATCACAACTCTTATGTTCACCTTGTATCTAAACTCCCACAGTGTGACATGCAAGGTCCTTTATCATCTGGTACATTTGTGTCTTTCCAGCATCATCTCCTTCAACTTTCCATCGTGAATTTGAGCTTCAGCCACACTGAATTACTGGCAGCTCCTCAATTGTCCATGTTCCCTCTCACTCTCAAAGTCTTTGATCTAGTTGCATCTTTTGTGTGGCAATCCTTAACCTCTTCTCCATCGGAATAATTCCTATAAACCCTTAAGACTCAGCTCAGAATTATCTCCTCCAGGAAGTCTCCCCTCACTCCTGTATTTGGGCTAGGAGACCCTGCTGTGTGCTCAGATAGGCACTTCTATATACCTCTGTCTTACATGAGGGACATGAGGAACAAAAATTTTACACTGAGGCCAGGTGTGGTGGCTCACACCTGTAATCCCACACTTTGGGAGGCCAAGGCGGGCAGATCACCTGAAGTCAGGAGTTTGAGACCAGCCTGGCCAACATAGTGAAACCCCGTCTCTACTGAAAATGCACAGATTAGCCAGGCATGGTGGCGTGCACCTGTAGTCCCAGCTACTCAGGAGGCTGAGGCACAAGGATCGCTTGAGCACAGGAAGTGGAGGTTGCAGTGAGCCAAGATCATGCCACTGCACTCCAGCCTGGGCGACAGAGCAAGACTCCATCTCAAACAAAACAAAACAACCAAAAATCTCACACTTGAGAAAGGTTTCTCAAGAGTTATTTCAGCTGCACATTCTAAATGTGGAAGACAGTGATCAGGGCAAATATCACTGTGCTGTGGTAGAATGGCTCTTTGTCTACAAATGGCACTTGGCACCATCTCTAAGCCTCTGTCCCTGCACTTGTCTCCCTCTAGAGTGTGAGCCACTGAGGGAAGATATCCACAGGGCCTGGAATTGTCTGGCACATAATATAGTGTGTGCTTCATAAATATTTGTTGAAGGAAGAGTAAAGGGACCTATGGGCAACATCAATAAGCAGTTAAAAAAGTAGAGTGGGTGATGTCAGCAAGATGCTAGAAGAAGATTTGGGAACAAGGATTGTCACTCATCTTTCTGACAAAGCAGAAAAGCTGCTGGGGTCAAAGATTAGTTGGCTCCATATCTATACAATGTTCCCACAGTTAAGTGACTGCAAAGACACACACAGTTTTAATCACTCATGTACAACTTCCTTTTGTTTACCCACGTTTGAAGGCAGATACAACTAGAGTTTGGAAATTGTGAATCCAGAAGTACTCTGCATAGTAAACACACAAACACAGCATTAATAGGGCCACTTTCTCCCAATCTGATACATGAAATATGACAGAAGAGATGCTTGTGCTTAAATACCGAAGCAGTATCATGTGGAAGAGAGATACTGGGCTTGTCTGTGTGACACTCCCTCTGCCACACCACCCCTACCAAGCACAGGTAGCACTAGGACTAGTGGATGGAAGTTATGAAGAGATAAAGTTCAACTTGATATCAGAAAGCATTCTGGAGGGGCAGAGCTGTCCAGAGATGAAATGGGCTGCCTTGTCAGCTAGTGATGCTGTTCAAAAGCTGTATGAGCAGTGAGTGGGGCTACTGTAGAGGGAGTTCACCCATATGATGGCGGGAGGATGCAGTGTCATACTTGACCTCTAATGTCTCTACTACCTTAACTTTCTATTTCATAGCAAAGTAACTGTTTCATTTTTTTAAATTTAGAGAGCAAGCTAAAAGTGAATTCAAGGAGTCAAGTCCAAGAGCTCTCCATCAACTCCAACACTGATATAGAATGTAGCATCTTGTCCCGGTCCAATGGAAACCTTCAGTTAGCCATTATTTGGTATTTTTCTCCTGTTTCCACTAATGCCTCTTGGCTAAAGATCCTGGAGATGGACCAAACCAATGTTATAAAAACTGGGGATGAGTTTCACACCCCACAGAGAAAACAAAAATTTCATACTGAGAAGGTTTCCCAAGACTTATTTCAGCTGCACATTCTGAATGTGGAAGACAGCGATCGGGGCAAATATCACTGTGCTGTGGAGGAATGGCTCCTGTCTACAAATGGCACTTGGCACAAGCTTGGAGAAAAGAAGTCAGGACTAACAGAATTGAAACTCAAGCCCACAGGTAAACCTTGCGAGTGTATCCTCACAATGTCTGTCTGTCTGACGGCTGTTTTCTCTTGGGCAGCTGTTCTATGGAGTGATTATGTGGAAGTAAAAATATGACCTAAAGTCATAGGAACAGTATCTACCTACACATGACTGCAAGACCGAGTAGTCCACCAAAGGAGGGGAGGTCACTTAAGGCAATCCAATCTGAGGTTTTGGGGAGCTGAGGTAGGAGCAATATCCCTTTGATTGGTTTGCTTCTCAACCTGGCAGCCTGGTCTGTGCAGCTACCCAGGGTATCGTATCTCCAGATCTCTATCATAACAAGCTGTGTCATTCCAGTGGGGCTCTACTGTAATTTGGCAGAGAAAGAGTAATACGAAGCATATTTCTCCCACTGTGAACAGAAACTGTACAACTCTATGGGGATGTGTGGAGAAATTGCTTCTCAACATTTAGCTGCCTAAACATAAGGCAAATAAGAGTAGTTAACTGTTGGAATGGCTTACTGAGGGAGTCTCCTCTTCCTCAGGAGATCTTTAAAAATGTAATGGAAGTTCCGCACTGGTCTAAGAGTGCCACTGTCTAAATGTGGGCAGGGTTGATTAGGTCTCTCAGCATAGGTTAGGTCACTTCCAGTGTTGATTAAAATTAAATGAATGTCACAGCCAAGGTTCAGGAACTGGCCAAGATCCTACAGCACAATGCAGAGAAGTTGATCTAATTTGGTGCTTGAAATACTATTTTCAAGGTAACGCTAAAAAAAAATTAGATGATAATTGAGCATTACTATGTGTTAGGCAGTGGAATACAAAGATAAAGAAGGCACAGCCCTGGCCCTTAAGGAGCTCCCAGTCTGGTGGGACAACAAGGGCAGAACAGCAGCTTGGTTTGGGGTCTCTTCCTGCCCTCTGGCTTCCCTTCTGTATGTTCTTCAAGCCCCTTCTTCTCCCTGCTAAATGTGTGTGTTCCTCAGGGATAGATCCTGGGCCTGTTTTGCTTCTTATTCTCTGCTTTCCTCAGAATTTCTTAAACACTGCCCTGGTTTCAACTACCACCTTCTAGATGATAACTCTGAGATTTTGTGCTTAGCCCTGATCTCCTGAGCTCCAAGCCTTCATACCCAACTGCCTGCTGTACATTTCTACTTGGATGCCCCCATACTCAGCATGCCCTAAATTGCACTTAGCATCTCTGCCATCTCACCATGCTCATTTGCACTTCTGCATTTCCCATCTGTGTGATTGGCATTCTGTCTCCCAGTCATCCACACCAAACTCTTGACCACATGTGCATGGCCGTCTTCAGGAGGCAGCCACTGCTTAGCTCAAGTGCTTCCCATGTAGAAATGTGGGCTCCGTGTTGTCAGATCTTTTTGCATATCTAGAGATGCCTAAAATCTTTTTTGGTGACATCTCCCAGTTTGAGAATGTCCACAACTAATTCACTTCTTCTTTTTCTTTTTTTTTAGACGGAGTCTTGCTCTGTTGCTCAGGCTGGAGTCAGTGGTATGATCTTAGCTCACTGCAACCTCCTCCTCCTGGGTTCAAGCAATTCTCCTGCCTCAGCCTCCAGAGTAGCTGGGACTACAGGTGTGTGCCACCATGCCTGGCTAATTTTTGTAATTTTAGTAGAGACAGGGTTTTACCATGTTGCTCAGGCTGGTCTTGAACTCCTGACCTCAGGTGATCCACCTGCCTTGGCCTCCCAAAGTGCTGGGATTACAGGCGTGAGCCACTGCGCCCAGCCCAGTTCTCTTAAAATACTGCAAGTGTCAAGCAGAACATACCTGTGGGCTTGGTGTGGCTGTGGACTTCCGGTTGTGCACGTCATTTAGGGAACAAGTTAACCAAGAGGCCCCAGAAAGATGCTGAGAATGACTGGTCAGAGTTGTAAGGGGGATATTTTCTCTGAGGTTGGAAGAAAAGAAGTCAATTTCAAGGAGAAATTGGACTCCAGTAACAAAAACCACATAGAGGACAGAAAAGGACTAGAGGGTCCCTTGAACTGGGAAATTGGGCCCTGGCCAAGTAAAGTGATGGGATTGGAAGCCAGATCACAATAAAGTAGGAAGTAATTTGAGACAAGGAAACAGCAACAGTATTCCATGTGCTAATATTCCACGTGCTACTCCATGAAGGAAAGGGGAGAGTAAAAATGGTAACTAAGAAAGAGTCCAAGATCAGACAGAATTATTCTCTTAAAGACAGATTAATAAATGTGTTTGAGTCAGGCACAGTGGCTCATGCCTATAATCCCAGCACTTTGGGAGGCCAAGGTGGGCGGATCACCTGAGGTCAGGAGTTCGAGACCAGCCTGGCCAACATGGTGAAACCCTGTCTCTACTAAAAATAAAAAAGTTAGCCAGGCATGGTGGCCCATGCCTGTAATCCCAACTGCTCGGGAGGCTGAGGCAGGATAATCGCTTGAACCCGGGAGGCAGAGGTTGCGGTGAGCCAAGATTGTGCCACTGCACTCTAGCCTGGGCGACAGAGCGAGACTCCGTCTCAAAAAATAAATAAAATAAAAATAAATAAATAAATAAATAAATAAATAAATGTGTTTGTAGTGGAATTGAAAATGTAATGCACACTATAATTTCTTTATTTTGTTTGTAACTACTTTGGCTGTTATTCTAAATCCTCACCTGCTGGTTAGCAAGGGGAAAAAAAGTAAATGTCAAAATCTCTTTAAAACTCAGTCTAATCCAATCATCTAAATAGCTCCCATGGATGGCCTTCTAACACTTGCATCAAAATGTTCAGTCTCTTGGATGGCGTCCTCTCTCTCTGCGTTTACACCCAAGATAATATCTGGGTGTATGGGAGGAGAGTAATTTGCTAAGAATGAGGGGTACTGGTGGAATACATGGCTTGAGGGAGCTGCTAAAAGTTGTGAATGACCACTTTGGGAAGTAGAGGAGGAGTGAATCAAGGGTAAGTAAAAGCAGCAGGCAGAGGGCCCTGCAGAAGCTGTGTAGTTTTCAATGGCAGGGTCCAGCAGGCAAGCAGTTGGGCTAAAGAAGGAAAGAGGCTGGTTTGATTCCTAGCAGAGAATGTCCTGGCAAATGTGAGAGAAAAACAGGGACCAAGGACAAGAATTAAAATGAATGTGGCTGGACGTGGTGGCTCATGCCTGTAATCCCAACACTTTGGGAGGCTGAGGTGGGCAGATCACTTGAAGCCAGGAGCTCAAGAGCAATCTGGCCAACATGGTGAAACCCCGTCTCTACTAAAAATACAAAAATCAGCTGGGCATGGTGGCACACGCCTGTAATCCCAGCCACTTGGGAGGCTGAGGCAGGAGAATTGCTTGAACCCAGGAGGCAGTGGTTGCAGTGAGCTGAGATCATGCCACTGCACTCTGGCCTGGGTGACAGAGCAAGACTCTGTCTCAAAAAATAAAAATAATAAAAAAAATAAAATGAATGCACTGATGTCTAAAGAATATAAGATCTTCCCAGTGAGAACTAGATTTTTCAGAGGTGGTATCCAAATCTGAAAGTCTGCATTCTCTAATTTACTGCCATTTTATTTTCTAGGAAGTAAGGTACGTGTCTCCAAAGTGTACTGGACCGAAAATGTGACTGAGCACAGAGAAGTGGCCATCCGCTGCAGCCTGGAGAGTGTAGGCAGCTCAGCCACTCTGTACTCTGTGATGTGGTACTGGAACAGAGAAAACTCTGGAAGTAAATTGCTGGTGCACTTGCAACATGATGGCTTGCTGGAGTATGGGGAAGAGGGGCTCAGGAGGCACCTGCACTGTTACCGTTCATCCTCTACAGACTTTGTCCTGAAGCTTCATCAGGTGGAGATGGAGGATGCAGGAATGTACTGGTGTAGGGTGGCAGAGTGGCAGCTCCATGGACACCCAAGCAAGTGGATTAATCAAGCATCCGATGAGTCACAGCGGATGGTGCTCACGGTGCTGCCTTCAGGTAACCAGGGGTTTATCTACCGCGAGCTCATGGTCAGGAGAATACATGGCTCTCCTCTTATCCTCTCCCTCTCACCTATCTTTTGCTCCTTCTGAAGACAATTTTCAGACTGAAGACAATTTTCAGGTTCCCTAAAGAAGATGACTTTGCTGTCTCTCTCAATAGTAACTCATTTGAACAAACAAGGTCCACATGAGATTTTGGCATAGACACTTAAATATCGGGAGCATCTGACAGGTCCATGTCTTTCTGCTGGGGTTCAGGGAGAAGGTGGGAGGTGAGCAATAAGCTAAGCTTACTGAGGGAAAGGGCCATTGGAGAAGTAGGGGTGTGGTCTTGGTGCCAGACACCAGGAAGCACAAAGGGAAAATCATCAATAAAGGTAACAATCCTAAGAGACCAGCTAGCTTTAGTGACACTGCTTAGGAGGGACAGAATGCTGTTGAGAACATATGGGAACATCTAAGAAGTAGGGATAGGTGCATCCCAGCGCAGCAGGGCTTCCAGAGGGGAAGTCGAAGCTATCCGATTTGTTCCTTGAGGTGGTCCATCATTGTTTTTCCCTGTTCATTCCTCAGCAGAAGTTTTCTCCTGAGTGCCAGGCCAAAATGTTTTTTCTATCAGCCTTTTTCTTCTTTCCAACAATTACAGGAAGTCCCATACTCATGAGCACATTCCGTACATGTTTTCCCAGTGGAATTAATAGGCTCTGTAGAATCGGCAGTTTTTGCAGTAGAATAAATAGATAAGAACTGTAAAAAGTATACAGTCTGTGATGAAAAGCGTATCTTCTCTGAGGCAGATGGGATCCTTCATAGCATACATATTGTTAATCTTTGTGAGATCCTTGTAAAACAGGTATACGGTTTTTAAAAGATAAACCTGGAAAGAAAACATTAAAAATTGAGTGGCCTTCGTATTCTTCAGAAAACCTTTGTCATGACAAACTGAGGGTTTTGAGGGTAATTAATGTTGAGGATTTCCAAGGAAATCCCTGTAATGTACCTTCTGGGCTCCTCCACCTGGCTGTTCCTTCCTGGTAGTCAGGGAGGCAGTGTGGGGTGATAAAAAATCCCAGGGGCTGGAATCTGACCAGCCTAGGCTCAAATCACAGCTCTACTACCAATACCAGCTATGAAATCATACGCTGGTTACTTGCTGTGAGCCTCAGCTTTCTATAAAATGAAGATCACAATATAAATATGTATAAAGTATCCAGTACAGTGCTTGGCACATTGTCAGTGCTCAGCAAATGTAATCTCCTTTTCCCCTTATGCCTCCAAACCCGCTGCACATACATATACACACAGGTACACACATACCTACATGTGTACATCTATGTGACAAAATAATGACACTTGTTTAATAAATAACTATATCAGGTTCTGAGGCCACAAAAGTGTACATGACAGAGTCTGTTCCCACCGAGCTTGGAATCCAGTGGGAGAAATCAAGTCCAACATAACAGGTGTCATCAAAGAAGTATTTCCAGTAGACTAGGGGAACAACAGAGGCAGGGCTGGGGTGAAGTGCTAGGTAGGGAGATGATCTGGGAAGGTTCCCCAGAGTCTGGGGCTCATGAAAAGGAAGAAACATATTTTAAGAACATGAAAGAGTATGCAAGATGATAATAAGATGTAAAATTTCATGTTATATTCGGGGAACTCCTGGTCATTGAGAATGGCAGGAACTGCAGTCTCTATGGTACAGTGGCAAGAGATGAGACCAGTGAGGAGGGAAAGGAACAGATGATAGATCCCAAATGTGTCTAGAGTATGAAGCTAAGAAGGAAGAACTTTATCATGACAGTGATGGAGTGTCATTGAAAAAGTTTAAGCAGGGGAGTGACATGATCAGATTTTCCTTTTAGAAAGTTCCCACATTAAAATGAATTGGAGGTCGGGCACAGTGGCTCGTGCCTGTAATCCCAGCACTTTAGGAGGCCAAGGCGGGCGGGTCACCTGACGTTGGGAGTTTGAGACCAGCCTGACCAACATGGAGAAACCCTGTGTGTACTAAAAATCCTAAAAATTAGCCGGGCATGGTGGCCCATGCCTGTAATCCCAGCTACTCGGGAGGCTGAGGCAGGAGAATCGCTTGAACCCAGGAGGGGAAGGTTGCGGTGAGCCGAGATCACGCCATTGCACTCCAGCCTGGGCAACAAGAGCAAAACTCTGTCTCAAAATAAATAAATAAATAAATAAAATAAAATAAAATAAGTGAATTGGAGGGGAGGTCCACAGTACAGTGCAGGTAGTATATGAAATTGTGGAAACCCAACTGGGGAAAGATGAAGGCCTGAGCTAAGGCGGTACCCATGACGACTAAGAAAAGAACAGGCATTAGGTATTAGGAGGTGTAATCTTCAGGATTTAGAGGCTGATTCATTGTATATAGAGGGCAAAGGAGCAGAAGGAGAGAATTAAGGATTAACATTTGGACTCTAGCTTAGATGGATAGTCGGGTCATTTACCAAGCAAGGTAATATATGAGAGGGATTTGGAGGGGAAGATTAGTTCAGTTTTGAATAAGTTGGGCTGGAACTGAGTTCAGAGTAACTGTGAGTTATTGATAAAGGTCTGTCCAATAGACATCAAGACTGCCAAATGGGATCTGCACCAGAGTTGTAGATTACAAGTCATCCATAGGTAGCCAGTAATGATGCCCAAGGGTGGAGCTCTGGGATAAATTGCCATTTCTCAGGGAGTGGAGAGCCTGTGAAGGAGACTGATAGGAGTGATGGAGAGCTGGGAAGGGAATCAGGATTTGGTGGTACCACAGACACTAAAGGCAGAGAGGGCATCAAGAGGGTGAGGAGAGTCGACAGACTCAGCTCTTGCAAAGAGGTTGATTAAGATAACAGTGGGAAAGTATCCATTGGATTTGACATTATGGGACAATTACAGAAAAGTTATCAGGGAAGTCAGACTGCAGCAAGTTGAGGGGAGAGTGGGCACATCAATGCAGATTGCTCTTTCAAGAGCTTTGATGTCAAGGGGAAGAGAGAAGACAATAAAATGGCAAAAGTTGTCAAAAAAAAGTGAAAGTATTTTAGTTTTGCTTTTTTGCTGTTTTGGTTTGAAGATGATACAGATTTGAGCACATTTATGTTTTAGAGGGGAGAAAGCCAGCAGAAAGAAAAGAAAGAAAGAGAGAGAGAGAGAAAGGAAGGAAGGAAGGAAGGTAGGTTAATAGAAGAGTAGATACAACTGACAGTCCAACATCAGAAAGAAAGAAAGAAAGAAAGAAAGAAAGAAAGAAAGAAAGAAAGAAAGAAAGAAAGAAAGAAAGAAAGAAAGAAAAGAAAGAAAAGAAAGAAAGAAAGAAAGAAAGAAAGAAAGAAAGAAAGAAAGAAAGAAAGAAAGAAAGAGTAGATACGGTTGACAGTCCAACATCTGAAAGAAAGAAAGAAGAAAGAAAGAAAGAAGGAATGAAGGAAGGAAGAAAAAGATTAATAGAAGAGTAGATACGACTGTCAGTCCAACATCTCACCATGCATGCACCATCTCCTTCCTGGAATGCTCCTCCATGCCATCTTTCCCTGGTCAACACTCTCATCCTTCATCCAGCAACTTAACTGCCACTGCCTCAGAGACTTCCCTTATTCTTTTAGCCCCCACACCTGCAGTTACCTGTTTAACATCTGTCACACTGCTAGACTATACTATAGGCAAAGATAATGAGTGTCTCATTAGTAGCACTAGCACAGTGCCTGGCACATAGGGGATGCTTAAATGTTTACTGAATCACTGTGTAATTGCACTCCTGTTGAGTACCAGGTCTATGTGTTATCAAGATCCAGTTCAAATATAATATGCTACCTATGGTCACTTAACAGATGGTTTTCCATGCTCTCTATCTGGCTATCCCAGCTTGGGCTGGTTTTAGGGCCACACAATAGGACTGTAGAGCATGTGGCTCAAGTGAAGGCAGGAAAGTTAAGAGACATTTTCTCGGAGAATGGACCTTGCCTTTTCTTCTCTATCTTATTTCCTTATCAGTGACTAAGCTATGGCAGAGACAACAGCTTCCTCAGTCTTTTTACCTTACCCTTAGACCCTAGACATTAAATGTCTTATTCTAGAGAATTGTCTGTGATTAATTGATAGGCCAGGCTATAAGGCTTCCTGGGAACTGGATTATCTGTAGTAGTGTGGTACTTGTTACTATTTCCCAGCTTTTATTTGGGTAAAGGTCTATTTAGAAATTAGATCCTTGGGCCAGATGTGATGGCTCCCATCTGTAATCCCAGCACTTTGGGAGGCTGAGGTGGGAGGATTACTTGAGCCCAGGAGTTTGAGACCCCTGTCTCTACAAAAAATTTAAAAATTAGACACATGGTTGATGCACGCCTGTAGTACTTGCTACTCAAAAGGCTGAGATGGGAGGATTGCTTGAGTTTGGAGGTCAAGGCTGCAGTAAGCCATGATCATGCCACTTTGCTCCAGTCTGGATGACAGAGCAAGACACTGTCAAAACAAACAAACAAACAAACAAACAAAGAGAGAGAGAGAGAAAGAGACAGAGAAAGAAAGAAAGAGAAAGAAAGAAAAGAAAGAAAAAAAGAGAGAGAGAAAGAGAAAGAGAGAAAGGGAAAGGGGAGAAGGGAAGATAAGGAAGTGGATTCTTGAAGGAGCTGTGTGTCTTTACCACACTGAAGTATTTGGAGATGCCAAGCTACTTACCTGTGCTTCCCAGTACCTCCAGCAAGGCCTAGCACATGGCATTCAACAAATGCTTAATGAAAGAATGAGCAGGCACGTCTTCAGTTGGGTTGAAACAGGATGCTGTCAGTGATTCACTTATTCTGGGATGCACTTGTTATCAGGTTACCTTACCCTACTTTTATTTCTTGGCAAGAGCCAACTCCCACATGGCTGCATGTTTGGGGTTGGGTAGTGGGGAAGAGTTGGCAGCCCCCTCTTTATCTCACACCTCTTTTCTTCTGAAGTCAGTGTCTCTGAGGAAATATCAAAAAGGAGTGCTCCTTTTGCTGTGCTTGGCTGTGGGTGGAAGCACGTTCTAAACTAAGCCTCATGATGAAGTGCTCTCATTACATTTTTGGCTTTGTTTTGAAGACCTTGTACTTTGAGCATTGGGCACTTACTTAGATTGATCAAAATGCCAAACCTTAATGGTTTGAATGTCACTAATTCTAATCCAGATATGGGTGAGAGGCAGATGGTGGGAAATGGTGACTGTGGGATGCAGAGCAAACACTGGCCTCCCAGGAGAGGTGATTTAACAGCACAGGCACTAACAGTTGCTAGCTGTTGGCCACTTCAGCATGGTAAGGGGCACACCTTGCCATCCTTTGATGGCAGATTGCACTAAGCTGGGCAGCCTCTTCCCCACCAAGATAGCCAAGCCCTCTGGCTGTTCCTTCATGCTGAAAAGCAGAGTAGCAGATTTATTTCCACCTCCTGTGTAGTGGCCCCATCTCGCCATCATTACCCCACCATTCTAGCAACTGTAATACCTGGTGCTGTGGACTCTAACCTCACAATTCTCTGCCTCCCATGAGTAGAAAAGGAAGCCAGGGCCTCCTAAGTAATCATTTCAGTCTTTGCTGAATGTCACCCAGGTCTGAGGACAGGGGGACTAGAGATGTAAGGGAGAGAGAGCCTGTGGAGGAAGATGGCCAAGCCTGGGGTCCCTGTGGGAGAGATATCTGTAGGCTCCAGCCCTGTTCTCTGTCTGTTCTCTTGGGAGAAGGTTTCCTGTGATTTTCTTAGCTTTCTCAGTAGCATTCTAGCTAATATTTATTGCTTGCTGACTCCACAAATGCTTTAGGCACTTCGTTAGATGCTTTATTATACATTATCTCATCACAACTCTAGAAATTGTTATCCCTATTTGGTTGATGAGGAAACTAATGATTAAGAGAGGATAAGTAACTTATCCAATGTCAATAACAGCACATTGAAGATTGAGGATTTGAACTCAGCTCTCTTTGAAACACAGTAGGTGCTCATTCACTACTCTGCACAAATGCTCACAGCCAGTGCTTATAATACCTGGACTCCATGGCTCCATTCACTTGCATCATTGCAGTCTATGCTTCCTTCTAGCCACGGGCCTTCAAATGTACTCAGATAAGACCGGGGGAGAATAACTGTAGTCAAGCAGGGTCATTGGAAGAGGGGTCAGATAGGATGTGGAGCAGAGGGATGGTAAAGAATTCAAAACCTAACTTTATCATTGCTCACCATTTCAAAAAACAAAACTAAATTTAGGATGAAGGATACAAATGAGATCAGAGAAAATCCAGGCCATGAACCTCTGCTGCTCTTTGCCAGCCCCATTCAGAGCTGCCAGCCTAATGTTCAGTGATGATCTGTACTTTGTATAGCATGATGGCAGCCATCCCTGGGTTCCCATGTGTGGAATGTACTCATGCAATTGATTCATTCATCAGGCTCCATTGAGACCCTGTGAACAAAGAGTTGAGGAAGATAAAAAGACACACAAGACACAGGCCCTACCCTCAAGGAGCTCACAGTGCAGGAGGTGAGCGAATGTCTAGATTCTTTCTTGACTATCATCAAAGAGATGTTCTTTAACATGTAGGATTCGTCGGCAATGCCAAAAATGGAATTCTTGCAGCAGGAGGTTGGTCAAAATGACCTCTAAACCTCTTTCATCTCTAAGCATCCATAATCCCATGAATCCTGTAGCTTAACCTTTGAAGAAGAAATTGCTTATGTCATTACAATTTTCCAGTAAAAGCACAGCTACAGTTAGCATTGAATATTTCAGAACAGCCCTGATTTCAGATATCATGTCATAAATAAATGTAATTGGAAGACTACATTTAGTAATTGGTCTCTTTAAGCATGTGTCTTTCTGCTTCAATAGACTGTTTCCTGAAACCTGTGGTGTTTGCAGTCCTCTGGGCCTTTGCTTTCCTGGCCGTGTGGCCAGGAGCCACTTTGGGGCTGCTTGTGCGTGCTCTGCGTGTGTATCTGCTGATTGATAGTGCTTCCCGGCGGACTGCAGCTGCGGGATGATCATATGCTTCAGCATGCCTTTATATAGTATCTTTTGCCCATGTGGTTGCAGTCAATCCAATTTAATTCAGATCAGCAAAAGTTACTGAGCACATGTGCTAGGCACTGTAGGGGATATAGAAACAAATGGCACTATCAGACATACTCAAGTAACTATAGTGAACAAAGGAGACGAGTAAAAGGGAATTAAAGAGGCCTAAACAAAGGGCTGAGTGAGAACGGGATGGAAGAGAAGAACTGTGCCTGCAGCAAGGTAGGAAGAGCTGAGAGAGTAGGAAGTGTGATGGAGCTAGGCCAGAAGGACCTAGAGGCTCAGATGCATGGAGCATGTCAGGTGGTGGCCACAGCCAGAGCAACACAGGAAAGGAGTGGGAGGGAGGGGGCCGGGGAAGGAGGAGACCCACAGGGAGGGCCAGGCTTGGGTCAGCGGGGGTAGGGGCTTCTTATTGTGGGTGTGATTGTTTTATAAGGACAGTGCAGAGTGCAGGGCAGAGTGTGTGTGTATGTGTGTGTGAGAAAGAGTGTGTGCCTGTGTGTTGGAGGAGCAGCAGTGGGAATAACTCAGTTAAAAATTCAGGACTGGCAACACTGTTGAGAACGAGGGTTGAATTATAGATATCTTTTCTGAAGAAAGAAGATTAAAGGAGAGGTTTTCTTTTTTGTTTTGTTTTTCATTTTGGCTGTTAGTTTTAAGTAGGTCATTGGAACCTCCAGTGGTTGGAAATCGCAGGGCAAGGGGCTGTTGCATTAGAAGAGCCTGTTCCAGGAGCTCTCTTCCCCCAGTGCTCTGTCCTGTGCTCCTCATGATTTCAGGGGCCCACTGCTATTTGGCCCCATTATTTTTACATATACTTGCCTATAACAATAAATCCCAGGAGTGTTTGTAATTGACTAGTACAAATAAGTTGGAGATGAATTACTCTCTTGTTTCTCCCTTCGTTGCAGAGCCCACGCTTCCTTCCAGGATCTGCTCCTCGGCCCCTTTACTCTATTTCCTGTTCATCTGTCCCTTCGTCCTGCTCCTCCTTCTGCTCATCTCCCTCCTCTGCTTATACTGGAAGGCCAGGAAGTTGTCAACACTGCGTTCCAACACACGGAAAGAAAAAGCTCTCTGGGTGGACTTGAAAGAGGCTGGAGGTGTGACCACAAATAGGAGGGAAGACGAGGAGGAAGATGAAGGCAACTGAATCCCAAGAGGCACCTGCAGCCAGGAAGGAAAGGTGGGGGCTTTTTAATTGGGCTAACCAGGGTGTGAATGAATCCTGGTTCTGTCCTCAACTATGTCTGCGGCCTTGGGCAAGTTACCTAGGAATCAGAGGGAGCATTCACTGAGTGCTTATTGGTTCTACGCACTGTTAGGTGTTCCTTTGTGTCTTACCTCATCCACCTCTCGCATCCCCCCTTGGAACAAGATAGCATCATTACCCTACATCTCTTGAAGGTTCAGGTCCCTGGGCTGCAAGGAGATAAGAGGCTCCCTCACACAGCCTCTGGAGGGCTAAATGAGATCCTACAGCAATGCCCTGGTGGGGCTTCTCTCTCCCTCTTATGTCACTTGTCACACCTGCTCTAGGTAATCATTTTCCTCCAGATGAGAGGTGTAGGAAAGGACCTGATGCCAGCAAGGAAAAAGGAATTGGTAACATGCTCTTTGTTTACCTAAAATCTGTCCCCACAACAAGAATGTAACTTCCTTCGAGGCAGAAATTCAATTTTCTTCTCCCAGCCCACCTACAAAGGCCCACTCAAGAGCAAGTTCTGTGTAAAGGTGCTTAACTAATACAGGTTCTTTGACAAAATGATAAAACATTTGTAACCTGAGTTTGGGGCTTTTTGTTTATTGTTTGATAAGACTTTTTATTAAGTAATTGCTGAGCAAAAACTTTGTAAAAACTCATGTAACAGTACTCCAGTCAGCCCCCCAAGGCCTCGTACCCCTGCTTCCCCCTACACCTCCATATCCCCACCAAAAGGTCCATCTGGCTCCTGGTGCTCAGCCAGTGCCTTATTTTCTTTGACCTGACAGCACTGGGTGGTAGGGAAGGTATTGTCTGGAGGAGCAGGGTTGACAGTGCCACCGTTCCCTCATACGCCTGCAGGGCTGGGGTTTGGGGCAGCAGTAGGTCAAGTCTGGTTCCTCAAGGTCTCCTATTCTCAGTAGCAAAAAGCAGCCGGTGGGGGTGGGGTGTAATGGCTTAAAGCTTTCAACAGCTGTCCCCACTGGGCCTACAGTCCCCTCATCTTTGTTTCAAAAGCCGCTCAGGCCCTGTTGTAGCCAGAATTGGAAATCAATCAGTGCCACCTAAAGACTTGAGAAAACACATCTATTTATTATCTATGTGACCAACCGAGTTGCTTTAACACTCGTTAATTTGCATTTCCAAGGAGAGCAATTTAGTTTTAATTATTTGATCAGGCACACACGTCCTCTCCAAACATAATTAGTTCCTTCCTAAGGGGATTATTGGTGGCTATGAGCACTCCTACTATGGACCTACCAGTTCCTTAAACTCATGTCCCTTCATAGCCTGATTTAAAATACTCCAAATCTTTCCTTAAACATGTCAGCACATTTGTTTCTTGTCATCCAGGTAAGGGAGCATATTTTTACAAACAACAAAGCTGAAATGAAGACTTTTTTTTTTTTTTTTTTGAGATGAAGTCTCGCTCTGTCGCCCGGGCTGGAGTGCAGTGGTGTGACCTGGGCTCACTGCAAGCTCCGCCTCCCGGGTTCACGCCATCCTCCTGCCTCAGCCTCCCAAGTAGCTGGGACTACAGGCACCCGCCACCATGCCTGGCTAATTTTTTTTTGTATTTTTAGTAGAGACGGGGTTTCACCGTGTTAGCCAGGATGGTCTCGATCTCCTGACTTCATGATCCACCCGCCTCGGCCTCCCAAAGTGCTGGGATTACAGGCGTGAGCCACCACGCCCGGCAGAAGACTCTTAGAAAGTGTGATGACCCCCTGCCCCTATTTTTTAGAAACCTGTATTTTAATTCAAAGGGAAAGAGAGCAGAAGTGAGCCTGGGCAGAGAATCTTGGATGGACTCTGCTGCAGCCCTCTGTGGGAGCACTCTTCACCCCATCCCTCCTCTCTGCTCACATGGACACCTCCTTCAAGCTTCTAGCTCAAACACCTCTTCCCCTTTTGAATCCAGCACAGAGATAGCACAGAGGAGATGTAAGCAGACAGGGAGGGTCTCCTGGGAAAGCAGACATTTAACCAACTTGAGCAATCAGCTTGTTTTACAGCTTCCTGCCTTGCTGCCTGTTTCTTCCCAAGCCCCGTGTGGAATGTGGTGACCTAGTCACCTGGAACCAGCTCCTGACAGACCCCGGCAACTTCTAGATGAACCCAAGTGAACTTTCCTCATTACCATCCTGAAGTCACTACCCCAGGGGGAGCTATAGCTTCATGACCGTAACATGTGACCTGTGTGCTGGCAGGACGACTCACTGCGGCTGCGCCACTGGGACCCCTCCCCTACATGCACCAATGCACTCTCTCCCCTCTCCATCACCCCATAAAACCCTCCTGTCACTTTCCTTCAGAGACACCGCTTTGGAGAGTATTCCCAGCGCTCTCCTTGCTTGTGACAAGTAAAAAAAAAAAAAAACTCCTTTTCATCAAAACTCATGTTCTTGTGGAGAGTTATTTGTTACTCGCCAGGCAAACAAACGCTGGTTTTTTTCAGGGAACAGAGACCCTCAAATATGAAACGGTTCCGGCCAGAGCACAGCATGGGAAGTGTGAGTTCCCAGTGGGTACCTGCTGCATGTCAGGCCCTGTGCTAGGAGCAAGGGGCCCTGTGGTGACTCAGACACAGCCCCATGCCCCTGGGATGCTCACCTTGTTTGTCCTGGATGCTCTGCTTTCATTAATGGGACTTAGAGCACCTTTGATAGTCTAAGCAGCCACATGGCACTCTTTGTCCCATAGGCAACTAAAATCCTCCAAAACTAAAACACCCCCACAGTATTTTCTTCTTTTTAAATTTACAGAATAAAATTTGCCCTGATCCAGTTCAGCAGACATTTTATGTGAAACCTCTTCTCTCTCCAATTACATACTGTTTACCTTTGGTTTTTGAAACTTAGTGGAGAGCTTTACTTTTACTTATTGATTTCAGCTTTTCCATTTCATGCCACCACCTGGTTTTACTTTTGGCTTTTTGTGTTATAAATCTTCCTTGGCAAAAGGACAAGCCTCTGTCTCAGGAGTTGACCAACCAGGGCCTATGGGCCAAATGCAGCCCACCATCTGTTTGTTTTTTAAAATACAATATACTGGAATATGGTCACTCCCATTCGCTTACATACTGTCTGTGGCTGCTTTCACGATAAAAATGGCAAAGTTGTGTAGTTGCCACAGAGACCATAGGACCTACATTGCCTAAAATGTTTATTATTCTGGCCCTTTACAGAAAACATTTGCCAGCCCTGCTGTCCTTTAATGTTCTGTCTCTCTTAGCCATGTATTATGTCCCTGGGAAACTGATTTGACCTCTTATATCTGAATCTCTTCTATATCTGATTAATCTAATAAATAATCTTAGGTTTTCAGGATTGGCATCTAGTCCCAGCCATTCTGAAGTTTGACTCCGCTGTACCGGCCTCACACTATAGATGGGAAGTTTATCACCCTGCAACGTTTCACGCCATCATACTGAGTACCTACTCTGTGCAAGATAAGATGACACAGGGATGATTAAGGCATGGTTGCTGTTAATTATTTTTATTGTATTGAGATGTATAGAAAAAACCGATTTATGGCAGAAGATGAATGCAATGGTATAAAGTCATGTGCCATAATAATTTCTTACAATCGTACAGGATTTTTTTCATTATCTCAGAATTTTACAGCATCTCTATACAAAAGGAATTGTTATTCCTGTCCTACAGGTAAGGAATTATAGCTCAGAGAGGTTGGGATTTATCCAGGATCACCCAGCCATATGCAGAAGAGTAAAAGCTCAAACTTAGGTCTGCTGACAAGTCCTGGACTCTTTCCACAATAAACACTCTTTCCACAATAAACACAAAAAATATGCTCAAATCCATTGCTATGGGGGAAAATCTGGATATAATAATAGCCACTTTGAGTGGTTGTTATGGTGATCAAATCAGATACATCAATGGAGATAAGTTTTAAAACCACATCAAGTCATAAATGAATGTCAGCATTAACCCAAGTTTTTCTAGGACTTAACCTGTCCGTGTACATAAATAAAATGTAATCAATAGTAATAATCCAAATTCTACAGGCTTTCCCTCCCAGAATATTTACACAGGGTCTTGGCCATCTACAGTGTCCTTTAGCTATTTCTGGGGGATTTCCCAAAACTGGAAATTTTTTTTTAAAGAGATGAGGTCTCACTAGATTGCTCAAGCTGGCATTGAGCTCCTGAGCTCAAGTAATCCTCCTGCAAGAGCCTCCCAAGTAGCTGGGTCTACAAGTACACACCACCACATCTGGCCCGGATTCTGTGAATTCACATGAGCTCACAAGCAAGTCCATTCCCATGTGGTTCCCTGCAGCTCCGTTGGGCTCTGCGGGCTCCCACCGCAGCTGGCATGCCAGAGCACATGAGATGCCAAGCTGAGTCGTGTTCAGTGATAAGCAGTGAAAAGGGACTCTTTCTCTGTCTTTACATTACACTCTTCTGTAAGGATACAAATTCAAGATTGTTTGCACCCGTGTCTCTAAAGATTCTCTTGTGAAAACTGTTCCATTAGCATTTGCCCAGTATCTCCTTTCTCCAGAGTCCAGACACCAGCAAGTCTGCGGCCAGGCTGGGAAAGACTTCATGCTATTCTCTCCATTTCCCATTGCCTGTTCCCAGCAGCCTCTGCACTAACCTCCTCATCACAGGTCCTCTTTTCCTCCAGCAGGAAGGTTATGCAATTGTGCTGTTGGGGAGCTCTACCACTTGGCAGACAGAGCCTGAGAAGTCTGCATTCCCTGTAGGCTCAGGTGGGAATTCTGTCAAACTGGCTATTAATTTTTACTCCTAATAAAGTGCTACAGGCATTTAGAAATCAGAGACAACTTCATAAAGAAGATGTAAGTTGAACTGGGCTTTAAAAATAAGAAAATATTTTGACAGGAAAAGGGTTAAGCAGAGGTCTGGACAGAGGAAGCCCCATGAAAAGTGCAGTGCTTACAATAGCTTTGGGTTAAGTGTCAGATCTATGAAGGGGAGCAATGGGAGATAAATCTGGAAAAGTAGTTAGAGCAAAATTCTGGGGTTGGGGAAGGACAGAAGAACAGATCTTGAACATGGATAATATCTTGGACTTCATGTGGTGGACAATAGTGAGCCAGTGAATGTAATGTAGTAGGGAAGGAGAATTGAAAAGCAACAGCATAGATGATAGGTGGGGTTGGAGTGAGGATGGCAGTGGTACAAAGGTGAGGCAGGGAAGCCAGCTGGAAAACCATCTTCACTCTCTTAATTTGTGTAATGGCTATCACACCAATTTTGTGAGCATTTTGAGTATAGAAAAAAATTATCAGAAAGTTTCAAGTATCAAGCTCATAGAGGTAGCTCCTGTATATTAAACACAATGACACATGATGAGACTCTTCTTGTGTCTAATAAATGCTCGTTAACCTAGTTTTCTACTGATAAGTTTAGAGATAAGAGACAGTTCCATCCATTCATTATATTAACTGGCTTTCCATTTTTTAAAAAATTTATTCACCTTTACATTTAATTTACTTGTTAGAAATTTGGAGTTTCTACCATATTGTCTCTTAATCCAAGGCTCCTTCTGAACCAGCTCTGACTGCCAAATAGAGATGTTTTGAGTTGAAGCATAATTATCACATTAAGCCATTTACCGAGACGAGAGACTATATTGGATGAGGACAGTGATTAAGAAGTTTCTATGGTATAAATAACCAGCATAGGAAAATCCAAATTTATTACTCCTATAAGGTCACATTGTCAAGGGAACCGAGAGGGTGTGTGCTTCCATTTTAAACTGGCTTTTCAACAATAGGATTCTTGGTGGACTTATCTCACCCTAGTCCCTTTCTGGGTACCTTGTGCTCCAGCCACACCAAATTACTTGCCAGGTAATTACTCCCCAGGTGTCTACCAAACATGCCCCTGATTTTGTGTCTTTCATTTGGAAAATTTCTCCTTTTTTGTGATCCTGTTCATCCCACTCAATTGACTTCAATATGTGTTTATTGCTAAGGGTGTCCACATAACATACCAGGGAAAATCAATACTGTTTGTTCTTTCGTTTGCATCTTCTGGGCTGGATCATGTTCATATAGAGAGTTGTGATGCAAACCAAGATCTCAGAAAGCTCCCTACCCCATCTCATGCCCTTTGGTAATTATAAGATTTTGAGCTCCCATAATCTTATCTTGGTTCCTCTCTCCCAAAACCACACTCTGCTGGGAGGTGTTTCTTGGTGGCCTGATGTGCACACGTGGCACACAAATACATTGGAAAGACAAAGTAATATGGAAGCTACTGTATGCCACTGGTGCAAGTTTAAAGCCTGCTACCTTTTGCCTTTTATTATTTACATAGGTACTTCTTCAGTGTGAGGGGTTTTCAACATTTTCCTCATGATAACAGTCATTATTGAGAGGCTCAGGCCAATAAAACAAATACATACGATGACAATAGCAATAAATGTTCTTTGATGACACGCATATGTATATATGCAGTGAGTTTCTAATCAAAACTTCTATCAGTAATAGTTATTTGGGTACAATAATACTATAGACCAGGGATCATAAACTTAGATGTTTCAGCATCTAAGGTACGTAAATGAAGAGAAAGTATCGGTCTGGAGGAAATCCTTAGGGAGGGATGAAGATTAGAGCAATTGGAGCATGCATATCTATTGAAAGGCACTTAAGTTCAACATAAGATATAAGATATTGTGCAAGGTAATCAAAACACTTTTAGGGGTGGAATTCTGTTCCTTGTAATCCCTGCATCACATCCTAAAGCCATCAATAAATGCTAAAACTCTGCCACCAAAATAGCATCTGAAGGTTATGCCTATATCTTAAAATTGTGAGTTATTGGCCTATGGTTTCTTCTAAAAGCTTCATTGTCTTACCATTTAAAAATAGGTCTAAAATACATGTCAAATTGATTTTTATATAAAGTAATTTTTGTATAAAATGTGAGGTAGAATTCTCGTGCACTGCTGATGGGAATCATTCTGTTTTCCATAGCACTGGCAGAGCAGCTGCTATGGAAAACAGAATGGCACTTCCTCAAAAATTAAAAATAGAATTACCATATGAGCCAGAAATTTTACTTCTGGGTATATACCCAGAATAATTCAAAGTAGGGGCAAGAAGAGATATTTGTATACCCCTGTTCATAGCAGCATTATTCACTAAAGCCAAAGGTGGGTGGAAGAAAGCCAGTGTGCATCAATGGATAAATGGATGGATAAAGAAAATATGGTACATGAAAAATAATACAATATTAGTCATCTTTAATAAGATAATAAATTCTGACACATGCTATTGACATGGATGAACCTTGAAGATATTATGCTAAGTGAATGAGCCAGTCACAAAATGGCAAATGCTATATGATTCTACTCATATGAGGTACCTAAACCAGTCCAATTTATAGAGACAGAAACTAGAATAGTTGTTGCTGGGCCTGAGGGAGGGGTGATAGGGAATGATTGTTTAATGATTTACAGAGTTTTAATTTGGGAAGATGAAAAAACTTCTGGAGCTGGATTGTGGTGACGGCTGCACAGCAATGTGATTGAACTTAATACCACTGAGATGAGCATATAAAAATGGTTAAAATGGTAAATTTTATGTTATATATTTTACCACATTATAAAAGTGAGATAAAGATCACGGTTTAATTTGCTCCATATGATTATCCCATTGCTCCAGTACCATATTTTTAAAAAGAGCATTCTTTCCCCACTGTAGTGGTTTTATGTATTGTTCAAGAAATCTTTGCCCATCCACAATAGTCTGCAGTAATACATTAAATCACAACCAATCATGATTTAATAACAATTTACTACTGAGCATGATTTCTTACAGGGAATGCAAGGTTGGTTTAACATTTAAAATTTAATCTATGTAAATCACTACATTAACACTTGATCATCTCAACAGATCAAGAAAAAAGAATTTAATAACATTCAACACTTCTTTTTTTTTTTTTTTTTTTTTTGAGACAGACTCTTGCTCTGTCACCCGTCACCCAGGCTGGAGTGCAGTAGCATGATCTCGGCTCACTGCAACCTTTGCCTCCTGGGTTCAAGGGAGGATTCTTGTGCCTTAGCCACTCGAGTAGCTGGGATTACAGGTGTGTGTCACCACGCCTGACTAACATTCATATTTTTAGTAGAGATGGGATTTTGCCATGTTGGCCAGGCTGGTCTCAAACTCCTAGCCTCAAGTGATCCACCTGTCTTGGCCTCCCAAAGTGTTGGGATTATACGTGTGAGCCACCACACCCAGCCTTAACACTTATTCTTAATAATATTTCTCAGTAAACTAGTAACAGAGGGGAATTTTCTAAAATTGATAAAGTATATAATAATTAATGGTGGAATATTAAATTATTTCCCCCATAGTTAGGAATAAGATGATAACATCAACTATCACTCTCTGTTGAATATTATACTGGAGGTCGTAGCCAATGCAAAAAAACAAGACAAATAAATATAAGGTAAAAGGATTAGAACAGAAGTTAAACTCTTTATTTGCAGGTGACTTGATTATATTTGTAGAAAATCCAAAAGTGTCTCCAAACAGGGTTGCTGAATACATGATGAACATGTTGATCAAAAATGAGCAAAAATGCACTAATTTTTGTATATTAAAAATCAAAAATTGAAAAATTAATTTGAAAATTACATTTAATAGAAAATATTAAATGCATTGGAATAAATTTAACAAAAGATGTGCAAAAACTCTACATTGAAAATTACAATACTTTGCTGAGATAAAGAAGACCTAACTAAATAGAGATTCCATTTTCATGGATTGGAAGGTTCAATATCATTAAGTTGTCAGTTTTCTCCAAGTTGATCTATAGATTTGATGCAGTTGTTATCCATGGGGAGGGAGTGGCAATTTTGCTCCCAGAGGACATCTGGCAATTTGTGGAGACATTTTGGCATGTCTTTACAACTTGAGAAGTGCTACTGGCATCCAGTGAGTGAAGACCAGGTCTAGTACTGAACATCCTACAATAAACAGCACAGCGGCTCTCCCTAACAACAAAGAATTGTCTGGCCCCAAATTTCAATAGTGCCAGGTTGAGAAACTGTGGTTTAATGGAATCATAATGCAAATCTCAAGTGTTTTTTAGAAACTGACAAGCTCATTTAGTGTTAAATGGAAATACAAATTATCTAGAATCGACAAAACAATATTTAAGAATCAAAACTTGGAGGAATTATATTCTCAGAGTCCAGAACATTCTACAAACTATAATAAGTAAGACCATGTGGAATAGGTGCACAAGTAAACAAGGAAACCTAAGAAGCAGAATAGAGTTTAGAAATACATATACACACACACATTTCCATTATAGGTGCTACTATAGTGGGGAAAGGATGCTCTTTCTAATATATGGTGCTAGAGTAATTGGATACTCATATGGGGGGAAAACAAACCTTGACATCTATCTCATGTAATAGGATAAGAGAAAAAAAATAGAAAAATTGGACATCATTAAAATTAAACTTTTTGTTCATTAAAAGACAATATTAAGAAAGTGATGGCTGGACGTGGTGGCTCATGCTTGTAATCCCAGCACTGTGGGAGGCTAAGGTGGGAGGATCACTTGAGCCCAGCAGTTCAAGACAAGCCTGGGTAACATAGTGAGACATCTTTTCTACCAAAAAAAAATTAAAAAATTTTAAAAGCCAGGCTTGGTAGTATGTTCCAGCAGTCCAGCTCCTTGGGAGGCTGACATGGGAGGATTGCTTGAGCCCAGAAGGTAGAGGCTGCAGTGAGCTGTCATCATGCCACTGCATTCCAGTATGGGTGACAGAGAGAGACTCTGTCTCCAAAAATAGTAATTATATCACAGACTGGGAGAATGATATTCATAAAACATATCTGACAAAGGCTTATATCCAGAATATATACCAAACTTTTATAAATCAATTTTAAAAGAGGAGAAGCACATAACTCAATTAAAAAAATGGCCAAAAGATTTAAATATGGTTTGAAAAAGACAGAAAAAAGACTTGAACATGGATCTCAGAATCGCCAATAAGCATACTGTTAGTTCAGGTGCTTTGAGAAGCACATGCCAAGATTAGACATGAAAGGGATCTACTGGGGGCAATGCCAGTGAAGAAAAAAGGCGATGGAGCAGAAGAGGGGAAGAGCCCTTGACTGTCCTGCAGGTCTGACTTCTGTGAAAGGAAACAGGGAAGGAAGGAGGATTTATATAAGAAGGTCTTCAGATTGCACAGCAGTTCTGAGATAATCTGGCTCAAGCTGATAAGGAGTCTCTGAGCAAAGGTTGCTTATTGAAGAAGTACTCCATGGGGCAGACATTGCCCAGCTCTAGTAACTCTGCCATGCTTAGTCCTTGGCAGGGAGCAGCCCAAGGGAAATGTGGCCTTAGCATAAATATTTGAAGATCTGGATGCTGGAGGTTGTCAATTAGCTATGCTCTTTGCAGCAGGCTCCCTTGAAAGGAGATATGAGTGGTACAGCTCCATGGCCACAGCGTATGAAAGATGTTCAATGTCATTACTCATGAGAAAAATGCAAATTAAAACAGTGAGATAACTTTATTCATATACCAGGATAGAAAATATAAAAGACTGACAATAGCAAACACTGGTAAGAATGTGGAGCAACTAGAAATCTAATGCATTGCAGGTGGGAGGGTAAATGTATTCAACTATTTTGTAAAATAGTTTGGTAGTTTCTAATAAAGCTAAATATATACCTACTTTATGACCTACAATTCCACTACTACCATTTTCCCAAGAGAAATAAATGCTTATGTCCACCAAATGACATATACAAGAACATTCATAGCTTTATTCATTATTGCTAAAAACTAGAAACAATCCCCTTGTTTATCGATAGGTGAATGAATAAATTATAGTTTGTACATATCATAGAATACTACACAGTAATAAAAATGAACAAACTACTGACATAATGACAGCATGAATGAATCTCACAGCATTTGTTGAGTAAAAGAAGACAGACACAAAAAGGTACAAAATTCAAGAACCAGCAAAACTAATCTATGGTGACAGAAGTCAGAATAAGGATTTCACTGGCAGAGGAAGTATTAGCTGAGAAGTAGCATGAAGGAACCTTCTGGGGTAATTGAAATGTTGTTTTTTTGACCTAGGTTGTGGTTTCATGGGTGTATACATATGTAAAAATTCATTGAGCTGTCTTTAAGATTTGAGCATTTTTTGTATGCACATAACTTAATAACATATAACTTGTTAATAATAATACATAACTTTATGTAAATAATTTAAACCTGAGGGTTTTTTGTAAAGCATTTTTCTTTCAAAAAGTAGTTGAGAACCAAACAGATGACCAATATAGAATGAGGAATTTTAATATAGATGGGAAATTGTAAGATTTATGTATTCAACAAGCATTTTTCTGGTACTTAGTATGTGCCAAAACATATGTTAGGAGGTAGGCAGGCAGAAATGACTGACATTGTTTCTTCCTTCAACAAAGAAAGGATAAAGGAGTTAAGGTTTACTTTATTGAGCTGCCATCACATGTTACAAGGATTGAATCCTTACAACAATATTGTCAAGAAGCCAAGATTAAACCATTGTATTCATCAGGGTTCTCCAGAGAAACAGAAACAATAGAATATTGTTAGGCTATGTATAGATATATAAGAGGAGATTTATTCTGGGAATTGTCTCACACAATTATGGAGGCCAAGAAGCCCCACGATATGCCATCTGCATGCTGGAGAACCAAGACAGCTGGTGGTGTAATTCAGTCTGTCTGAAGGCCTGAGAACCAGGCGAGCTGATGATGTAACTCCCAGTCTGAGGCAGAAAGTCTGAGAACTGAGTGGGGAGGGGATGTAAGTCCTGGAGCCTGAAGGTCCAAGAGCAAAGAGCTCCAAAGGCAGCAGAAAGAAGATGGATGTCCCAGAACAAGAACAAAGAGAGAATTTGCCCTTTCTCTATCTTTTTGTTCTATTTAGGCCCTCAACAAACTGGAGGATGTCGTCTCCACATCAGTGAGGTATCCTCACTGATATATCCAAAAATAATATTTTACCAGCTATCTGGGCATTCCCTAGCCCAGTCAAATTGACACATAAAGTCAGCCATCATAACCATAAATCAGGAAAAAGCAGTTAAATATCATGATCATTAAGTGGCATTAAAGATCATGATCATTAAGCCCAGATGCTTTGATTCCAGAAGCAATGGTCTTTCTATCACAGTAGCCTCCTCAAGTCATAAAGATTCTACCGTTTCATTATGGGCAAAGATCTGTACACACAAGGTCATGAGAGGACCACTGGGACAGAAAACGATAATATGTGCTTGTGTTGTCACAGATCTCTAAGTGCTAGCATGTTCTGAAAGGGGGAGATAAATTTGGACTTCAGGAGCAGGGACCCCTTTGCACTCTTTGCCCTCGTTCTGACAGATTTCCATTCAGCCCAACACATGTTGATTGAATGGCCACTCTGTGCTGCCTTCTGATGCTGTTCAAATAGACATATAAGAGCATGTTTTGTTATGGTCTCCCCTGACTGAAGGCAGATGCTACAAGTTCTTAAGTCTGTCTTTAGGGAATCTTTGTATTGTTTAATGGTCTGTCTGACAGCAGCTATTTGTACCACTCTGCTGGCAGCAGGAAATTGAGGGTTCTTCTGTTCTTAATGCCCAAGATGTGACCAGCCCAATAAACGGGTGCTGATGGCAGAAGGGCCCGTATTCTCTAAGCACGGGCCAAATACCTTCTAGCCCTAAAATTGACAAATGGGGCTGCTGTGTGGAAAACAAACAAACAAAAAACATTGAAGCAAAACATTGAGTGGTGTTACAGGAGTCTAAAGTGGCTGGGCTTAGCTTCAATATCAAATAAAGGTTACTGGCTCAGCCCAACATCAGCTCCTAACACACACAGGTGTCCAAATATTTCCCTTGAAATTCTTTTATTGATTGAGGAAAGGCATTCAGTTAGGATTAAATGTGGATCATTCAAATGCAGTAAACCAGTAGATTTTCCACCTGGCAACAGAAGGCTCAATGGCAACTCCGTATTTAATAGTAGTCTTTCCATACAAAAGAAACAGTAAATATATGAGCCCTCATCTATCGATGAGATGAAATTGAAGCCACTAACTACTATCTCTTACATTCCTCTACTTAGATTTTTTTGCTTCTTTTAGATGGTGTGCCCAATGAATACATCCAAAAAATTAATACTCAGGAATGTGTGCTCTGGATTCAGACTGCCTGGGTTCAAGCTCTGACGATGTCACCCACTAGCTGTGTGATCTTTGCTGGTTAATCTTGCTTTGCCTCAATTTCCTCATCCATAAAATGGGGATAATACCCATTACTTCACAGAGTTGATTGTGAGGATTAAATGAGATATACATGTGAGGGAGTCAGAACTCATAAATGTTAGGTGTCATCATCATTCTTAACAAGCTAGCCATTCCTGAAAAGGAAACGAGATACTTGCATTTTACTTCTTAATTCTTAGCACACTAGTAGAACAGGATGTGGAAATAGAATGCAAGCATGGGTTTTGCCACGAAATAGGATCATTGCTTGGGTTCTTAGCTCAAAAGGATAATTTAAGGGATAGGTAAGTATAAAGTTTCAGAAGTCAGGATATCAAGGCAGTGTGAACAGAGGAGCATGTGGATAGAATTATCTGAGTGCTTTACAGTTAAATGCAAAGCCAGGGTAGTTTAACCCAAGAGTTCCAAGTAAAGATATGTAATATATGGGAATTAATGAGAAATGGCATCACCAGAGACTCCTATTCTGAGGTACATTGTACCTATATTAATTACCTGTTTCAATTTACATGTAGATTTGAGTGCAAATGGCACATTTGGAAAACAACTATTATGGCAGATAGCAAATAATTAGTTTGGAATCTGTATTAGTCTGCTTGGGCTGCCATAACAAAATACCACCGATGGGGTGGCTGAAATAACAGATACTCATTTTCTCACAGTTCTGTAGGCTGGAAGTCCCAGTCAAAGTGCCAGATGATGTGGATTTTGGTGAGGACTCTCTTTCTGGCTTGTAGACAAGCCACCTTCTCACTGTGTAGTCACATGGCATGACAAAGAAGGCAAACTCTCTGGTCTCTTCTTAGAAGGGCACTAATACCATCATGACCCATCCTCATGACCTCATCTAAACCTAATTATCTCCCAAAGGCCCCATCTTCAAATACCAACACACTGGGGGCTGGGACTTCAATATGTGAATTATGGGAAACATCATTCAGACTATAGCCAAATTGACAGCATAATTAATGAACTGGACTGTGGCTTGTCCTGTACCTATCCAAGGTGTGCACTCTTCATGTCTGTTAACATAGTTCAGATGGAGTAAGTTATCTGAGTGCTACAGGTTTGGTATTTTTTACTGTGCATGTGTACACTTGGGTAGGATTACAACTTAAGAGCAAAACCAGTCAAGTGAACTGAGTAGAATTTCCCCACCTGCCACTTAGCAATGCTCCAGCTCTTCCATCAGAAATAGGTGATCACTGAAGTGTCAGAAACAGTGTCATCATGAAAGAGTGTAAAGATGGAAAGGGATTGCTTAAACATGCATGCAGAGCTCTGGGTGGGAATACAGAAACCCTTGACACCTCCTCCTCTGCAGCTGATCATTAATGCTGTTTCTGTCTGCCCTGAACTCAAGGAGAAATGTGGAGGGTCGAGCAGGGAGGATAGTGGGGAAAGCAGGAGAAGAAGAGAAACAGAGAGAAGAAACAGTGACAATTAGCACATAAGAGTGAGAAGGCAGAAATAAAAGCCAACAAACTACAGAGAAAAAAGAATTGACCAGCTTCTGCCCCATCCAGCTCTGCTCTGAGGCTCAAGTGGGTCTCTCGGATCCACCGTGCCAGCAGTGCTTGCAGCTCCCGAAGAAACTGCTGACCCAGAGAAGGAAGAAGGCTGAGTGCTTGCAGGAAGAAACCCTTCAGACACCAGGGGAGGCAGCAAGCCCCACCACACTGAGGCAAGGCCTGTCTCTGTGGTACAGCAGACAGGAGAAGTCCTGTCTTACTGTGTGTGGAAACAGGTGTGTGGGCTTCCGCTTAGAGTTAGGTGGAAGTTCAGTCTGCAAGGGAGGGTGAGAAAGTACTAAAGAGGAACAGAAGAGCTGGGAAGAGCTAGATCTTTTGAAGGGGATGTCTGCTTCTGCACCACGTGACAGTGGAGGATGCCTTGGATCTTCATCAAAAGAGGTAACTTCCTCTTCTCCTTGAGAGACGCAGCAAATCCCTCACTTACAACTTAGAACCTTCCTAGCTTTCATCCAAATGCATGTAAACCTTGAGAGAGCACCAAGAGGGAGAGAAAGGAGGCGACAGATTCTATAAGAAGTGAGACATGACAGTGTTGTGAGACAAATTGACGTAGGAGATGGTGGTGTGACTGAATCACTAGCCTAGTGTGAGGCGAGGGCCTCTGTTCTGAAGAGCCACCCCACTGAGGCCTCTGGGCTGCTTCCTGTGCTGCTCACCAAGAAAATGCCATGCCATGCTAGGCGCGGTGGCTCACGCCTGTAATCCCAGCACTTTGGGAGGCCGAGGCGGGCGAATCACCTGAGGTCAGGAGTTCGAGACCAGCCTGGCCAACACAGTGAAACCCCATCTCTACTAAAAATACAAAAATTGACCGGGAGTGGTGACGCACGCTTGTAATCCCAGCTACTCAGGAGGCTGAGGCGGGAGAATCGCTTGAACCCAGGAGGCAGAGGTTGCAGTGAGCCGAGATGGTGCCATTGCACTCCAGCCTGGGTGACAGAGCGAGATTCTGTCTCAAAAAAAAAAAAGAAAAGAAAGAAAGAAAATGACATGCCAAGTTAAACTCACTTCCTTTTCTGATGTGCTGCTTTCTGCTAGGCTGGTAAGTCATGGGACAGCTATAGATTCCGCATGCATGAACTGCAGCAAGGCCTTTGAACAAGAGGAACAACGTGGACACTATGTGACTCCATGCTTGGGTGAATGATCATACCCAAGGTGTAAAGACCATGGCAACGTGTTTACCTGTAGGAGATCTCTCCAGGTCTTGCTAAAGCACTCTGCCTTGTTGAGCATTTTTATTGGCAACTTGGATGAAGGGAAAGACAGCAGGCTTGTCAAGTTGACACAGAATTAGGAGATGGCACTAATAAGTCAGTTGACAGGAACAAGATTCAAAGAGATCTGGATAACCTAGAATAATGAATCAAAATTAACATGAAATATAGAATCCATAGTTAAGTTTAGGCAATTAGATGCACCAGATAGGGGAGATGAGCTCACGCATGAAAAATGAAAACAGTGTTTTGGTTGATTGCACACTTGATATATATTATTAGCATAACATACTTATTGAAAAAACAGAGAAAAAGATTTAGAGTTTTCCATTTCATATATAAAATGGTCATATCCAAAATAAAGGAGATAATTATCCCACGGCATTTTTCATATTGAATTTTCTTTGGGATGCCTCAAATTAAGCATACATTCATCAAAAAATACTGGCGAAACCCCATCTCTACTAAAAATACAAAAATTAGCCAGGTGTGGTGGCATGTGCCTGTAATTCCAGCTACTCGGGAGGCTGAGGCAGGAGAATCGCTTGAACCCAGGAGGCAGAGGTTGCAGTGAGCTGAGATCGTGCCACTGCACTCCAGCCTGGGCAAAAGAGTGAGACTCTGTCTCAAAAAAGAAAAAGCAAAATACTGGTGAGGGGGTGTCGGAGGGAGAAAAGTAATTGATGCAGTTGGACAAGTTTCTCTGGGCAAAGAGAATGCATGTGAAGTGCAGAGAGGATGAAATAGTCATATTCATATATTTTAAAGTGATGTAAAAATGGATCAGGTGTATTTTGTTTAATTCCACATGACAAGAAAGTGGAAGTTTCAGACAGAAAGATTTCTGCTCAATATGCATTAGAATTAACTAACATTTCGACACACCCAAACAGAACTTGCTATAACCAGAAGTTTCTATGCTGAATCCATTAGGGATGCTGTGGAAGGGATTTGGGAGGATGCATTAGGTGGCTTTAGGGTTCCTTCTACCCTATGATTTCATCCATTCCATTTAACAGATACTTATGGAATGTTTACATGCTGTGTATACAGTGATTAGTGAGCCAAACAGAAATAAGTCCCTGCTTTCTTGGCAATTACACATATAGTCCATGGAGAAGACAGACGATAAACAAGTCAACAGACAACTCTGAAATAAATGTTATGTGGAAAGCAAACCGGATACTGAGAGAGAACAAGGAAGAACCTTTGTAGATAAAGTAGTCAGGGCAAGTCTCACTGAGATGGTGCTTGCTGAGACCTACAGGATGAAGGGCTAAGTTTTTAAAGAACTGAGGAAAGCATTCCAGGCAGAAAGCACAATATGAATGCAGGCCTTAGGGTAATACAAAGCTTGGCACACTGAGGAACAGAAAACAGGTTAGGGCGGCTGCAATATAATGGGTGAGGAGTGGCGTGGCTGTCTGTGAGAGTGAAAGCAGGAAGGGCCAAACCGTGCAGCGCCCGTAGGAACCAAAAGGATGACTTAACCTTTTTCTCTAAGTTTAACAGAAAGTCACTGAAGAGTTATAGGCAAAGTAACAGAACCTGACTCATGTTTTAAAAGGTTGATGAGTTCTTTAAGGCCATTTTAGTACTAAAAAATAGCAGCAAAAACCAGAGGCTGCTCTGCTCTGGCTCCCAGGTTAACTCAGAAAGGAAAAGGAGGGAGAACCAGGAAGAACTCTGCCAGAGTTTTCTCAGCTACTAAGATCCCAGCATCCAAGGAGGCTTAAAAACTTCATGGCAAAAGTCTTCAGAGCATTGGGTAGTATTGTTTACGCTCAGCTTGAGAACCTGGAATCCACCTTAGTGCCATTTGTTGCTTTCCAGAAAAAATGCAACTCAGAAACAAAAAGAAAACAGAAAACAAAACAAACAAGAGGCCGGGTGCAGTGGCTCACGCCTGTAGTCCCAACACGCTGGGAGGCCAAGGTGGGCAATCACTTGAGGCCAGGAGTTCGAGACCAACCTAGCTAACATGTTGAAGCCCCGTCTCTACTAAAAATACAAAAATTAGCTGGGCATAGTGGCATGCGCCTGTAATCTCAGCTACTCGGGAGGCTGAGGCAGGAGAACTGCTTGAGCCCGGGAGGCGAAGATTGTAGTGAACCGAGATCATGTCACTGCACTCCAGCCTGGGCGACAGAGTGAGACTCTGTCTCAAAAAACAAGGAAAAAAAAAAGAAATACAACTCAGGATGGCCACCAGAAAACAAGTACATAGCCACTGGAGGTCTTCAGGTTCTAGGTTATCTTGAATGTGTAAAGCAGCGAAGGTTTTAGGGAACAAATGAGCAGTGAGGGTTGAGGAGAAGGTTAGAATTAAGCAGAATAACTGGTATAGGGTTAGGGGGAAGAGGGAAAAAACAGCTTGGTATAAAACTTGAATTAGATACCAAAAAAATGGGTAGGAGGACATGAATAAGAAAGAAAGGATTAATTAGAGGAAAGTTAGGATTGAATAGCTAAGATGAGAACTAGGCAAGTTTAAGAGGTGTTCTGATGAAGGTACAGAGACGTGGGGCCTATGACTGCTCTACTGCTGACAGTATAATAACATTATATGCCATATAAAACAATGGGAGAAAAAAAGAAAAAAACACCAATAATCCTACCATCTTAAATAAGCATTGTTATTATTATTTTGGTACATCCTCTTTGTTATTGTTTTCTATGTGACTGCTTTCAATATCTTTATTGGATTTTAAAAATCGTAACAGAGCAATACATGCTAGTTGTAGAAAATAAAAACTGCACCAATCTCCCAACCCAACCTCCCAGAGGTATATAAATGGAATCATACAGCATATAGTCTTGAAAGTTAATAGTTTTGATGCCAGGTGTGATGGTGTACACATGATCCCAGCCCTTTGGGAGGCCAACGCGGCAGACTGCTTGAGCTCAGGAGTTTGAGACCAGCCTGGGCAACATGGTGAAACCCTGTCTCTACAAAAAATACAAAAATTAGCCAGCTGTGGTGGTGTGCTCTGGTAGTCCCAGTTACTCGGGAGGCTGGAATGGGAAGATCACTGGAGCCTGGGAGAACAAGGCTGCAGTGAGCTGAGACTGCACCACTTCCAGCCTGAGGGGCTGAGTGAGACCCTGTCTCCAAAAAAAAAAAAAAAAACAAATTGACATGACTATACTCATAGTACATAGTACATTGTATAATGTTTGTTACTTAACATTATACAAATGATTACTATGTCTTTTTATGTCTTTGTATTAATAACAATTAATGTCATTTTAACTTAGGTTTAAGTTCCATACAAACGTTAAAGGAAAAAGACTTTCAAGACCATTTAAAAAGAGGAAGATGATGGCTAAAAAGCACACGAAAAAGAGTGCCACATCAATAGAAAAATCAAAATTCAAACAAAAGTCAGATACCACTTCATACCTACTAAAAAAGGCACGCAATAACAAGCATTGTTGAGGACATGAAGAACTGGGAACCCTCATACGTTGCTGGTGGAAATATAAAATGGTATAGCCACTTTGGAAAGTGGTTTGGCAATTTCTTAAAAAGTTAAACAAACTAACCATATGAACTAGCAATTCCACTCACAGGTTTATCTGCCCAAGAGAAATGAGAACAAATGTTCATATAAAGACTTTAACGTTAGGCCGGGTGCGGTGGCTCATGCCTGTAATCCCAGTACTTAGGGAGGCTGAGGCAGATAGATTACCTGAGGTCAGGAGTTTGAGACCAGCTTGGCCAACATGGTGAAACCCTGTCCCTACTAAAAATATAAAAATTAGCTTACGTGGTGGCTCGAGCCTATAATCCCAGCTACTCGGGAGGCTGAGGCAGGAGAATTGCTTGAACCTGGGAGCTGGAGGTTGCAGTGAGCCAAGATCATGCCACTGCACTCCAGCTTGGGTGACAGAGCAAGACTCCATCTCAAAAACAACAACAACAAAAAACAAAAAAACAAAAACAAAAACAATAAAACAGACTTTAACATTAATGTTCATAGCAATATTATTCCTAATAATTCCAAAGGGAAAATGATCCAAATGTCCACCAACTGGTGAATGAACACAATGGAATATTACTCAGCAATAAAAAGGAGTGAAATACTGATACATGTGCAACATGGGTAAACCTCACAAGCATTATGTAAGTGAAAGAAGACAGAGGCAAGAGACTACATATTACATGACTCCATTATATGAAATGTCCAGAAAAGGCAAACTTATAAAGACAGAAAGCATATCAGAGGTTGCCTTGGGACTAGCTGGGGGTGGCAGTTGGGATTGACTGCACACAGCTTTGAGGAAAGTTTTTGAGTGATAGAAATGTTTTAAAACTGGATTCTGGTGGTGATGGCACAACTTTATAAATTTACTTAAACAATGAATTGTGGGCCAGGTGTGATGGCTCATGCCTGTAATCCCAGCACTTTGGGAGGCCGAGGCGGGTGGATCACCTGAGTTCAGGAGTTCGAGACCAGCCTGGCCAACAGGGTGAAACCCCATCTCTACTAAAAATACAAAAATTGGCCAGGCGTGGTGGCGGGCACCTGTAATCCCAGCTACTCGGGAGGCTGAGGCAGGAGAGTCACTTGAACCCAGGAGGCAGAGGTTACAGTGAGCCAAGATCATGCCACTGTACTCCAGCCTGGCAACAGAGTGAGACTCTGTCTCAAAAAAAAAAAAAAAAGAATTGTGGCCGGGCGCGATGGCTCAAGCCTGTAATCCCAGCACTTTGGGGGGTCGAGGCGAGTGGATCACCTGAGTTCAGGAGTTCAAGACCAGCCTGGACAACATGGTGAAACCCCATCTCTACTAAAAATACAAAAATTAGCTGAGCGTGGTGGCACAAGCCTATAATCCCAGCTACTCAGGAGGCTGAGGCAGGAGAATCACTTGAACCCAGGAGGCGGAGGTTGCAGTGAGCCAAGATCCTACCATTGCACTCCACTCCAGCCTGGGTAACAGACAAGACTCCAACTGAAAAAAATACCTGTACATTTACCAAAAAAAAAAAAAAAAAAAAAGAAGAAGATAAAGAGCCTGCATTGAACCACTTTTGGAATAATATTTTAAGAACAGTGAAATTTGGAATCTAGTACTGAAAAAATATTGGTATAACAAAATAATTTGTAAAGTCTCTTGGCTTTACAAATTATAACCACATTTGTTCTCACTATAGTATCATCCTGATCGAGCCTATGTCAAAGGACAAGTTGAAAACAGTCATATGTTTGAAAGGCACAAAATGAAATGAAATGAAATTGAATTACCATTATATATCTTCAAACAAAAAGAATGAAACAGAGGAGGGTGGGCCTCAGTTTGGTTTTTATGTTACTAGGCTGCTACCTAGTGGTCATTTATAAAATGGCAGGACTTGGGTTTTTGGTTTTTGTCTTGGATTTGTTGAGCCATGTCTCTACACCACAGCAAATACCTAAACACTTACCGATGTGTGGGTTAAATATCTGAATGCATTGCTGAATAATTTATGCTTTATAAAAATACTATAGGCTGGGCGCAGTGGCTCAGGCCTGTAATCCCAGCACTTTGGGAGGCCGAGGCAGGTGGATCACCTGAGGTCTCAGGAGTTCGAGACCAGCCTGGCCAACATGGCGAAACCCCATCTCTACTAAAAATACACAAAATTGCTGGGCGTGGTGGTGGGTGCCTGTAATCCCAGCTACTTGGGAGGCTGAGGCAGGAGAATTGCTTAAACCTGGGAAGTGGAGGTTGCAGTGAGCCGAGATCACGCCACTGCACTCCAGCCTGGGCGACAGAGCGAGACTCCGTCTCAAAAAAAAAAAGAAGAAGAAGAAGAAGAAAAAATACTATAGTGGCAAGAACTGGATTGAAAGTTCTGAAAAATGGCCTTTAGTCCCTGATTGGCTGCTGTCAGCTTTGTGACTTTGAGCCAGGTCAAAATTAATCCATGGGGACTATCCGGTTCCAAAGTTTTAGGAGCAGCTCTGTAAGGTAAGTTGGCCTTGGGGCCACCTCCTTAACTGCTCTAAACTTTAGTATCTTCATCTTAAAAATGGGGATAAAAAATCCCATCCCTAGGCTAGTTGTGACAATTAAATGTGACAATGCATATAAAAGTACTATCTCAGAACACACCTCAGGAAAAGTTAGAATATGACTTTCCCTCTCAGAATGTGCCTAATAGGGAACAATCTTTTATCTGCCAATTAAAATTACTCCTTCCCATCCTATCCCAAAGCAACAAGCAAAAACACCAGAAGTTCAGAAAAGTAAATATGATTCTTAGAATGATCTGCTCATTTGAAACATAAATTTGAACAATTTAATTTAAAAAATAATCAATAAAGCATAGCCGCTAGAATTTTACAAATCACTTGAAACTTGGAATTGCTGATTATTTTAAAACAATAAGGTAGTGACCGAGATGTCAAAAGGTGAATGTTCTAGCTCATCCTCTCACCACTGGTATCTTATGGAGGTCTGACATGTTTAATGTATGCCAGCCAGCACAATGCTGACCACAGAAAGTATAATTCTTTCATTTTCCTAGGAATTAAGCTCCACTTTTGTGGGGTTGGACTTGTTCCTGGGTGTGTTGGCTCACACCTGTAATTTCAGCACTTTGGGAGGCTGAGGCAGGAAGACTGCTTGGGCCTAGTAGTTTGAGACCAGCCTGGGAAACACAGCAAGACCTCCTCTCTACAAAAAAAAAAAAAAAAAAAAAAAAAATCAAAAAATTAGTTAGGTGTGGTGGCACAAACCTGTGGTCCCAGCTACTCCAGAGGCTGAGGTGGGAGGATTGCTTGAGCTTGAAAGGTTGAGGCTAGAGTGAGCTATGATTACACCACCGTACTCCAGTCTGGGTGACAAAGCACGACACTATCTCAAAAAAGAAAAGAAAAATAAATAAAAATAAAATGAGTGTCTGTGCTACCCCAGAATTATATTTTATTTTTGAGACAGGGGCTCACTCTGTCATCCAGGCAGAAGCACAGTGGTTCAATCATGGCTCACAGAAGCCTCGACCTCCTTGGGCTCAGGTGATCCTCCCAACTCAGCCTCCCAAGTAGCTGGGACCACAGGCATGCTCCACCAAGCCTGGATAATTTTTTTATTTTTTGTATAGATGGAGTTTCACCATGTTGCCCAGGCTGGTCCCAAACTCCTGGATTCAAGTGATCCACCCACCTCAGCCTCCCAAACTGCTGGGATTACAGGCATGAGCCACCTTGTCTGGCCTACCCTGGATTTTATTCAATATTTCACAGGTCAAAGAACCAGTCTGCTTCTGTAACCGAAGGGTTTCTACTACCACTTTATTTCTTCACCCATTAGGATGTTTCCTTAAGGATGTCAACATATCTAGATGACCAATTTTAGTTATTACTTTCAATGCAGCAGATAGGTATTTTGGCATTGCTTAGTTTTTAAAACAGCCTTATTAAGGTATAATTTAGATGTCATAGAATTCACCTATTTAAAGTGTACAATTCAAAGAGTCTAGTAAATTTAATCAATTGTGCACCCATTACCACAATCCAGTTTTAGAACAATTCCAACATATACTTTGCATTTGACCAGCTCCATACTGAACAAATTTATTGGATAATTAACCTGTGCATTTTAAGCCATCTAAATCTAGGACCCAGCCTAGACATTATTTTGAATAAATCAAGCTTTAAGGAAAAACAAACTCTAAACTTTACTCAAAATAGAGATCCATAAAGCACATTCTCCCAAGGTCTCTCCGGGGGTCTGTAGGCTAATTAACAATATAAATTTAAAATATAAATTAAGAATAAAAATTAATACACATACACCAATACATGTGTATATTTTGAAAAGTGTATGTTGTATAATTCATTATTATTTATTTCAATAGGCATAAGTTTTTTTTTAAGAGACAAAGTTTCACTCTGTCACCAAGGCTAGAGTGCAGTGGCACAATCACAGCTCACTGTAGCCTCAAACTTGTGGGCTCAAGCCATCCTCCCACCTCAGCCTCCTGAGTAGCTAGGACCGCAGGTGCCCACCACCATACTCAACGGGCATAAAAATTAATTTTAAAAATGTTTCCAGTTATGACCATCTTTCGTCCAATCTCAAACTTATTTTTTTCAATCTTGTAAATATGATGAGGTGGAATAAGTTGTCCAGGGACTTAACATTTTGATCTAGTATATTTTTAATTTATGGAAGAAATATTCCTCCTGTCTGTGATTTGGCTGTGCACACTTTTGTGAGGTTGGACTGGAGATACCGACTTGGGTACTTGCAGAGGAGGAGCTTCTTCCTTAACGGGATATTTAAGAGGCCCCGATTTTGCCTTGTTTCGAAAATTATTCAAGAAATAATTAATTACCATGCCCCTCTTTCTGCAAATCCTGTATTCATGGTATACTACCTCCAATACAGCATCTATTAAACATGTACAAATACATCATTTGCAAGAATAACAATCTTGGAATAATGAAAATGCTTCTACCTATTTGTTGTTCCTGTCTTATCTCTAAGTTCATCTAAGTTTCGGAAGGGTAGTTATGTATAAAGGAACTTCACTTTGGAAATTCCATTTTTCTCTAGTCCTAGAGAGTTACTGCTAACTCCATTCATTTTGACATTTAAATACTATTTTATATTGTTATTTAAGTGTTCAACATGTACTAGTTCAGTCTCCTCAAAATACTGAGTAAGTTCCTTGTGCTTAGAATAGTTGTTTCAAACTTTGTGTGTGTGAATGAATGAATTTTACATTTCTCAAGCACCTAGTCCACAACGGGCACAAAAAAGCTATTTAGTAAGTACTGTTTAATTAATAAATGATACCTCAGGTTTGTCTCCCTTCCTCCGGATCCCCATAACATGTACATTTATCACATCGCCCAGATTTCCTAGACATTACAGATTTTCTGTTCTACGGCCCCCATAAGAACAGTGCAGGTGCCACACCATATGTCTGGGACATATGGTCCTCAATAGCTGCAATATGAAACTATTTCTATTGCAATAAATCTAATATCTATTCCTCTCTGTTTACTAATAGTTTTGATTACAACTTCAAATTTTAAAAATCGAGGATGAAGTTAAATAGAAGGGAACTGTCCCCTTTCTTCTATTTAACCTCGTCTTCGATTTTTAAAATTACAAAAGCATAATAGTAAAAAAAAGTTTGACAATACAAAATGATAAAGTAAAATTCGCCTTCACCAAAAGTCATCTATTTCCCCTTCTGTGGTTTCCACGTTGCGGCTGGTAACTCGGGGCTTCCACGCTGGGCGAGCCTAGAGAACATCCAGTACACACAGGAAGCAGCAGCGCGGGCCAAATGGCGCTGAGACCTGCGCACCTGTCCACGGACCGCCCACTCGCCAACTCTGACCTTGGGTGAGTCTCTCAAACTTGAGTCTCGGAATCTTCCACAAAATGCTACCCATCTCACCAGGTCGAGTGAGGAGGGTCGTGTTATGTGTAAGCACTTTGTGAAATCTAAAGCACGAGGCAAACGTAAAGCATTGTAGGGGGTCCTAGAGAAGTCTTTGTGCCTGCCTATCAGAGCCGTTTCAGTTCCCCGCAGCAGCTTCCAAGGACCTCCCACCATGCCCGCCGCTTCGGCTCCTGCACTGCAAATCTCGCGGCTCGGCCTGCAGCGGCGGCTTCCCCTGGCCTCCCACCCCAGCGACTGAGCGCGGAGCCCAGCGCGCACGAGCGCCAGCCTGGCTCAGAGACACCCACGAAGCCAGGGCCTTTCAGCGCCTGCTAACTGGCGCTACCCCTAGGGCCGCCTCTCGGTTTTAAACGTAAACAAGAGTTGCCCTTCCGTCTTCCAAGACCTGCAAATCGAAGCTTCTTTTCCTCCAGAAGCCCCGCCACCTTCTAAGCTTCTCCCCAGCCTCAGCCACGCCCCAGCCTGCAAAAGCCGGGTCCTTTACGCCCCCTGGCTCCGTATTTGATTTCGGCGCGCGCCATACCTGAGGGCAGCTGTGATTGGTTGGAGGTGAGCGAAGTTCCTATATGATTGGCTGATAGCGGCTAGGACGGGTGAAGGCCAAGGGCGGAGAATTATGGGAGGGATTAAGACTGCAAGAGCTGAGTGATGGTTGGTTCCTGAACAAAGAGGGCGGAGTAAAAGGCGGAAGCAGAATTGGGGGCGGGGCTTTGTGGAACTTGGGGGACCCAGCGAAATGGAAGAAGTTAGGTGTCCAGAGCACGGTAAGGGGCTAGGGTCTCAGCGTCCCGGGGCCTGTTGATTTAGCGTGGCGTAATCGTTGTTCACTTTCTTCTCTCTTCAGGGACTTTCTGCTTTCTTAAGACCGGCGTCCGCGATGGCCCGAATAAAGGAAAGAGCTTCTACGTGTGCCGGGCAGACACGTGCAGCTTCGTGCGGGCCACCGAGTAGGTCTGGAGCTGGGCCCCACTCCCTGTGGCTGCCCGGGGCCTCCCGAGAGGAGCTTCCCGCTCCCCGCTGTCGGGCGTCACAGGGCCGAGGAGTGGTGGGGCCCTAGTTTGCGGTGTCAGGACCCTTTAAGCAATTGGTGATCCCAGGGCAGCGTGGCGTGTTCGGAAGACGCCCAGCTAATTCTGGCTGTGTGACCCGAGGCTGGTTACCCCCCTCTCTGGGCCGATGGTTCCCCTACCTGTAAAATTGAGGATCCGGTGTTTTCCAGCTCTGGGTTTCTATTCACTTGACAGGCCTTAACCACTCCCTTCTCCTGCCCAGACAGTCCCTCCCCCTTTAAAGGAGTAAGGACACACAGCAGACATAGTGGAAAATAATTTGTCCCTGTTTTGCACTAGTTTTAGGCCCGACGGTTTTTTTTAAATGTTTGAGCTTAAAACACTCTAGTGATTAGTTGTTAGCCTTCTTATTTTTAAGTAGGATTCTCTGCATCTAAATGGTGAAATTGATAATTCAAAGAAATTAGCGCTGGAAGAAACAACGGAGGGCCTGGCGCGGTGTGTGACGCCTGTAATCCCAGCACTTTGGGAGGCGAAGGCGAGCGAATCGCTTGAGCCCAGGGGTTCGAAACCAGCCTGGGCAACATGGTGAAATCCCGTCTCTACGAAAAATTAAAAAAAATTGTCTAGGCATGGTATCACACGCCTGTAGTCCCAGCTACTCGTGAGGCTGAGGTGGGAGGAGAGAGTCAGAAATGTTAAGCATCTTCTCTAAAGTGAGGAAAGTTAATAGTTTGTCAAGTGTTAATGTTTTCACAGTACCAAGTGTCTACATTTTCTATGTGAATTTTAAAACTATCATCACATCATTAAACATCTCCTGCTCTCTATTCAGCAAAACTTGGTAGAGAAAAGTTATTTTTCTCCGTGTCAGATGTAGAGTACATAATGGATATCAGTATTAGAAAAGTGCCCTTTCAACATGTATACTAACTTCCCATGTTTCTGTTTCATGAGTTAGATGATTTACACTGAGCCTCTCAGATATAGTACCCAGGTCAAGTTTTGTGAGATAGAAGCATTTTTACCTTTGCAGGAATTCAACATTAATGGTGGCATAAGATTTGGTTTTACATTAAGAGAAACACTCTTATTTAGGATCCCATCTACACAAATGCTTTGCTATACAAACTAGCACAGTGGTATTTGAAGACAATTATTTGATAAACTTGATTTATTTGGACTATATCTGATAACCAATATACAGGCCAAAAAAAGTGCCACAGGTTTAGGAGAGTACTTTAAACCTTCACTCAAACCTGTTTACTCTCAAATGTTATATATATTTAAATTTTTTCATAATAAGTTGGAAGGGAGTGATTAAAAACTTACACAAAACAAGAAGCATATAGGGCGTATTGTTAGAGGTAGGCGTGTGAATAACACTAAGTGACAGCTCTCAGCTTGTTAGAGGGAAAGGATGAAGGGAAGAGCCTGGGGAAAATTCATACAGGGCCTCACAGCCAGCCCTAATTATGTCATTCGTAGGGGGATCCCAGTGTAGAGATTACACAGTGCAGTGTGGTTTTAAACTTTTGAGTCATCAAGAAACAGTTATGCTTTATTTGAGAAAGTGGGTAAAGATGAAAGCTAGGGACTTCTTCCCCAAAGGAATGCCCATAGCTGTGATAATGTGTGGGAATTACAAACCCAGTAGAGGTTATACATAGATTCTTGGTGTAAAAACCCATAGTTTTGATTTGACTTTAGGATATTGATCTCTGTTCCTGACCTAAAAATGTTTTCAACTTTTTTCTTTTCTCTAGCATTCCTGTTTCCCATTGCTTATTGCATGAGGACTTTGTGGTAGAGCTTCAGGGTTTGCTTCTGCCACAGGACAAGAAAGAATACAGGTAAGGGTCCAAAAGGAACATCTAAGTGTATTTGCTTTTTTTTTTTTTTCTCCCTGAAAGAGTTGTAGCCAGGTATGTATTAGGATTGTTCTTTAAAAGTCATTTTAAAAAACAAAATTTGTATATGTATTAAGTGTCTTTTGGCTGTCACTACCTAAATACCAAGCAGCTAGTTAATCTGAGAAGTCTGATTTCTAGTAATTTTCACGTAAATGGCTCCACAATCATCCCTCTCCAACTGTCAGGTAGCCTATAATGACAGCTGACCATTGGCCACTAACTTGCCCTTAACTTGTCAATCTTCTAATTCTGGTAATAGAACAAGGTAGTGAGTAAAAATGGCTAAACATATTTAGTCCTCAATAAATGTTAGTTTCTTTTCCTTTATATGGGAATTTGGGAAGGGCAGAGAAGTCTATAGAGCTGGGAGATATTTGTCACGAGTATTCAAAGATAAAGTAGGAATTCCCTAAGTGTTAGAGAGAGGTCATATTTAATGGACTAATATATTGCATTAGAGTACTAAGGCATGAATTAACATGGCATTTTCAGGGAAAATTTGATTTGTTAATAGTTTAACATATCTTTAAACAGAGACTTTAGGCGATAAGGCTGGCCAGGAAGGTAGGGGTCAGGATGTGATAGATGGTCTTTGTGTGATATTCTATGCACTTCATAATTTATATATTCTAGATCCCCCCACCCAATTAAAGGCATTTGAGTACCACCTACAATTTTTATATACCTGAGTACTGTTCATACTTCTATTTTTCTTAATTTAGTTATATGTATAGTAAGATACACAAGTCTTAAGATTTCAACCAGTTGAGTTTTGAGAATGCATGTACCTGCTCATAAAACCAAGATCCGAGTCAAAATATTACCCCAATAAGTGCCATCAGTCCCCTTCAAGTTAATTTCACCCCTCCCATCTCCACCCCTGTCAGCAATCACTGTTCTGATTTTTATCTCTTTAGATGTGTTTTGATTGTTCTTGAACGTTATATAAATGAAATCCTACTGCATGTACTCTTCTGTGTCTGACTTCTTTTACTTAACAGTATGTGAAATGTATATAATATGTATCAGTAATTCATTCATTTTTATTGTGGAGTTGAATTTCATTTATAAATGCACCACTTTGTTTGGTGTGCCTATTTGCCATCAGAAAATCTCGACGTTATCTGTTTAAATATTTTATCCTTTTTTTTGCATTGAAATTTTTATCAAGTAGTTTTAGATTCACATACAGTTGTAAGGAATAATACAGAGTTATCCCCTGTAGACTTTATCCAGTTTCCCCCAATGGTAACGTTTGCAAGGCTTAGAAATATATCACAAACAGGATATTAATATTGGTACAACCCACCAGTTTTATTGGTAAAGGTAGTTTTACTTGAACTAATTTATGTGTGTGTGTATATTCTATACAATTTTATCCTGTCGAGTCATGTATCTACCACTACAGTCAAGGTACTGAAGAGTTCCATCACAGGATCTCTCTGTTGCCCTTTCTATAACCATACCCCCTTCCCTCCCTTCTGCCCTCTTCACTCCGGCAATCAGGAATTTGCTTTTCATTTCTAAAATTTTGTCATTGCACAATTGTTACATAAGTGGAATCATAAAGTATAACTTTGGAGATCTTTGCCTGTTTTAAAATTTTTGTCTTTTTTTAAAACTGAGTTGGTAGAGTTCTTTGTAAATTCTCTATACAAGTTAGGCCAGGCATGGTGGCTCATGCCTGTAATCCCAGCACTTTGGGAGGCTGAAGTGGGCAGATCACTTGAGATTAGGAGTTTGAGACCAGCCTGGCCAACCAACATGGTGAAACCCCATCTCTACTAAATAAAAAAAAGTGAAAAAACAAAAAAAAATTAGCTGGGCCTGGTGGCACACTCCTGAAGTCTCAGCTACTCGGGAGGCTCATCATTTTTGTATGGTTTGTGCTTTTTGTCTGATCTCCAAGAAATCTTTGCCTACCCCAATATCACAAATATTTCCAAGAATTGTCTAGAAGCTTTATAGTTTTATTTTTGTTTGTTTGTTTGTTTGTTTTTGAGAGAGAGAGTTTCACTCTGTCTTCCAGGCTGGAGTGCCGTGGTACAATCTTGGCTCACTGCAACCACCATCTCCTGGGTTCAAGCAATTCTTATGCCTCAGCCTCCCAAGTAGTCCCAAGTAGCTGGGACTACAGGTGTGCACCAATAATTTTTTTGTATTTTAGTAGAAACGGAGTTTCACCATGTTGCCCAGGCTGGTCCCGAACTCCTGAGCTCAGGCAATCTACACATCTTGGCCTCCCAAGGTGCTAGGATTACAGGTGTGAGCTACTGCACCTGGCCTGTTTTTTTTTTTTCTTCTTCTTTTTTTTTTTAGTAGCTTTTTCATATAGGTCTATTATCTATATCTTAAATTACTTTTGTGTAGTATATCAGGTAGGGTAGAGGTTCATTTATTTTTGCATATGTTACCAATTGTTTTAGCATCATGTTTTGAAGATTTTCCTTTTCCCATTGAAATGCTTGGCGTCTTTGTAAAAATTCAATTGATCCAATATATGTAAGTCTATTTCTGGGGTTGCTAATCTGTTCCATTGATCCATTTGCCTATCTTTACATAATTAATCAGATAAAATAGTGTGAGTCTTCTGACTTTATTCTTTTTCAAGATTGCGTTGGCTGCTCTAGGATCTTTGCATTTCCATATAAAATGTAGAATCAGCTTTTAAAAATTTCCACAGAAAACCCTGTTGGGATTGCATTGAATCTATATAGATCAATTTGGAGAGAATTGTCAATATTGAGGCTTCCAATCCATGAATGTAGTGCATTTATTTATGACTTTAAAAATGTCAGCTGGGCGCGGCAATCCTAGCACTTTGGGAGGCCAAGGCGGGCGGATCACGAGGTCAGGAGATCGAGACCATCATGGCTAACAAGGTGAAACCCCATCTCTACTAAAAATACTAAAAATTAGCCGGGCATGGTGGAAGGCGCCTGTAGTCCCAGCTACTCAGGAGGCTGAGGCAGGAGAATGGCGTGAACCCGGAGGCAGAGCTTACAGTGAGCCGGGATCGCGCCACCGCACTCCAGCTTGGGTGACAGAGCGAGACTCTGTCTCAAAAAAAAAATGTCTCTGAGCATTGTTTAATACTTTTCATTACAGAGTTCCTATGCATCTTTTGTTAAATTTATTTCTCAGTGTTTGTGTTTTTTAGTGCTGTTGTAAATGGAATTTTTTTTAATTTTGTTTTTGGATTGTTTTCTGCTGGTATAGTAGGGCTGGTAAGCCTTTATTGCATGAAGTTATATTCTACTGATACTTAAAACCATTTACATACTACTGGAGGACCTTTACCATACAGACATACTGTGGTAGTTGTTAGGAAGCCACTGAAGGATTTTTGACCCAATTTGCATTAAAAGAAGAACTATGGAGGACAGATTAGAAAGTGAAAATAGGGCAAAGAGACCACTGAAATAATAGCTACCATTGAAAGCCCACTATATACCTTTTTTTTTTTTTTTTTTTTTTTTTTTTTGTAGAGACACGGTCTCACTGTATTACCCAGCCTGGTCTCAATCTCCTGGGCTCAAGCAATCCTCCTACCTCAGCCTCCCAAAGTACTGGGATTACAGGTGTGGGCCACTGCACCCAGCCTGTTCATTATCTTTTACCTTCATATAATTTGTTGTGATAGATTTCAATATCCGTGTTTACCAGAAAGATGGAGAAACTACCATTGAAACAGGTCAGAAAGGGAATCTGAGGACCCATGGTTATGAAGTGGCATTGCTGGGATTTAAACCCAGGTCCAACTGATTCCAGACACACCAACTTTCTCTTAAGTGAGAGGTGATGGGCCTGAATTGAAGTAGCAGCAGTGGAATTGGGTCCAAGTAGAATGAAAACTTGCTGAAAGAGCACTGATGAGATGTATTTCCTGGTAGGGCATATAAACGTGTTCCTTCCTCCATTTTTTCATCTGGAATATTGCTCACATGGCCCTAACTTCCCTGGGTTGGAGGACTTGGAGAGAGAACGTGTGTGATGGCCTCGGTCTGGTGTTTGGCACATTGTCAGTGCTCAGTAGGGAAACGGTTGCTAAGGTGGGGCTTCTGGGTAATGTGTTTACGTTAAGCAGGACAAGGAAGAAAGGTAATGTTGGTCGAGTATTGGGATGTGTGGCAAACACATACAGCTTTGGACTAATCATGTCTTTTTTTTTTTTTTTTTTTTTTTAAAAGACAGAGTCTTGCTCTGTCAACCAGGCTGGAGTACAGTGGCACAATCTCAGCTCACTGCGACCTCTGCCTCCCAGGTTCAGGTGATTCTCGTGTCTCAGCCTCCCGAGTAGCTGGGATTACAGGTGTGTGTCACGACGCCCAGCTAATTTTTGTATTTTTAGTAGACATGGGCTTTTGCCATGTTGGCCAGGCTGGTCTCAAACTCCTAGCCTCAAGTGGTCTGCCTGCCTCAGCCTCCCAGAGTACTGGGATTACAGGCATGAGCCACCTCACCTGGCCAAATTGTGTCTTATTTTCATGTGAAACCAGCTAGAAAAATGAGTGTGCAGCTCTGAAGAAAGGCCTGACTGAGGTCAGAATTTTGAGAACTTGCTGTTAACGTTCTTTGTACTAGATGGATAAGACTGAGAAGGGTTTATTATTTTAAAATAGAACAAAAAAGTATGTTACATGTATTTCTCTTAGCCTAAATTCAGAGCACTATTACTAGGAAGTACTTACTGGAGCTTTAAAAAGCTTGTCTTAGGGCCAGGCATGGTGGTTCACACCTGTAATCTCAGCATTTTGGGAGGCCAAGGCCGGCGGATCACTTGAGGCCAGGAGTTCAAGACCAGCCTGGCCATCATGGTGAAACTCTCTCTACTAAAAATACAAAAAATAGCCGGGCATGGTGGCGTGTGCCTGTAATCCCAGCTACTCAGTAGGCAGGAGAATCACTTTGAGCCGGGGAAGCGGAGGTTGCAGTGAGCCAAGATCACATCATTACACTCCAACCTGGATGACAGAGCAAGACTCAGTCTCAAAAAAAAAAAAAAAAAAAAAAAAGTTGTCTTAGGACAAATAAAAGTAAAAGGCAGTTCTTAACACACAACACATTAAAAAACAATAACAACAGAAAACCAGGTACTCTGATAGGTAGCATAGACTGGGAATTTAAACAGAAATAGATAAGTCTATATATGGATGATGGCTTCCTTAGTGAACATTAAGGGTGTTCAGCCAGAACCCCTGGAGAGTGACCTATGAGAGTACAGCCTTTCCCTCACATACTCTGGGTTTTCTTTTTAATAACTTAAATATTTTACATCCTCTAATTAATACTATTATGTTTGGCTGAATGTAGTCAGGAGACAGGTGCAACAGAGTAATAGAAGGGAGGTGTAAACTGAGGCGAAGATGCCCATTTTTCATCTCTTGCAGTGTAGCTGCATTTGTGTGCAGATCTCTAACTGAAACACCAGATGGCACCACTGACCAGCATTTGACTAGCCATTCGGCCATGGCCCTCTGTGTACAGGCAGTAAAGAAAACTGATAATCTCAGTAGAACCAGGGGGAAGAAATCTTGCCTTGACATGAACGATGTGGTACACCCTGGTATACAAATTTTGGGCATTGTCACTGAGCTCCTGAGTTCATATTTTCCTTTCTCTCTGTTTCTCACAGAACTTTCACTCAAGGATACAGGGTCAAAATAAATGGAAATATTTCTTTGCTTAGACGTGGGTATAACAAGTTTTAGTTCTTTAAATAATTGGTTGTGGTATCCTTCTGAGCAAACTATCACAAGGACAGAAAACCAAACACCGCATGTTCTTACTCATAGGTGGGAGCTTAACCATGAGAACACTTGGACATAGGGCGTGGAACATCACATACTGGGGCCTGTTGTGGGGTTGGGGGAGAGGGGAGGGATAGCATTAGGAGATATACTTAATGTAAATGACGAGTTAATGGGCGCAACACACCAACATGGCACATGCATACATGTGTAACAAACCTGCACATTGTGCACATGTACCCTAGAACTTAAAGTGTAATAAAAAAAAAAAAAAGAAAAATATTCACCTCCAAAAAAAAATTAATTGGTTGTGGTAGATGTTCAAAATATTTTACTTTTAATAACCCTTGAAACTTCACATGTCTAGAAAACTCCTCGTGTTGTTGGCTATTGGGTGAAATTGACCTGCAGATTATCTAGCCCTAGTATAGTGAGCAGGATGGTGATAGAGAGGCAACCAGGCATGCGCCAGACCCAGCCAGAACCTCAGGCCCCACCAGCTGTGAAGGACCACTGAATAAAGCCATACTTGTGAGGCGGTGTACAGTACCATGCACTGCACTGTGCAGTGCGAGCAATCCCTTTGTATAAAGTATAGTAACCCTTTGTGATATGTGTGGTAGTTACGTTTTCCCAGTTTGCTTTTTGTCTTACAATTTTGCTTATGGTATTTTCATCATATGGTAGTGTAAACTTTTAAAAATTACTAAATTCTTTATTTCTCAGCTTCAGAGTTTTATCCCAGGCTTAGAAAAGCCTTCTTCACTTTAGGACTACAAGAATATTCATATCTGTTTTTTTTCCTAGAACATTTACAATTTTGTTTTTTACTTTTACATTTTTTTCCATCTTGAAAGTTCGTGTAAAAGAATGAGGTAGACATTCGGCTTTATGTTTTTCCAGAGCTGGACCATGTAAAGATGTGAACTCATAATCCCTAAGGAGCCTTTGACACAGCTGGAATAAGAGTTAGATGTACTGAGATTGGGGTGCAGTCTCCTCTGCACATTAGAGCGCTAAATTGAAGACGTTCAGATGCGAGATGGTTCTGTGACTCTAAGACATACAGTTCAGGGCTAGGAAGGTTACAGAGAAAGTAGAGGAGTTGAGACTTGAAGTTGTCCTTGAATGACCTTGACAATTTTGATGGAGGAAAGGACAAGGAAGTGTTGAGGCAGAACAGCTTCAGCAGAAGTGTGGATGTAGGAATAAGCAGAGTGATCAGCCAGTGTGAGCTTGGCATTGCTGTTGTCTTTTAAGACCTTGGTATGTATCAGGCTTTGCTCTGATTGTATTTTGTCTTCATCATGACCGTATGAGGTATGGACTATATCATTTTGCCATTTTACAGAACAGGAAACTGCCACAGGGGGCAGTCAATTAAGGTGTCTGATGTTTCAGAACTAATTAGGTGGTAGGGCTGGGATTTGAACCAAGGGAGAATAGTTCTGGAGCCTGAGAGAACTGTAGCCTTGCTAAAGTGAATGCACTTGGCAGTGTGATGTTGAGTTGGACATTACCTTTAGGAAAATGGGAGGATTTGTGTTTTGGTGAAGAAGTCAGGATTGAAGAGGTCTGGCTTCTTCTAGCTGGTCCCTTCATCGTTATTGCCTATAACCTCTGTCCTGGAAAACAATTAATAAACATACTGCAGAAATTAATGCTTTTCTTATAGTGGAATTGATATTTGCTTTCTCTGCGAAAATATATTTCCACTGCATTCTTTGTTGATTTACAATATAATAAAACGTAACAAACAAACTTATTATCCTAAAATCAGAAAAGCTCATCCAGATTGATTTTAATTAAAAATGTAAGGGAAAGCATTTTTAGCACTGTGCCTAGCACATAGCAGATGTTCAGTGTGTTTCTTTCCTTAGTTCTGCAAATCTTGCCCTTCTCCTGAAAGTCTACATGGCATGAGTTTTAAAGTAGACACTACAGTCATGAGTCATTTAACAATGGGGGCATATTCTGAGAAATGCGTCATTAGGAGATTTCATTTTTGTGTGAACGTCACTGTGTGAACTTACACAAACCTACTTGGTATAGCCTAATACATACCTAGGTTACAGAACTGTACAGTGTGTTACTTTACTGAATACTGCAGGCATTTGTAACACAGTGCTAAGTATTTGTATATCTAAACAAAGAAAATGTACAGTAAAAATACAGTATTATCTCATGGGACCACAGTTGTATGTGCCATCCACTGTTGACTGAAACATCATCATGCAGCACGGGACTGTACTTATGAAATATTCTTTCAGTAAAGATTTCAAGTACTTGATATGCTTTAAACAACAGCAGGAGTTTGTTCTTGATTTATTTCTGTAAGTAGTAGCACCCACTGATGGCAGCTGTTACTTTGAATTTTATGCATTCAAAGCATTTCAGAAATTGTATTACATATGTTTAATATAATATCCTATTGCAATGAGAAAAATTAAAGAAACCAGTAAGATTTTAAAAATTGTGAACTTGGATGGGAAAATTGTGTTTGTACAAGAGGGAGGGGCTGGACCTATTTTCTTTTTAGCTTAACTTTTATGGACAACTTGTCCATTTGGGCTTGTTCATCTTTGTTTATGTGTCCTGGTGAAGTAGTGGCATCAAGGGACCAGGACCTGCTCAGGACCCCTGAATTAGGATGCAGACTGTTGTGATTCATGTTGTACATCATGGGACTAATTTAGGAAGTTAGAAAAAGAACAATAAATTAAACTGAAGGAAAGCAGAAGGAAGGAATTAATGTTGGTAAAAATTGCATTTAATGAGTTAGAAAGCAGCATATAGATAACTAATAAAGAAAATCAGAGGCTAACCTGGTCAAGAAGAACAGCACAAATACATAACATGAGAAATAAGGAGCTGCACCACAGATGTATTGAAATGTACATGAAATGACATATGCACAGTTTCACTCCTTGTGCCACTGCTTTTAATAGTAAAGGATAAGAAACAGCTGAACCGCCCACCAAGAGGGTTCTGGTTAAAAATAATGCAACATCCCATACAGTGGAAAACCACAACTGGAAAAAAATAATAAAAACAAGGATCTTCCTTACATATATGTTATTATAGAAAAATTTTCAAGGTATTAGGTAAAAAAAGAAAGGCAAGGTATTCAGCAGTATGTATGTTATGCTACCCATTTGTGTAGAGGAGGAAGAAAGAATGTATATTGACTTGAATATGCATTTAAAAATCTCTGGAAAGGTAAACAAAAAACTAATGAGCAGTTACATGTTGGGAGAGAAGTGAACTGGGCAGATAGGGTATGAGGGGGCTTCTCACTGTGTTTTTAATACTTATTGATTGAATACTTTACCTATTTCAGCAGACAAAATATATATTTTTAAAGCTCTTATTTAATCAATTAAAAGTTTTTGAGGAGTTATTTTAGGTAATTACATAAATCAGTTCTATTTTATGCAGCAATACTTAATTACGTACAACAGGCAAGTCATAGTTGGGAATAAAGAGATCATGTATGGTTTTTGCCCTCTAGTAGCTGAAAATATACCTGGACAGTCAGCTATATTTTATAGCTGGACAGTCAGCTTTATTAGGTTGGTGTAAATGTAATTGTGTTTTTTGCCATTAAAAGTAATGGCACAGAGGCAGTTCATGGATTAAACAGGGAAGGGAATGTGGGGAAACCTTGCCAAGCAGGTACGACTTAAGATGGGCCTTGAGGGACCAGTAGGACTTCCGTAGCTGGAGATGGGGGAGATGGTAGACAGATTGGGATGATGAGGATATCCTTTGGATGGAGAGTAGTACCCATGCAAAGTCTAGTAGACTGGAGGGTGCATGGCTTAGTTCGGCAGTGGAACAGCTTAGACACCTCTGGATAGCTGGAGTATGGGCTGTGTTTGTGTGTGCAGGAACTTTCTTGCACTGGGATGTTAAATCTGTATTCAGCCTTCTTTTTTTGGTGGAAGAGTGTAAATATATACAGAAGTAAGATAGGGTACTGTAGCATGAGCTTCAACAATTGCCAGCTCATGGCTACTCTTGTTCTATATGTATCCTATCCACTTCACCCCGTAACTCCTGCCCTATTTTGAAAAAAATCCCAGATAACATTATTTCATCTGTCAATATTTTAGTATGTAGCTTTAAAAGATACGGACTTTTTTTTTTTTTTTTTTTTTGAGACAGAGTCTCACTGTGTCGCCAGGCTGGAGTGCAGTGGTGCAATCTCGGCTCACTGCAACCTACGCCTCCCGGGTTCAAGCGATTCTCCTGCCTCAGCCTCCTGAGTAGCTGGGACTACAGGCATGTGCCACCACGCCGGGCTAATTTTTGTATTTTTAGTAGAGACGGGATTTCACCATGTTGGCCAGGATGGTCTCGATCTCTTGATCTCGTGATCCGCCCACCTCAGCCTCCCGAAGTGCTGGGATTACAGGTGTGAGCCACCGCACCCGGCCAAGATATGAACTATTTTTTAAAAAATATTTGTATGTTTTAGAGAAGGGAGTCTTGCTGTGTTGCCCAGGTTTGAGTGCAGTGGCTATTCACAGGCACAATCTTAGCACATTGCAGCCTCTGGCCTCAAATGATCCTCCTGTCTCAGGCCCCTGAGTAGAGGGGACTATAGGTGTGTGCCACTGCATCCAGCTGCACTCTTTTAACATACCAGTTGGTTTACATATTTTCAGTGGACTCATAAATGTCATAGTTTTTTTTTAGTAGTTTTAATTTGTTTAAATCAGGATCCAAATAAGGTTCACAAATTGGAATTGATTAATATGTCTTTTAAGTCTCTGAAGTTTTCCCTTCATCTTTTTTTCTCCCTCGTAACTTATTTGTGGAAGGGATCAGGTTGTTTGTCCTATAGCGTTTCCCACTGCCAAGATTTTGAAGGTTATATTCTCCACAGTATAGTTTTACGCCTTCTTCTGTTGTTTCTATTTCCTATAAATTGGTAATTGGATCTAGAGGTTAGTTTTTTGTTTGTTTTGGCTTCGTTGTTTTGGGGTTTTTTTTGGGGCAACATTGCTTTGTAGCTAGTGTTGTGACCCCCCTTCAGGGACACACAGTGTCTGGCTGTCTCTCATTTCTCTGATTTTAGTAGCCATTGCTGATCAGTGTTTCTATTTCAGTCATTCGTTACAGACTAAAAAGAATAAACCTGTGTGCATTCTCTGGCTACCATGCCATATTTATTCTTGGACTTCCTAGCCCTTATAAATGTTCTGTGCAGTAAATAATTTTTAAATGTGTATATAAAAGTAATTGGTTTCAAGTGACCTCCCAAAGCCAGGTTCAAATAGTTGCAAGATGTTTTCTTGGATTAAAAATAAGCTTATCTCTTGTTCTAATGGATTTTCATAGCCTTGATTATTTGTGTTTTATACTTCATTAGATTGTTCTTCCGATGCATTAGAAGTAAGGCAGAGGGGAAACGCTGGTGTGGAAGTATTCCATGGCAGGTAGGAATTATTCATCTGTTTTCAAACCTGCTGTGTTAAGACTTTTAATATGCAGCATCACCTGAAAATACCTTGAAGTTCACGTAAATGAGTTGGTCTTCATCAGACTGTCTCCGAAAGATAGTTTTCTTTAAGCAAGGTAGGCCCTGTTGGGACTTTTATTCAAAGGATCATTTAGTCGTAATCAAGATTAATTATTTGCATCCTATTTCACTTAGTAAATATTTTTTGAGGTCTTAAATGTAGTCAGTATTCTTTTACTCAAGGAAAAAAATAGATTTCCTTGACTAACTCTTGTATCTTTTTATAGAGGAATTTCTACTTGATACTGGTATAAGCTAAGTATAAGCATAAGCTCCTAGTATGTTAGAACTAGGAGGAGCATCTCCTAATAGGAGAAGCCCTACAGATATTCAGTACGTGAGGAACTAGAAGTAGGGAGGTGATAAGACTTGTTTTGGCAGAGGTGTGGCTTGAACTTACGATTCTAGATTACCACAGTAAAATCCTCCTAAAGCCAAAATCAAAGCAAGTGTTTTAAGACAATGTTTAGGTTTGGGGAAAAGTTCATCTTAAGAGAATAGTTTTTTTCCTGAAAAGTATACACTGTGGCCATTGTGATTGTAAAAGCACTTTGGTTTGTCACTACTTTTCCTTGAGGCCTGGAAAAGAGTGATCATGGACAGAGAAGGAACCAAGCTTCGAAAGTATCGTGAAGAAATGAGTCCTTTGTGGGTTTGGCACGTCATCTTTTCTAGACGTGGAAATGGTACCAAGAATGTTCAGGAAATATTGGACTGCTTTTACTGTGTTTCCATTTCTTCTGCAGAATAATCCTAAGTGAATTAATGCAGGAACAGAAAACCAAATATCATATGTTCTCACGAGCAGGAGCTAAACATTGAGCACCCATAAACATGGGAACAATAGATACTGTGAACTACTGGAGAGGGGAGGAGGGCATGGGTTAAGAAACTATCTATTGGGCACTATGCTCACTGCCTGAGTGCAATATACTCATATAACAAAGCTGCATATGTACCCCCTGTATATAAAATAAAAGTTGAGATGAAAAGGAAAGGCATTCTAGATACGAAGTTTGTATTAATATTTTATATGAAGATTAATTATTTTGTCTTTAGGATCCTGATTCCAAAGAACATTCTGTATCCAATAAGTCTCAGCATGCATCTGAGACATTTCATCATTCTTCCAACTGGCTGAGAAATCCATTCAAGGTACTTGACAAGAATCAAGAACCAGCTCTCTGGAAACAGCTCATCAAAGGTGAAGGTGAGGAAAAGAAGGCTGATAAGAAGCAAAGAGAAAAGGGAGATCAGCTTTTCGATCAAAAGAAAGAACAGAAGCCTGAAATGATGGAGAAAGACCTCTCATCTGGCCTGGTACCAAAGAAAAAACAATCTGTAGTTCAAGAGAAGAAGCAAGAAGAGGGAGCAGAGATTCAGTGTGAGGCAGAGACTGGAGGCACACACAAAAGAGACTTTTCTGAAATTAAATCTCAACAGTGCCAAGGTAATGAGCTTACAAGACCATCTGCATCTTCTCAGGAGAAATCAAGTGGTAAGAGTCAAGATGTCCAAAGAGAATCAGAACCTCTGAGAGAAAAGGTTACCCAGCTTTTGCCTCAAAATGTTCACAGTCACAACTCAATAAGCAAGCCCCAGAAAGGGGGACCCCTCAACAAGGAGTACACGAACTGGGAGGCTAAAGAAACAAAGGCAAAGGATGGCCCTAGCATACAGGCCACCCAGAAAAGCCTGCCTCAGGGGCATTTCCAAGAGCGGCCGGAGACCCACAGTGTGCCTGCTCCTGGAGGACCAGCGGCTCAGGCTGCACCAGCAGCACCAGGGCTTTCCCTGGGTGAGGGCCGTGAAGCTGCCACAAGCAGTGACGACGAGGAGGAAGATGATGTTGTTTTTGTTTCCTCTAAGCCTGGGAGCCCCCTACTCTTTGACTCGACTCTGGACTTAGAGACGAAGGAAAACCTCCAATTCCCTGATCGAAGTGTGCAAAGAAAGGTGTCTCCTGCCTCAGGTGTTTCCAAGAAGGTAGAACCCTCAGACCCAGTAGCCCGGCGTGTCTACCTTACAACACAACTGAAACAAAAGAAGGTAACTATTGACTCGTGTTTTGTTTCTGAGGTCAGAGCATTGCTTGTTATGGGCAGATATGAGATCTCATTGCTACAGAAGGGTTAAATATGTTCATGTGAAGGTTTTATAGGTGCATGTTCAGTTTCTGCCTTTTCCCCTATTTATATTTTCAAGATTGGTAAGCCAGCTGGGTTAAAATTTAAAAAAGGTTCTGGTTTTTGCACACATATTTAAAAGACCATAATTTCAGAGTTTGGGTGTTTCAGGCTATTTTAATCTGAAACTATTCATCTAACAGTGTGAGAGGAGAGATCCATTTGATGGAATCTGTTTTTCAGAGCACACTGGCATCAGTGAACATCCAGGCTCTTCCAGACAAGGGTCAGAAGTTGATCAAACAAATCCAGGAGCTGGAGGAAGTACTCAGTGGTCTTACCCTTTCCCCAGAGCAAGGTAAAGTGGCTTATGCCTCAGAACTCCGGGTTTGCATCGACTTTACAAGAGACATTCGGGAAGCCCTTTTAATAAAGAATGTGTTGATTCATTCACTTTTCCATTTTATTATCTGCTTCTGAGACTTCTTTCACATTACACCTATGGTTCATAAAAAACTTTCTCCTGTTTCCTGTGGACTCTACTTTCTTCCCCATTGTTTAAGCAACTGTTAAAATGCTACCTTCTCTAGGAATCCTTCATCGGAATGGTGATGATCCCTCTCTCTTGACCTCACCTCCACACATATGGTCCCTTCACTTAGTTTGCTGAACTTTAATCTGCTCTTCCCTTGTTTTCTGAGCAGGAACTAATGAGAAGAGTAACAGTCAAGTACCACAGCAGAGTCACTTCACCAAAACTACCACTGGCCCTCCCCACCTGGTGCCTCCCCAACCCCTTCCTCGTCGTGGTACCCAACCTGTGGGTTCTCTAGAACTAAAGTCTGCCTGCCAGGTGACTGCTGGAGGATCCAGTCAGTGCTATCGAGGTAAGACCCAAGGGCCTGACCCTGCTGTGAATAGCCACCCCTGTGAGTTACGTGCCACCCGGTACAGTAGTCACCTCTTATCCACACTTTCAGTTAACCTTAGTCACCTGTGGTTCAAAAAAAGGTGAGTACAGTACAGTAAGATATTTTGAGAGAGAAAGAGACAGAAACCACATTCACATAACTTTTATTACAGTATATTCTTATAATTCTTCTATTTTATTATTATTGTTAAATGCTTTCTGTCCCTAATGTATTAAAGTTTAAAATAGGTATGTACGTATGGGGAAAAAAAAAAGCCAAAACATAGTATGTGTAGGGTTCAGTACCATCCAGTTTCAAGCATCCACTGGGGGTCTTGCAACATACGCCCTGTGGATAAGGAGGGACTACCGTAGATGTCTTTGTGCCCACATGAGGGGAGAAGCCATTCTTAAGTCAGAAGTTGCCCATATAATAAAGATTGTGCAGCTCAGTAGAGCTTTGCATCGTGTTACTTAGCTTTCTGTGAGGGCACAGACTGTGTCTACCTTGTTCACCACTGTATGCTGATTAGTCAGCTCAGTGGCTGGCACATAGGAGTCATCCAGTCAGCATTTGTGGATGAAAACTCTAGCTCGCATCATTATGAGGTAGGCAGACCTGCAGATATGCTCTTATTCTTTCGTGTGTGTGTAAGTGTGTGTAAGACTGAGGAGAGACATGAGTCAAGACTGATGACTAATAGATCCACAGAGAGCAATAACACCCTATTAGCTAAGTGTTTCCTTCCTGAACTTTCTAGGCAACTTTGAATTCAGAGGTAACTGCAGAATGAAGATTCCAAGTGGAGCCTGAAATGTGTAATAGGATCAGTTGACAGGAGACTGATCAGGAGATAGGAGCTTGGAGATTGGGTTGGCTGGCAGTGACCAGAAAAGCAAAAGCCACTTGTTTCCCAACTGAGAACTGCTAGAGACATGGAAAGTTGAGGAGAGTAGTTAACAAGGAGGGTAAGAAACAGATACAGGGCCATTTGTAGCTAAGTTCACTCTAAAGGGATAAAGAAAACATACTTGTGACATCTTTTAGGTAACACCTATTTGTATGCAGGCCATACAAACCAAGATCACGTTCATGCAGTGTGGAAAATCACAAGTGAAGCCATCGGTCAACTGCATCGCTCACTTGAGTCATGTCCTGGTGAGACGGTTGTGGCAGAAGATCCCGCCGGGCTGAAGGTGAGCCAGGGAAGACTCCTGGTGTAGTCCTCTATGACAGTGCTCCAGCAGCCCCATGAAACTGCTGGCAGAGAGACTTTCTGAGATACCTTTCCTACAGACAGATGCTTAAATGGCTTCCCTTGCAGCATCCTCTCCTTTTATGCTTAACAGTGCAAACAATAACAACAAAACCCCTTTTTTAAAAAGTCATAAAGTTACTTATTTCTGTAGCAGTAAAGGATCCATTTGTTGAGTTGGTAGGTGCCACAAGAATGTGAAGGAATTGTTGCTTGTAATGAACTAGTTGGGGTGAAAATACATATACAATGTAAATAAAACAATTAGCAAAGGCTTTAAGGCAGAAATAAGGGGTGCCTTGTAATATACTATAAAGTACAAAAGGGATTCAGAATAAAGGAAACATCACTCTAGGTCAGTGATTATTTGTTGTCTGCCTACTTTGTGCCTTAAAGGTTGAAAGCCTTTAGATAGCAGAGAGGAAAGGAATAAAACGCTGCAATTAGAGGGAGTGGTGACTAGTGGGAAGATAAAGAGATTGGTATTCAGAAGTGGTGATCAGCTGTCATCAGTACCTGAGCCAGCAGTAGCAGGTGATGTTACTGAGTAGGAGCCTGGCATTGATGAAGGATTAGATCTGAATAACTCAAGAGATAGTATGGAATCGCTGTAGCATTTAAGCAGGGATGACTGATGAAGATTAGTTTTTCTTAACAGAGTACAAGATAAACTGGAGTACAGAAGACTAGAAGGGGGACTCTGGTCAAAGGGCTATTGAAATTTATGACCAGTAGTGCAGACTGGGACATTGGCTGCAGAAAGGAGAGGCAAATTTAAGAGATAATGAGGAAATAATGAAAAGCCAATGTAATGGCTGCTGAAAATAGGGTCAGAGGTCTTGGTTAAAAGCAGAGAGCTGGGCATAGTGGCTCACACCTATAATCCCAGCACTTTCGGAGGCCGAGGCAGGCAGATCACTTGAGGCCAGGAGCTCAAGACTAGCCTGGCCAACATGGTGAAACCCCATCTCTACTAAAAATAAGAAAATTAGCTGGGCATGGTGGCATACGCATGTAATTCCAGCTAGTCGGGAGGCTAAGGCAGGAGAATTGCTTGAACCTGGGAGGCGGAGGCTGCAGTGGGCTGAGATCACGCCACTGCACTCTAGCCTGGGCAACAGAGCGAGGCTGTCTCAAAAAAATAAAAATAAAAAAATAAAAGCTGTAGAGACTGATTTTGACTGATTAAGCAGACAAATCAGGACTCTCACTTGGGGTGTAGGGGGGACTCTTAATAGAAATGCTGAACATTAGATGCAACCCAAAACAAACAGGGGCAGACCAGGACAGTATGGTTACCCTTGAGAGAGGGTGCTGTTAAGGACTTCAAGGTGAAATGAACTGTCTACAGAATACTGAGGGAATCATTTGTAGAAAATAGGAGAGTGTAGAGTTCGTGTAGCCAGGCTCGGCATAGCCTCTCATTAGGAATTTATGCTTAGCATTTGGTTATTACCTTTGTCAGGTCCCTTTGCTACTACACCAGAAGCAGGCATTGGCTTGGTTACTATGGCGAGAAAGTCAGAAGCCACAAGGAGGAATTCTGGGTAAGTGTGGTATTATAAGAGTCAGCCTTTATTGAATGCTTAGGCATTGTGCTAAACACGTAGTGTTGTTTCATTTATTCCTCTCAAGAACTCTATGAGGCAGGTACTATTATTCCTCATTTTACAGATGATGAAAGTGAAGCATGGAAGTGTTAAGCAACTTGCTCAAGAATACACAGTTTAGGATCAAAGATGTTGGTTGCCAGCAGTAGAAGCTGACTCTGGCTGATTAAAGAGAGGAGGAGTTTATTTTTTGGTGGCTCCCACAATCTCTAGGAGATACGGAGTGCCAGGCTCGAGGCCAATTTCAGGAGCCATGGCTAGAGCCAACACACAAACAGCAGTCTATTGCCTCCCTCTTTTTTTTTTTTTTTTTTGAGATGGAGTTTCGCTCTTGTCACCCAGGCTGGAGTGCTGTGGTGCGATCTCGGCTCACTGCAACCTCCGCTTCCCAAGTTCAAGTGATTCTCCTGCCTCACCCTCCCCAGTAGCTGGGATTACAGGCAGATGCCACCACGCCTGGCTAATTTTTTGTATTTTTAGTAGAGATGGGGTTTCGCCATGTTGGACAGGCTGGTCTCTAACTCCTGACCTCAGGTGCTCCACCTGCCTTGGCCTTCCCAAAGTGCTGGGATTACAGGCATGAGCCACTACACCTGGCCTAAAAGTAGTCTATAAAAAGCATCACAGCTACTTTGCTTCACCAAGTGCTAGAGGCAACCAGTGCCACCCCAAAGTCAGTTGTTTCTATAGCCACTGTTTCCTGCAGAAAGGATTTCATAGGGAGTCTCTTTCTAAAGCTGCTTATACCTGAATTAAAGATGTTTATGAGTACATCTGATATATAGAGCCAGGTCATATTGCCAGTGCCTTAGCTGCAACAGAAACCAGAAAGCAAGTTTTCCACTCTGCTTTGGGGACTTGTCAGGCTAAAATTTTCTAAGGTGTTCAATTTTCAGAAACCATGATAGATGTCCACTATGGCTAGTAAGTGACTGTGTCAGTGGTCCTCAAAACCACCCCCAGGTTCGATGATTTGCTAGTAAGACACAGCATATGGTCATACTCACAGCTGTGATTTATTACAGTGAAAGGCTATAGATCAAAATCAACAAAAGGAAAAGTCACAGGGGCAGAATCCAGGGGAAACCAGGTACAAGCTTCCAGTGTCCTCCCAGTGGAGTCACATGGGATATGCTTAATTCTCCCAGCAGGGAGTTGTGACAACAGGCGTCAAAGGTTCCCTAGGAAGCTCATTAGAGATTTAATGCCCAAGGTTTTTATTGGGGGCTGGTTACTTCAGCTGGTTACACAGGTGGCTTCAGCCTGGTATATACCAAGTTTTCCTACTCCTAGAAGGAAAGCAGGTGTTCAACATAAACCATATTGCTTGTACAAAACAATTTAGGCAGAGTGAGCAACTCTTACCTTACATCCGAGTTTCCAGAGGCAACCTTGTAAGCAGGCCTTTCAAAGGATAGCAGGCAGGCCTATGGGCCTGCTATGTTAATTATTTTTCTGGACAGTAGCAGAGCCAGAATTTAAATCAGAGCCCATGCTCTGACATTCCACTTCTGTTATGGCAGAATGATTATTTTGAATGGGTTATAGTAGCCTCAATGTTGCAGTCTGTTAAAATGAGGATAACCGTATTCTGTAGAGTATAAATAATAAATTAGATAAGCTCAGTGATTGGTACAATGACAGTACCCAAGAAATGTTCATTTATGTCCTCTTTTGATGAATAAGTTAAGGGAATGGAAGGCTATTTTAACTCCAGGAATGTTCTGGTACTGGTAAAGTAAGTAGTAGGATATATCTACTGGACATTTTTTGCTTTTGGAGGTAAGGGATCATCAAACTGTAATAGATATCAGTCAGCACATTGTGCGGGTAATAACATAACATAGGGACTAGAATAATATTCAAATTGTAAGTTTTAAATTTTACAAGAGTCATAGTAAATGTCTTGGACCTAGATCTCAAAGTAAAGAGCAAGTGCTAGGGTTCTGCTGAATAAGGAAGATAAAGGAGCCATTAAGGTAGGCACAGAGTAGTGACGGAGTGGCACTGACAGAGAACAATGGGGAAATGTCTGCCAGTGGTTTCTCCTCTTGAACTAGGGTTGATTATTTGCCCTAAGCAATTAACTCTCTTAATTTTGCTTTTATTTTCTAGCAGATGATATGGGCTTAGGAAAAACCCTGACAATGATTGCGCTCATCCTGACCCAGAAGAATCAAGAGAAAAAGGAAGAAAAGGAGAAAAGCACAGCTTTGACGTGGCTCTCCAAAGATGGTAGACAGAAGTGCCTTAATAGCCTGCCATTCCCTACGTCATTTGAGCCACCCAAGAGGGGAACGTCTTCAGCTAAAAAAGGACACCTTTGGTCATATTTAATTACTCTACTGGAAAACCAGTATTAGATTACTCACCTATCATATCATTTCTGATGCTGAGTATGCTAATTATAAGTGATCATTTTTTCCGTATAAATTTGCCTATAAACTAGGCAGAATTTTATGGAGAAAGCTGAGGCTCTAGAACACTTAATTTAAGCATAATAATAATTCTTATTTTTTGAGACAGGGTCTCGCTCTGTTGCTCAGGCTGGAGTGCAGTGCATGAACACAGCTTACTGCAGCCTAAACCTCCTTGGCTCAAGCGATCCTCCCACCTCAGCCTCCCAAGTAGCTGGGACCACAAGTTTGCACCACCACACCCAGCTAATTTTTTAATTTTTTTGTAGAGATAGGATCTCACCATGTTGCCTGGCTGGTCTCAAACAACTGGGCTCAAGCAATCATCCTGCCTCAGCCTTCCAAAGTGCTGGGATTATAGGTGTGACCCACCATGCCTGGCCAATAATTATTATTTTTGGAAATATTGGGGAAATAACTACAGGGTAGATTCAAATTAATTTTTTTAAAGGAAGATCTGTCACAAATTCACATTTTAGTCACTATAGTGGAAGCTATTTTCCATGTTTCTGAAATTCTAGAAGTTCCTAGATTATAGACACTTTCTATCTTAACATATGTTTTTAAAATGTAGTAACTTTAGCCAGGCACAGTGGTATGCACCTGTAGTCCCAATTGAGGGAGGAGAGGCAGGAGAATCACTTGAGCCTGGGAGCTTGAGGCCAACTGGGCAAGAAAGCAAGACACTGTCTCTTAAAAAAAATTAAATAAAAAGTAATAACTTTATAAGTACTTTAAAGATTGAATATGTTATGTATAGACAACACTACATGTAAGTTGCCATGTATTCAAGTACAGCTCTCAGTTGCTTAGATAGATTAAAAATCTGTGGGCCGGGCATGGTGGCTCACGCCTGTAATCCCAGCACTTTGGGAGGCTGAGGTGGGCGGATAACAAGGTCAGGAGACCGAGACCATCCTGACTAATACGGTGAAACCCCGTCTCTACTAAAAATACAAAAAATTAGCCAAGCATGGTGGCAGGCGCCTGTAGTCCCAGCTACTCAGGAGGCTGAGGCAGGAGAATGGCATGAACCTGGGAGGCAGAGCTTGCAGTGAGCCGAGATCGTGCCACTGCACTCCAGCCTGGGTGACAGAGCGAGACTCCGTCTCAAAAAAAAAAAAAAAAAAAAAATCTGTGGCATCTGCTCTCAGGGCCTCTAATGAGCACTGTTGCAGCTGGGTCCTATATCCCTTTGTGTGTACTAGCAGTATGTGTAAGTAGCACAGGCACACACACGCAGAGATGAGGGGCCATGGTATAAACAAACCATCACTAATTGGTTCCAAACCAATGTTTGCTTATTTTTTAAAAAAGGTTTCTGTACTTAATTTTAAGGTAGAAGTACATTAAGTTATGCTTTTCAGAAAGTATAACAATACTCCATACGCCTCTATAATGAATCAACTCAAGAGGAGTTAGGAAATGATCCAGCTTTCACTTCCAGCCACTCTGTGAAAGCACATTGCTTTTTCACACTGAGGTCATGTGCCACCCACTTTCCTCCCCCTGTTTAGCCTCTCTTTCTGCCTGTACTTTTAGTGGAGAAAATAAGTAATCAAGTGTTTCAGTTTAAAAGACCATTTCTTCCATTTCCTACTTCACTATAGGCTCTGTATAGAAATAAGAGCAATGGTTAAACATATTAATTGAAGGAGTAAAGTCAGTCAAGAGGAAGAGGTAATGCCTTTAAGTTAAAGGCCGGTCAAACACGATGACTCACACCTGTAATTCCACTGTGGGAGGCTAAGGCAGGAGGATCACTTGAGCCTAGGAGTTTGAGACAGCCTGGGTAACACAGCAAGACCGTGTCTCCATATATTAAAAAAGAAAAGTTAAAAGCCATTTGGTGAATGTAACTAGGCACTGATTTTTTTCCCTTCTCAAGACTCTTGTGACTTTACTTCCCATGGAACACTAATCATCTGTCCTGCCTCCCTGATCCATCATTGGAAAAATGAGGTGGAGAAACGGGTGAACAGCAACAAACTAAGAGTCTATCTCTACCATGGGCCAAACCGGGATTCACGTGCCAGAGTGTAAGTGCAGGAATACGCAGTTGTGGGGGCGTTCAGCACCTCTGCCCAAGGGCCCACGGGCCTTTGCTCCCATCCCTGAGATTTCACTTAATCAGGACGCGTATTTGTGAAAGCCAAAGACAGATCTTTAGTCTCGTCACCATACAGCCTTTGCGTTGTATCCTGAGGTCTACTGGTGATCTTTTGCTGTGTCCTTGTCATTGTCCTCAATGAAAGCTGCCCTGTGAGGAGGCCTGAGATGCCGGAGCTGCCATTCAGGTGACAGCAGCATTCCCCTAGTCAAGGAGATGTGTCGCAAGGCCCTCATGGCTGCTGGAGTTCTGATTCCAGGTGTACATAGTGTGAATGGAACCAGCCCAGTTCTACAGAGCATCTTGATAGAATGCTAATGATTAGTTGCTATAGGTTGATTATATTTTTATGACTTTTTAATATATGAACCATCTAAGATGCTTTAGACTCAATAATTTAGGACGATTAGAGTTAACTATAAATTCTTGAAGAGGGATGCTCAGGAAGGAGGGAAGAAAATGCTTCCCCACATGGCAATCTTAGTCCTAGTCTTTGTCTTTTGGTTTTAAAGGAATTGTTTTCTGTTCTTAATTGCGGAGTGAAGATCTAGATTGAATACTGGCTGCTGTAGTCAAGGATGAGAACAAAGTTATTTCTGCCTCTAAGTAATTTCTCTCCCCAGCCTCCAATTTGGATATTTTATCTCCTAAAGAACGGGGCGGCAGTCTTTCAGGAGTAAGTTGTTAGATTGGTGCCCCTCTGTCTTATGACAGGCCAGTTCTCATGACTGAGAGTCGCTTCTGCAGGCAAAAGGCATCAGGGTGGCAGTGGCAGGCCTGCAGGCCTTCCCTGGCATAGATTACTGTGAGTTGTCTGCCTTTGTGCTAAATTTTTATTTAGAAATAAATTGAATCTCACTTGATTTGTACTTTGAGCCTAACTTGTTTGGTATTTAGAATGTACTAGTTGACCGATTAGAATCATTCTGAATTATACTTCTTTATATGATAGTAGGGTAACTTGTAGACACTGCTGCCTCTCTGAATTAGGCATATCATTTTTATCAAAAGTATTTATTGAGGTTCTCTTGGGGCTGGGCATGGTGGCTCATGCCTATAATCCGAGCACTTTGGGAGGCCGAGGCAGGCAGATCACTTGAGCTCAGGAGTTCGAGACCAGCCTAGGCAACATGGTGAAACCCATCTCTACCAAAAATACAAAAATTAGCTGGGTGTGGTGGTGTGCACTTGTAGTGCCATTTACTTGGGAGGCTGAGGTGGGAGAATCGCTTGAGCCTGGAAGGTGGAGGTTGCAGTGAGCCAAGATCACACCCCTACACTCCAGTCTGGATGACCAGGGTAGGTTACTCACCTATTATTATCATTTCTGATGCTGAGTATGCTAATTATAAGTGATAATTTTTCCCTTTTAATATAAACTTGGCTTGATCTATGATTAGCAGAATTTTACTTTATTTCAATAAATACTTTATTTTATTTTATTATTTTATTTACTTTTGAGACAGGATAGAGTGAGACCCTACCTTGTCTCAAAAAATAAATAAATAAAATAAAGTATTTATTGAAGTTCTCACAATATTAAGCTTCACTGGAAAAAGATTTGTGTTTCTCATTAATAATCTTTATATGTAAGGAGTATAAGCAAGATACACTGAAAGCTTACAGCATGTATTTTTATATCTTAATGTCAAACTAGATCAGTGAATTTTCACAAATCCATTATAGAGTGGTGGGAGGAAAGCACCATTGATACAAGGTGAACAGTGTTTTGAAGTTATCTTTCTCCCCTGGGACTTTGGTGTCATCCATCTCAAATCATTATTAAATGTTAATTCCCAACTCTATCCTACTTTCTGTTATTTCCCAACTCTATCCTACTTTCTGTTCTGGCCAGATCATATTAAGCATTATATTATCCCAGCCAGAGAATTTTCTTTCTGACTCACTGGATGGTAAGAGGGAGGCTGTGGTAGCTATAGTGAGCAGACGGTAAATGATCAGAGGTAAGAGATAGGGAAACCCAAGTGGGTAAAATTTACCTCCAAAATGTGTGTGTGTGTGTGTGTGTGTGCGTGTGTGTGTTAAGGACACAAGTTAATGAGTTCTGCTGTTTGTCCTTCCATTTGTAGGCATTTTTATTGAAAGATCAACTCTGCCTCTCTCATTGTCCCTCTATAGTGGGACCATTTATTGATTTCTTTGTTATGTCTACGCAGCCTCTCTACATATGACATCGTGATCACTACCTATAGCCTCGTGGCCAAGGAGATTCCCACAAACAAGCAAGAGGCAGAGATCCCAGGTGCAAACCTCAATGTGGAGGTGAGGCTGGGGGGCAGCCAGGGAAGTGGAGTTGGAGCCACAGATGGTTTAATGGGAGTCTTTCTCAGCCTCCACGATAGCAAGAGGACCTCCCTGGAGGTCAGGAATGCTGTAAATGATCCGCATGTGGAAAGGAATTGTTCTTTCCTCTATCCCATCACCCTTATTCCAGACAACCACCTCAGTGATAAAGATCAACCTATGCCACAGGATTCAGCTGCCTTTTAGAATGAAAGATGACTGCATTGTATTTGTGGGGGTAATAATCACCTGAATATATAAAAGCCTTACTTGTTGCTATTTTTATTTTAGAGTATTTGGGGTATATACTCATGATATTTTTAATATTTATTGTGCAGACTAGTATTTTACTACTAGTATTTTGATTTTAAGCCATCTTTCCCTGCCTCCCTTTACTTCCCAGAAAAAAAAAAAGGGTTGCAAATAATAAGGCCAGAGGCTAAGTGACAATTGTGAATACGTGATGGTCTTCTAGGGTGTCCAGGGCAGCCTCAGTTATGTGATGTAGAGGCTTTATCATGTAATTATACTCTGAAAATACAGTATTATCCCAAGAACTCATTTTTCTATATGTTATCCTTTTAGCCCAACGGGATATTCACAGGTTTCTGTATTTGGAGAGATCTCTAGAACATTTCTCCAGCTTATAACCAACTCTGACTTATAGATGATGAACTTTTCAGATTGCTCACTGGTTTTCCATTGCTTTTGGGATAAACCCTAAATTTCTTTTCATGATGTATTAGGCTTCATTTATTTATTTATTTGAGGCAGAATCTCACTCTGTCGCCCAGGATGGAGTGCATGGTGCGATCTTGGCTCACTGCAACCTCTGCATCCCGGGTTCAAGCGATTCTCCTGCCTCAGCTTCCCAAGTAGCTGGGATAACAGGTGCCCGCCACTATGCTCGGCTAATTTTTTGTATTTTTAGTAGAGATGGGGTTTCGCCATGTTGGCCAGGCTGGTCTCGAATTCCTGACCTCAAGTGATCCACCCGCCTCGGCCTCCCAAAGTGCTGGGATTATAGGCATGAGCCACCATGCCTGGCCATATTAGGCTCTTTATGATCTTGCCCTACCTGTATGTCGCTCATCTCTTGATGACACCCTGCCCCTCCCTGGGGCACCTCTTGCTCAGTCATACCAAGGGATCTGTAGTTCCCACCATGCTCTGTCACAGTGTTGTGTCTGTTCTCCCTCCGAATGAAACGCTTTGCCTCCACTCCTTCTCCCAGGTTAATTTTTTTAAACCTGCTTCAAGAATCTTTTCTGGACCACTCCCTTCCCACCTTCCCCCGGTTTGGTTGAATGCCTCTGCCAGCACCTTGTGCTTACATAAGTTATAGCACTTTGTTTCTTCAGCAGACGTTGAGTATCCACTATGGGTCAGGTGCTGTTTCGTCAAGAGCAGCCAGATTCCCACTTCAGGTATTGAACTAGCCAGTGGGACTTACTATATCTATATCGTATTGTAATTATCTTTACACTTGTTTTTCTCCCCTGCTAGATTTTGAGCTCTTGCAGGTAGGAACTGTTTTTTATATCTGGTTTAGCATCTCACATCTAAAAGTAGACTTTTGGAAAATTGTTAGTAAATTTAGTAAAATTTAGTAAATGTTTTATTGAGTGAGTGAATTTGCAGGTTCAATGCCTGGTGTAGTCATGGTCTACAGCCATTGCTTAAGTGTGTATTTAAAGAATAAAAGAAAAGTCGGCTGGGCGCGGTGGCTCATGCCTGTAATCCCAGCACTTTGGAAGGCCGAGGCGGGTGGATCACGAGGTCAGGAGATCGAGACCATCCTGGCTAACACGATGAAACCCCGACTCTACTAAAAATACAAAAAATTAGCCGGGTGTGGTGGCGGGCGCCTGTGGTCCCGGCTGCTCGGGAGGCTGAGGCAGGAGAATGGCGTGAAGCCCGGAGGCGGAGCTTGCAGTGAGCCGAGATCTCGCCACTGCACTCCAGCCTGGGCGACGGAGCGAGACTCCCATCTCAAAAAAAAAAAGGAAACCCAAATTTGAAAACATTTTACTCTTAGACATCTTATGTTCAAAGACTGAGACTCTCAAATAACTTATTTGAACCAGTTGAGACGTTTTACTCTTGGGTTTCTTAATTCTTATTTCAGTGTACCTGAGCTAAGCAAATTTAAAGGTAAATGTGGGTCCTCCATGCTTGCCTGCTATTTCCCCTTGTGTCCTTAAGGACATGTACATTTTCCCATATTGTGGCTGGATTTCACTTGTGATTCTTCCAGGGCACCTCAACACCTTTGCTTCGAATAGCCTGGGCTCGAATCATATTGGATGAAGCTCACAATGTTAAGAATCCCCGAGTGCAGACTTCCATAGCTGTGTGTAAGCTACAAGCCTGTGCCCGTTGGGCTGTCACTGGAACCCCCATTCAAAACAACTTATTGGATATGTATTCGCTGCTGAAGTGAGTAACTTCTCGTGATTGTGTAAATATGAACCCTGTCTGTATCCCTTCATCATTATTTCATGTCTCATAATAAAGCCTTAGTATGTGCCAGATTATCTTGTTTAGGAGATGGCAGGCCTGTCAACCTTTAAAGGACAAAAGAATAAATATTTATGAGAAAATAGCTGTTGATTGGTTGATATAGGACTTTGATTACATTCAGCCCTTATATATATATGCAAAAATATAGGACTTTATATATGCAAAATATATGCAAAATATATGCAAATATATGCTATATATATATATATATGCAAAAATTATTCTTAAGTCCAGTGAATGTTTTCGGCTACTTCTGCTTTAAAACATATGGTCTAGGGCTAGCACTACAATTTATTTGAAGCAAACAAAAAAGAATGTTGATTTTAAAATATTTCCATTTGGCTGAGTGCAGTGGGTCATACCTGTAATCTCCACACTTTGGAAGGCTGATGTGGGAGGATTGCTTGAAGCCAGGAGTTCAAGATTAGCCAGGGGAGTAAAATGAGACCCCACCTCTACAAAAAATTAAAAAATTAGCCAGGCACAGGGGTGTACACCTGTGGTCCCAGCTGCTCGAGAGGCTGAGGCAGGAGGATCGCTTGAGCCCAGGAGTTCAAGGCTGCAGTGAGCTATGATTATGCCACTGCACTCCAGCCTGGGTGACAGAGCAAGACCTCAGTCTCTAAAGAAAAAAATTAAAAATAAAATACTTATTTTTATTCGAGTCAGCCATAAGAGGATGTGAAATTTCTTTCTTAGCTCCTGTAGCTTTAGGAACAAATTCTAGCTGTTGGTTATATGTCTTGTTGTGACAGCGTAGGCATCGTTAATAGGAAAACTCACATTTTTATAATGTGGTTTTGTTATTGACTTACATCCTTTTGATCTGTCCAGCAAAGGTTTGCTATGAAATTCACTTTTAAAAGTGATTGGATGACAGGTGTAACAGAAAATCTGATTTGTCATCTTATATCTTACTTTGAACCTTTATTCCATTCTCCCTGACTTTTCCTTCCCTACTCTGTGCCCTTCTTCCTCAACAAAAAAGGTTTCTCCGTTGCTCTCCATTTGATGAGTTCAATCTGTGGAGGAGTCAGGTTGACAATGGCTCAAAGAAAGGAGGAGAACGGTTAAGTATTTTAACCAAGAGCCTTTTGCTGAGGAGAACAAAAGACCAGCTGGACTCTACTGGCAGACCTTTGGTAATCAAGTTTGTACCTGTCCCTGGGGGAGGCCAGGGAAGGAACATGACTGTGTCCTTGTCTTGGGTTGAACAGCCATCTGCTTTGCTTCAGGAGCCTCTGAGTTTCCCATCCTCCTGTGAGGAGGCCCCAGGGTTGCAGTTCCATGCCTAGTGTCATAGCAATCCAGTTGTACTGTATGTTGGAGCAGTCCTGTGTCTAAGAAAGGGTGGAAGCTGCATTCCAGGGTTGACTAGATATGCAGTGTCAGTATGGGGAATTTGTTCTATAATAGGCAGTTAATTTGTATAGCTTCATGCCAGCTTTTTTTTTTATTCTTCCAGGTGATACTGCCCCAGCGTAAATTTCAGTTGCACCATTTAAAGCTTTCTGAAGATGAAGAGACTGTTTACAATGTGTTTTTTGCAAGATCAAGGTGTGTGTATTAAAGAAGCACCTTCTCACACACATTGTTTTATTCCTGTCTTTTCTTGGGAGTGAGTTGAAGGTCAAATTTCCACAAACTTTATGGCATTATTGATTAGTTGGATGTCTGTATTCCCTTTTTTTTTTTACCCCATTTTTCTCCTTCTCCCCTCCCCAGCTTACCTCTGTCTCATACACACATGGAAGGCAAAATTTTGAACCTACTCTTCATTGGCTTCCTTGCATAGAAGTCATAGGGTGTGGTCACCATATACTGAATCTGTCTGGTCCTCATGGGGCTGTACTGAATAATAATATCTCTTTGACATTTGACCTGTCATCCAGCATCTCACCGGAACTTTAAGAAGATGACTTTGTAATCCTTTGTGTCATCTGTTCTTTGCACTTTCTCTTGAACTCTTATCTTTCCCTGAATTCCAGATTTACTGTTTCCTATTTGGTACCTCTCATTTACATTTCTAATGTAAATATATTTTTTCTTCTTTTACACCTTATATTTGTTAGCTTATTTTAAAAAAAGATTGGTTTTTTAAAATAACTGTTTCTTTTGCATTACCTTTGGCCATTGCTTCTTATGAGCTTGGCATCATTTAACAAGTCTTCTATAATTTGTCAAGATCCCACTGCAGGCACAGTTAAGCAGGTCTTAGTGACCATTATACATGCATTTTTTTTCTTTTTAATCTGAGGCAGGTCAGCTCTGCAATCCTATCTAAAAAGACATGAAAGTAGAGGCAACCAATCTGGAAGAAGCCCTAATAATCCATTCAGTAGAGGTAAGCTGTAGGACTCTCATAAATACATATGACTGGTGAAAATGGGGATTTGGATTCAGTAAAACACAGAAATGTGAGGTTATGAATCCTTGGTATCAGAGATTTGGCGTTAACTAAGACCCTCAAACCAGAGTAAAATCTACTGATTGCAAACACGAGATCTGGTGTTTATTTAGCTTCTTTTTAATTGTTTCCTAAATCTGCTTTATTAAAATGCAGGTAGTTCTATAAGGAAAAACCGATATTTCATTTGGCCTAATTGAAGTGGCCTATAGAAGTGAGTTGTAACTATATTATTGAGTCTGAGATCAAACATGGTTAAAGTAGCCCCATGTAGTTCCTGGCTCTCTCCGTATTTCTCTTTTAAATCCTGTACCATCCTGTGGCTTGTCTTCCCTCTTGGAAGTGGCACTGGAGTTTGGGTCTGAGGAGCCTAGACACTCGGAGGCAGCAGACTCACCGAGATCCAGCACCGTCCACATACTGTCCCAGTTGCTGAGACTCCGCCAGTGTTGCTGTCATCTTTCTTTACTGAAGTCGGTAAGAAAAGCCCTCAGCCTGCTGTCATATAGTGCTCCAGAGGGGCCACCTGAGAAGTCAATTTCACTCTCCTCCAACTGGAATCCAGTCTGCTTGATCAAAGGAAATGCTGTTTCGGTTTTTCTATTTTTGTTTTTTGGTGGGTTGGAGAAAAGGGGGCTTATTTATTTTGCTTTATTTCATATTAATCTTGATAATTCCTATGGCATCAAGAATAGTGTATTTCTATTGTTTATTTTGTTTTAGATTAACTGTTTAAGAAAAGAAAATGATATTTTGTTTAAAAAGAAGCCATTTGTGAATGCTCTGGTACTTCAGAATGTCATAAAGCTAATTTAGTTCTTGGGGTTTTCTGCTTTCAGGCAGTTTTGGGGTTTTGGGTTCCAGTTATAAAAACTCAGATAGTTATACAGACTGAAAAGTTGCCCCTACCTTGGATAGAGGCACATCCAAAATTAAGAGGAGTATTCTATTCATTTAAGGAGCTGTAATAATGTATTCTGATTATCAACATCTCAATTATATTCTAGCTTGGAAAAAATAGAATGATTATGTCATCTGCCTGGCAAGTCTTTAAAAAGTTCCATCATTTGGTTTATCTTTAATGTGGTGAAAAAACTTGCAAGATCACACTTTAATCAAGGTGTCTTGAGGAGTTACTGATGACAAATTACAAGATATTTTGCTCTGTGAAGTGGTAAACAATCAAAACATCATCAACAAGTAACAAGGTTTGCTCCCTTGACTCCCAGCTGCTCCTGTCCTTTTTTGTCTGTTCAGGCCCTGGATCCAATGGAACTGAAGGGTGAAGGTCTTGTCCTTTCCCTGGAAGAACAGCTCAGTGCTTTGACCTTGTCAGAACTCCGTGACTCAGAGCCATCTTCCACTGTTTCCCTTAACGGCACCTTCTTCAAGATGGAGCTTTTTGAAGGCATGCGAGAGAGCACCAAGGTACTTTTTGTCTCCTCTGTAGTAGTCGAGAGACTTCGATTCCTCACACATTTTCCTGTGTGACAGCACTTCATTTGTCCAAGTGGGAACAGCCATTTGCCAGCAGAGCTAGAGCCGTTAAATTCTAGCTGATCAGATTCTCCCTCCAGTCTTAAAGCTTCATTTATTTCACAGATAACACTAAAGCCTTACTACATAGGGGACTTTGAGAGAGTAATTTGGGACAACCCCAGCATTGCACTGAAGTGGGTTTTCTGTCATGGGTCACTGGGGAGCTTGCCAGGTTTGTGCTAGGGACGGGGCCTATGCAAGTGAGCAATTTGTTTAGAGAAAGCTTAAAAGGAAAACAAAGGCTTGACTCTAGAGACTGTGTCATACATGCGAGCGCCAATTGCTCTGACTTTGAAAGGCTTCCACATGTGAGTAGTGTTTCCTACATAGCCTTCTGTCTTCATTAGTCATTCTGCTCTGTTTTCGTCAGAGCTTTTTAAGGCAGAAACATTCTGCTGGAGGAAGGCTTAGATATGCCGTAACCTGAATCCTGCCTGTCTGCTGGCTCGGAATGTGCTTCATCATCCTGCCTGTCTTGAAAGTGAGGCTTGTTTCTCTCTTAGCATCTCAAGCTGCCGTTCTTGGGCTCAACCTCTCTTCAAAGGCTTTTTTTGAAAAAGTGTATTAATAACTAGAAAGGTCACTTCCAGGGGAATGGCATTATTTTTTAAAAGGAATGCTGCCTTTTAATTAAAATTTGAAAACATTTACCTAGGTCTTTACCACTGATAGCTGAGAGAAACATAAGAAGAGCATCCCATGTGGCCAGAACACACATGCTAGTGCCTTCAGAGTGAGCTATTGGGCTAAAATTTAAATTCCTAATCATTTGTGTTCCTTGTTTAATTAAATGCAGGTAATATTTATTCACAAGTTTTCTTAACATATGTCCATTAATAGTTCAAACCACATACGGTTGTTTCAAGTAGGGAAGGAGGCTTCTTACTGGAATTTGACCCCGGCTCGTGGGCCATAAATCCAGCCCTCCTGCTGCAGTTTTCTCAAAACACCATGGCTAGCTTTTTCATGTGGGAGTCACAGCGCCTTCCACAATCTCAAGTTGCCAAGACACCAGGCACATCAGTGTCTCTGTTCTATTGTTAACTAAATAACAGATGTAGCTGCTTTTCTGTCTGCTAATTTGAATGGTACAGTTCTGTGACTCACTTCCTGCCTAGGCACCAGAATGTTTGTTAAGATTGGAAAGCAGCCCCATGTGGTGACCACTGTAATGACATCCTAGAATGTGGGAGCTCAGGGCACCTCAGAATTTATCTGGCCTAAGTCCTTCTTTTCACTGATGAGGAATCTGAGTCCCAAAGTGGTCCAGCCATATGAGGACAGAGGAAGAACTTCTGTATATTTGTCTCCTGATTGACTTACAGCCCAGTTTTCTTCCTTCTCCAGCATTCTGGGGGTGAACTCTGGGGCCCTTAGAGGCTCTTGAAAGGTTTTTCACATGAGCAGCTGGGAAGAATGAGCCCAGCTGCACTCCAAAGTCATGCCCCACGTGTTCTTACTGACAGCTCCCCTGTGGACTCAAGTGCACCCTAAGGGTTCTTGGGGAATACCCAGGGAGCCTGTTCGGAAGCTTTAACAATGGTTCCTCCGTCTGGACAGGTCCTTTTCAACAACATTTGGAGCAGGCCATAAAGTGGGTAAAGCTCTTTCACTTTCTTCTTCAGCAAACATTAGGAGAGTATCTTCTCTGTTTTGGCCATGTGTGTACTCACAGCCCCTCACACATGGCCGAAACAGAGAAGTTACTTTCCTAATATTTGCCTCCTTGGAGTGTCTCAAGTCCTGGAAGCAAGAGATAATAAGCAATTAATATACAGTATGACAAGGACCGTGATAATAGAAACAAAAGGTGCTATGATAGTACTTGGGCAGTGGGCACCTAACCTGTACTTTGGGGGTTGGGAGGACCTCCAAGAAGAAGTGACATTAAGCTGACACAAAAGGGTGTTCTAGGCAGAGGGAGCAGAATGGACAAGATGGCCAGTGTGTGATTTATGGGAAGAATTTTGGTGTGCTTGCTGTGTCGTTTGAGGAGGGCATGGTGAGAAACGAACCCAGAGAAGCAGAGGCTGGAGCAGCAAGAATCCGGCAAGCTGCCTTGAGGAGCTTGGCCTTTATCCTCAGTGGGAAGCTATGGAAGGGCTTTAGCCAGAGGGGTGAAGTGACAAACTCACATTTTAGAAAGAGCTTTCTGGCTGCAGAGAGGAGGGTGGAATAAAGACAGGTGAGGCCAGAGCACAGACGCCATGTAGGAGGCTGCTTCGCATGGCAGGTGAGGGGAGATGGAGAAAAGTGAATTGCTTAAACATACAATGTTGATGTAACCTTTTCCCAGATTTCATCTCTGTTGGCAGAATTGGAGGCAATTCAAAGAAATTCAGCATCCCAAAAGAGGTAACTGCGTTTTCTCATTATCCAAGTATTGGTCATAATTATGTGAGAAAATTTGATATTGCCAAGAGTTATAAATCAAGGACTGTGAGTCATGCTCAGCAGAAAGCACTGAGGTTATAGCACACATTCCCTGTGATTTCTAATTAAAATATTTGTGGTACAAATTGAAAAGGAGATCCCTAGAGGATCAGGGTAAGCGAAGCATCTGAAAAAGTGTTTAAAAGTAGAGAAGCATATAAAGAAAAGCAAGCGAGTGAGGAGGCTCCAGCAGTGCTGATAACGTTCTTAAGCTGAGTACTTGGATACAAGGACTCATTTGTTATACCTGACATATGTGCTATACACCTGCATTATTTATAAAATAATTCAATATAAAAATTTAGAACTCGAATTAAGACAGCGTGGGGGCAGGGAGGAGCCTGTTGTTCTGGCTGGCACAAGAAGGGTGGTCAGTGTGTCCCTTTTGTGCAGGACCACAGATTTCTGGATGAGCACTAGGACCCCAAATGAAAGAAGGCTGGAGTCATCACTTTACTCTAGCTACCATTTTTTTCTGACTTCATTTAGCACTAAATAAATTGTAGAAAGGACCTAGAAATAACTGGAAGCATTATAATCTTCAGATATGACCTAAATGTGTGCCTTCTCCCTTAGGTAGCAGAAGGCCTTTCCTTGTCAACATTTGATAGCTAACCTTAAGAATGATGAGGGCATTAAAGCCCTGCAGATGAGTCTGTTTAATCTATGTTAGGGTATTTTTTTATTTTATTCTTCTTTCCAGTGTCATTGTCTCTCAGTGGACCAACATGCTGAAAGTTGTAGCATTGCACCTGAAGAAGCATGGACTGACTTATGCCACCATCGATGGCTCTGTCAATCCCAAGCAGAGAATGGACTTGGTAGAGGCATTTAACCACTCCAGAGGCCCTCAGGTACAAGCTGGTCACATCAGAGCCGCATAATTAACTGTTCTGAGTTATACAAAGAGAATTCTTTTTGTTTGGTTGGTTTTTGTTTTTGTCTTTTTGAGACGGAGTTTTGCTCTTGTTGCCCAGGCTGGACTGCAATAGTGCTATCTTGGCTCACCGCAACCTCCGCCTCCCGGGTTCAAGCGATTCTCCTGCCTCAGCCTTTCAAGTAGCTGGGATTACAGGCTCCTGCCACCAAGCTTGGCTAATTTTTGTATTTTCAGTAGAGATGAGGTTTCACCATGTTGGCCAGGCTGGTCTTGAACTCCTGACCTCAGGTGATCCACCTGCCTTGGCCTCCCAAAGTGCTGGGGTTACAGGCGTAAGCCACCGTGCCCAGCCATATAAAGAGAATTCTGATATGGCAACTTAAAAATATTTACAGCCTTGATTCCTCCGAGTGTTTAGAATTTATTAGACATGTATTGGGATACTTTTAAAGAGCACAAATATTCTAAAAAGAATCAAATATGAGGACTAAAAGGAGATTAACAGCAGAGCTGGTTAGGTTGAGGGGAATCTTTGCAGAGGAGGCAAGCTTTGAAGGATAGGTGGGGTTTTGGTATGAGGAAATATGGAAGGAAATGAAAGAACACAGGCATCTAATTATAGATAATAAAGATTTGGAAAGCATTAGTAGAATGATAGGCAGGAGAATTATTGTAGCAATGGAGGGGTAGGGACTGATGAAATAAACATAATCTGGTTAATTGAAAGTTTATTGAGCTGACCATCCCCAGGGTTCTAAATTACAGTATTTATATATTTTGGCAAGCACTCAGTTAATTTTTTGAGGTTGACTCACACACACACAAAATGTGATGTGAGAATTTTCTCAAAAGTGAGACATGGGAGATAGCATTATAATGTTAAAAAAAAAAACAATTTATAACAGCAGAAGGAAATTTGATAGGAACACAGTGCTTATCTGTATTGATTGTGGACTTAAACCTGAGACCGAGATGTGTTACGAGACCAAGTCTGTTTAAAGTTAATGTTGTGTTTCCTTTTGAAGGTAATGCTAATCTCTCTCTTGGCCGGAGGTGTTGGTCTAAACCTGACTGGAGGAAATCACCTCTTTCTTTTGGACATGCACTGGTAATGATTCCGGATTTGTCCTGGGTTGTCACAGCACATCAAGGAGGCCAGTGGGCTACAGGGGCAGCAAGAACTGACTTCTTATGTTGATTGCTGTGTTCGTATTGCAGAGATGCCTTGCTTTGTATGTGTCTATAGATACAGATCTAAGCAGGGTATAGGGCTAGCTGACTCCCCTGAATTCCTGAGCTAGCAAGCCTTCAAATGACTACTCAAAATAGTTCATTCACGTTATTGTTAGTCTAACATCTGTTTCCATGGAAACGGGGAGCATAGCTTTTCCTCATGGCTAAGAGTTAACCTTGCTCAGTTTTACCTCTTCTCCAGAATACTGTATTCCAGACACACTTGTTGGGGTCCAAGGAAATTTCAACCTTTGAAAAGAGGGAGAAGCATTACTCCAAAAAGAAAAGGAATAGGGATTTTCTAATTATGTTAGAAATACACTTAATACCTCACCCTTGGATTCATTGTATGTAGTGTTAATACCAGGAGTACAACCACATCTTTCGTGGCTACAGAATGAATGAGTTAGTGTGTTGCTAACAGAAAATCTCATAATGAGTACCAGTTTCTGGTTTTCCAGTTATGCCAATCAAGGATTGCTGCTGGGGATTGTCATTGGTCCAATTCTCCAGACAGCCCAGATGGGTACAAATAGGTCAACCTGTTATCATCTTCCAGGAGAACGGGTTTAGTTCTTACTTGGGACTCCTCTGTACACGTGAGTGAGGAAAGCATACTAGGAATCATGCTTTTTTTTTTTTTTCAGAGATAGAGAAATGTTATCCAAGATTTTAAAGAGGTAAGATGAGAAACTAATTTGGAGTTACAATGGGAATCAATAAAGAAGGAAACAAATTAAGTCTCCTTAATCGAATCACAGAATATTCAAGTTGAAAAAGGCAGCTAGTCAAGATCATTAGCTGGCCCTTCAATTTCCAAGTAGCAATCTGAAGCCTAGAGGACTGAGGTTAAATAACTTGCCCAAGGACATCTAGCTACCTAGAGACCAGACCTGAGTTTTGGTTTCACCTCTGTTACTTAAGAGTTGTCAACTGATGATAGTGCTAAGAGCTATTATTAACAGTCTGACCCTAGTTTCTCACTAGAAACTAGGCAAGAAGGTATCTGGCACCAGCTTGTCTTAGGCCAGTATAGCTTAGGACAGGGATCGACAGATTTTTTTTCTTTGAGGCTTTTCAGGCCACATAGTTCTCTGTCACATGATGTGTGTGTTTTGTTTTGCTTTGCTTTCTTTTCTTAAATCCCTTTAAAACTGTAACAATAATTTTTAGCTACAAAAACAAGCTGTGGGCTGGATTTGGCCCATGGCCCATAGTTTGCCATTTCTGATCTAGTATGTCAGTTCCTTTGAGCTTTAGCTGTCTTCTAACAGGAATCCATCACTTGAAGATCAAGCTTGTGACCGAATTTACCGAGTAGGGCAGCAGAAAGATGTTGTCATACACAGGTAAGTAATGGTCCCCAGGACCCAGGACCCTTCTCAACTTGTACTTTGTGAAAGTCTTTCTTTCTTAGGTAGTGTTTTCATAGAATTTAAAGTATTTGGTGATGACTTTACTGATGATGCCCCTGAGGCATACCTTCAGGCAAACCACAGTCAGGAGAAAAACGAGCAATTTGGGGTAAGCTTGAAGTTGGTCACTGCAAAAGAAGAGCAAATTTGTGTATATGGTGAGGGCAGTCCATGAAAGGATGCTCCTATCTTTTATTTTTCTTTTTAACTTTTATTTTGACATAATTTCAGACATACAGAAAACGTACAAGAATAGTACCAAAAAGTTCCCATATATTATGGTGTGCATGTGGGTAGAAACATTTTTCTGGACCACTTGAGAACAAGTTGTAGACCTGATGCTCCTTTGTCCCTAAGTACTTAAGTGTACATTTCTTAAAATTAAGGGAATTCTCTTACGTAACCCCAATAAAATCATCAAAATCAGGTTATTAAAATTAATAAAACACTATTATCTGATCTACAGATCTTTTCAATCTCACTTGTCTCAGTGATGTCCTTCACAGCAAAAAAGAATCCCAGATCCTGGTAGCACGCAGTTTTCATAAGTTTGTCTCCTTTGATCTGGAACAGTACCCAGTCTTTGTGTTTTATGACATTGACATTTTGATGAGCATGAGCCAGTTATTTTGCAAAATGTCCTCTGTTTTGGACCCCCTTGTCTTTAAAAACAACAAAACCTGCCTTAATGCTGCCAATCCCCTCTCACAATGGCCCTCTTTTTTGCCTTCCTTTTCATGACCAGGTTTCCTGAAGAATTAGGAATCACTGCCTATCTTTACTTGATTACTTCCCATTCATTCCTCAGCCTTTACAAACTGGCTTTTACTCCTGTTGCTGCACTGAAATTGCTCTTGTTAAGGGGCACCAATGACTTCCAGACTTTGCTAAATATAGTGATTATGATAGTCTTCCTATGCTCTCTTCTCTGCTCATTCTGTACATTCCTTCCTTCACAAATTCTGTGCACTCCAGTAAGTCCAAAATTTGTATCTTTAGTTCCAAGGTCTCCTAAACTTCAGACCTATCGCAGTCCCTGCTAAATATCTGAATCCGAGTGTCCACATACTCATCTGTTATTCCTTCTTTTATTCATTGTTCTTTTGAGCATTCAGCCCATAAAACATACCTTTTGAGCACCCACTATGTAGCAAGTATAATTACATGTTTCAGGTACTCAAATGTTACAAATAGAAATTGATTTTCTCTTCCTATTATCTCAAATCTGCTATTCTTCTGTAGTCATTGTCTTTGTGAATAGTATCACTCTTTATCTAATTATCTAGCCAGAACTAGACTCCTACCTTTCTCGCTTTTCCACTTACCAAGTCCTTTAGTTATATTTTCTAAATGTTTCTGATAACCATTTCTTCCTTCCCATGCCCACTGCCAGGTCCCCCCTTCCCACTCTGCTGAATCCTGTTCTCTCCATCACCACCGAAGGGCTCTTCCTAGCTAATCCATCTGATTGTGTCATCCACTTCTCATATTCTTCAGTAGCTCTCACCTCCTATAGGATCAAATCAAAATGTCTTAGCATGACATGCACCACCACCCGTGATCTGGCCCTACCAGCCTCTTGAGCTTTTGCCATTGTGGACAACATGGTCAATGTGAACTTCCTCCAATACACCATGCTCTGAAACTCAGCCATGGTTTTGCACGTGTTCCCATTCCCTGGGGTGCTCTCCTCACTGCTCTTTCTGGCAAACCCTTGCCCAACATACAAGTCTCATATTAAGAGTTAACTGTTTAATGGGGCCCTCCCTGACTACCCTGGACACATTTCCTTCTCCTCCTTTTGCACACGGCACATACTTCCATTATAGCACTTACCAGGTCATATTATTGTTTATTTTCATGTTTGTCTCGCTTTTGTTCTGCTTTGGAGCAAGACTATATTCATCTCTCCATCCCCACACCTAGCATAGTGTAGTGAGTGCTTAATCAATACTTTTGAATGAGTGAATGAATGACAACAGTGCCATTTACTTGGTTTGAAAACCCTGTTTTTATTGTGAATTCACTAAGAAATACTCTACTTAAACTAGCAGAAATTTGATAACCTTTGAGGCCTTATGGACTTACCAAGGTAGAACTTTTTGGGTAAAAGCTGGATCTCTATACTTTTTTGGATTGGGATATCTTTTGCTTATTTTGAGTTTGTTTCAATTACCTTAGCTTCAGAAAGTATTAAAATGCCAATGTGGGTCACATCCTTTTAAAGGGATATATATCTAGTCAAGGTTGTTTGGATTCCTCAGACAGGGTTCTTAACTGGACCTAAGAAGACTTAAAGGAAGAAATCTCATTAAAAATGAAAGCATAATAAAAGTTTGAATATATTATTAGATGTGCTGCTTAGGGTTTTTGATAGTTTGCTTATTTTTTGTTTTTGTTTTTTAGATTTGTTTGTGAGGGAACAGTAGAAGAAAAGATCTTACAGCTCCAAGAAAAAAAGAAAGATTTGGCCAAACAAGTTCTATCAGGGTCTGGAGAATCTGTCACCAAGCTCACCTTGGCTGACCTCAGAGTCCTTTTTGGCATCTAACCTCCTGTGGATAAGGGCTCAGAATAGCACCATTGCTGGTTTGTATTAGGATCTGGGAATAACAACCTAACCATGAGCCTTGAACTCTGTTCTTTGCATTTCAATTTCACCGTCAAGCCTTTCACCTTCCTCAAAATGAGGCATAATCTTATCCCCAGAATTGAGGAGGGGTTGTGTTAACCAATTAGTTAACCAATTATGTTAATAATTTATTTAATGAGTGGTATGGAAACCAATTGATTTTTTTAGATAAAAGAATATGTTTTAGAGTTGGATGATTTTGGAAAACAACTCTGGCAGAATTGTATATAAGCTTCAGTAAAGTTCAAAAAGCGGGCCAGGTGTGGTGGCTCATGCCTGTAATCCCGACACTTTGGGAGGCCAAGGCAGGAGGATGGCTTGAAGCCAGTAGTTCAAGACCAGCCTGGGCAACATAGTAAGACCCCATCTCTATGAAGAATAAAAAAATGAGCTAGGCGTGGTAGTGCACACCTGTAGTCCTAGCTACTTGGGAGGCTGAGGCAGGAGGATCCCTTGAGTCCAGGAGGTTGAGGCTGCAGTGAGCTGTGATTGTGCCACTGTTTTCCAGCCTGGGCAATACAGTGAGACCCTGTCTCAAAAAAAGGAAAAAAAAGCTCAAAAAGTTCTGTGTTGCCTTTCTCTTCTTAGCTGATGATGGGAGAACCAGTTACTACCTTCTCTAACACAGGCTCCATCCTATCTCTTCATCTCTTCTTGCCAGTGATGTTGCACCTGTAACCATCTTTTTATGGGTGGAGCAGAGAGTCAATCCCTGCAGCCACCCTGCAGCCAGCCATCTCTGCAGTTCTCTCAGTGCAGGCAGTTCTTCCTCTCAGGCTGAAGATCAAGGAGATGCTTTGTACATGAACAGATGCTGAGTATCTGTTATCATTGTATTGTTTAGTGTCAGTGTATCATTTAGTATTTGTATCACTGTACCATTTAGTGTTGTATATCACTCAGTCATTTAATATTGGTTATCACCATACAGTTTAATATTTGTATCATTTGGTTCATTGTATCGTTTAGTATTTCTATTATAACATTTCTATTTGTAGTATTTGTATAATATTTGTGTCATTTTTAATAGTATTTGTATTTTTACAAATTTGCAGTATTTGTAGCATTTAGTATCATTGTTTCATTTAGTATTTGGTACAATCTAATAAATACTAATCCAGTCCAATACTAATCCAATCCAATACTAATAATACTATTGGTACAATCCAATACTAATAATACTATTGGTACAATCCAATACTAATAATACTAACAGTAGTATTGATACAATCTAATAAATAATGTGTTTGACAGTGTAGCAGAAATAATGCTATGTGTTCACCAAACCCACTTCCTTTTCCTCCCGGGCACCCAGAGAGACTGTATTTCCCAGTTTTTGCTGCAGTTTGACGGGGTCCATATCAATGGACTGTGGAGAGAAGCGATTGATGTAAGTCACTTCTAGGTGGCCCTCTACCACTTTCCAAAAGATCATTCATGCTGTTTCTTCCCTCCTCAGCCTATGGGATGCAAAGGAACTGATGGAAGATTACAAGGCCCTAGGGAAGGTGAAGCCACTAGCTCAGCAGTTCTTAGCCTAGTTTTTGGCCATCAGCCCTTCTATTAGACTAGTGAAGCCTCAGTCCCAGGATGGCTCCCCATGTACACTTCCCTCCTCGCCCCAGCTCACCTACACTGGACTATGACATGATCAAGGAATCTTTTTTTTTAAGCTACTGAGATTTCTGTGTTGTTTACATAGCAGTTTGTACCCTAAACAAACACTTGAGATTTTATACTTCAGGAAACTATTCAGATTTCCTTCTCATTAGCAATTGTTCCAAAAACACTTACTCTGCTAATTTCTGCTAGAAAGAATCACAGTTCTTCTAACACAGAAACATTTCTGTCCCTTGAGTTGGGAAACAAGACCCTATGTTAACCCAGTCAGAGTGTGGACTGAGGCATTCGGAGCCTATTTAAGCAGAAGTTTTCTATAAGGACAAGATTTAAAGGCTTACAAAGGTAAAGACAATGGCCTGGTGGGAAGAATTCTAGTCTAGAACGTTTGAGATTTGACTCTAGTTCTAGGTTCATCTTAGCTGGGTGTGTAACGTTGAAAAAATTGGCCGGGTGCAGTGGCTCAGGCCTGTCATCCCAGCACTTTGGGAGGCCGAGGCAGACGGATCACGAGGTCAAGAGATCAAGACCATCTTGGCCAACATGGTGAAACCCCGTCTCTACTAAAAATACAAAAATTAGCTGAGCGTGGTGGCGTGCGCCTGTAGTCCCAGCTACTGGGGAGGATAAGGCAGGAGAATCGCTTGAACCTGGGAGGTGGAGGTTGCAGTGAGCTGAGATCGCGCCATTGCACTCCAGCCTGGTGACAGAGCGAGACTCCGTCTCAAAAAAAAAAAAAAAAAAAAAGAGAGAGAAAAAAATCCTTACTTTCTCTACACTCTGATTTCCTCATTTGTAAGGTGGGCAGTTTTCAGAACTTAGCAGCAATAAGGTTTCTGATAAAATCAAGAAGCAAAGGAAGTAACATTGCCTTTTTGAAGTTTTGCTATAAGATTGACATACCAAGGTAAAGATTGAGTCACCTGAGAAGCAGTGGCTCCCAGGCCAGCAAGAATGTACAAACCTGGCTCTGCCATTTGCTGATTGATATTAGGCAAGTTGCAGATTCCTTGGACATCTCAATCCTTTCATCTGTAAAATGTGTGGATTAGCATGTATCTCATGCTCCACTGGGAATTTCATAGCAAATATATATACTACAACATGGTTGACCAGATAGATCAGTAATGTCAACTAGAAGGTATTAGATGAACATTGTCAGTCTCCAATCAAGCATTGTTTAGGGGAGAGGAATTCTTTCAGGTTCAAGCATTCTGGCTTTTAGTTTGGAGAGGGATGCAGGGATTGTAACTTAAAATCTTCAGATATTGAGGCCATTGACAAGTAATCTACTGTAAGGTAGATGCCTCCTGGTATTTTAAAACAGCTTTTCTAATTTCTCATGTTATTGTACATAAGCAAAGCAACCTAGTTATGTCTTGGGTAGGTGTTCTTATAGCCGTGAGATGCTACTGACTTGAGGTGGATGCAGAAAAAAATGGAACCACTGCCTTAATGGGATGGAATATACTAAACATGCATTCTTAAATCCTAGTGCTGGGATGGATTACATGAATTACATTGTGGAGCTGCATATGTGTCTCCCCTCTTCCCTCCCTGGGGGTTAGGCTGGGTTTGTTTGGTTTTTTTTGTTTTGTCCTCATGAGGCTTAGCATCTAAGGGAGACAGGCATGAATTAACAGAAGTGGCATTCTGGTATCTGTCTCAGCCTCATATTCATTTTAGTGTAAATCAGTTTCGTCAAGTCTAGGTATGACAAGGTGGGTCTTTGCACCTTCTAGCGATGGGCAGCATCCCACAACACAGTGGTCTAATTGAGGTGCTGCACTATGAGTCCTGCCTGTGTTAACCAGCCTTCCTTCATGTCACAATACTGCTGCTGGATTTGCTTTTTACATCTGCCTATTGCACCTGACTTGGGCATGGATGATATGAGGTAATAAATGCTTTGAAAACCATGAAGGGCCACACAAGTGCTAGTGTTATTGCTGTGGGACAAGGTCTGGGAATATGAGAACCAGCAGCAGCATGGGTGCAGCTGAGAACCAGATGGTGAACATCTGTCTCCAAAGTGCAACATTCCTGAGCACCGGATTTATAAGGCATTTCTTACTCGACAGAATTGACTTCATGGAAGGTATGTAGTTTGACTTTGCCTTAGCCATGTTGATCAAATAGGAGTATTGTGCATGCCGCAGCTAGACAGAGTCCTGGGCCCTTTAAAAACCTTGTCAGTGACTCCCATTGCAGGCCCAGCGCAGTGGTTCACACCTGTAATCCCAGCATTTGGGAGGCTGAGGCAGGCAGATCACTTGAGGCCAAGAGTTCGAGACCAGACTGGCCAACATGGCAAAACCTCCTCTCTACTAAAAATACAAAAGTTAGCCAGGCGTGATGTTGGGTGCCTGTAATTGCAGCTACTCGGGAGGCTGAGGCAGGAGAATCACTTGAATCCAGGAGGCGGAGGTTACAGTGAGCTGAGATCATACCACTGCACTCCAGCCTGGGCCACAGAGAAAGAACGGTGATTCTTTCTAGCAGAAATTAGCAGAGTAAGTGTTTTTGGAACAATTGCTAATGAAAAGAAGGAAAAACAGAAAAAAAAAATTTTCTGTTTATGGGAGGTGACTTATTTCTCTATCAATCCTGTGAGTGATTTAGCATGGCAATTCATGAACACTGAGTTGTTTCCTTGCTCTGATTGTCTGTTGCTCAATGAAATGGCTTTTAGCAGGGCTCAAAGGTGAAGCCAGATTCTCCTGCACTAATAGGATAAGCATGGAGACACCAGTGTTCAGTGTGGCCTCTGGTTGTCTGAAATTTTGCTGTCAACTCTAATACCTTGAAAGAATTAGGTTTCCAAAGTGGGATATTGTGCTGCTGTTTGTGATATAGCATCTAGACTTAGGAAAGGGCAGGAACAATTTAAAAGCACATCTGTAGGCACAAAGAGAATTATAATAGAAATTCAGAATTCCTAGGCATATGACCTAGACTAAAATGTCTTCATAACTACAAATGAAATCAGGGTCATTTATAGTACAAACTACCACAGAAGTCAGTAGTTAGGGGATGGAGATAGATATGAAAAAAAAAAAAAGCAAACCCAGCCTAACTCCCAGGGAGGGAAGAGGGGCGACAGATATGCAGCTACACAATGTTTTTACTATCTTGAGTTCTTTTTACCCAGATTCCATAGCTAAATCCAGATGTATTAATAGGTAGAGACTACTTCAGAAAGGATGAGACTATTTTCTTGCTTAATTATCCACACAGTAATTCAGAAATGTATATTGAACACTTTTTATATGCCAGGCACTGCTGGGCACTGGAAATATAAAAGTAAGCAAAAATGAAAAACTATCCTGTCCTCCTGAGGCTTAGCATCTAAGGGAGACAGGCATTAGTCAACCCCGTGTGGCTGTGAATCAGCCATGATGCTGAGTGCTACAAGAGAGGACTGTGCGGCTGGGAGGGCTTATAACAGGATTTGACCTAGTTAGGGAAGATCTGAGGAAGTGATGAAAGAATGGAAATCAATATGTAAGAGCTCACAAGTCAGAGTGAGATGTTTCTTCCTATACTGCCTGCTTCTAATGAGCATCCACTTCATTGAACCACCTCTTCATTGAGCCAAACCTACCATACAGGGATACATTCTCTGGAGGAAAGTTGAGCAACTATTGCATTTGGGACATTAGAGTATGGGTGGGCTGACAGGTATGTGTATGTTTATTATCCAAGACAGCCAAGGTGTTTATCCTGTTACAACATCCCAGAGGACAGAGGCTCTTATTTGTGACTCTTTTTTCTTACCTGTAACACCAGAGGCATAACGTACATCATAATGCTGCATCTTGTTGACGCTTCAATGCTCACAATTCAAAGGTGATTTCTGAAGCACTTTGTTACACTGGGGACAGCTCCTAAATCCTCCCACTCTTTTTTTGCCTCACCTTGGAGTCTTGGGCTCTGTTGATCACTGACTCTGCCAGGTCTTTCAGCAGGCAAGACAGCTCAGTTAAATTGAGTTTGGACTCCACTGTAGTGCATGCATGAGACAGCACCCCCAATCCCCAACACCCACACACAAACTTTAAATATTTGTAACAGAATTGTTACCATTAATATTGCTTAAAGGCTAACACATTAGCCAGAACCTAGATGTCTTCTGGAAATTTTTTATTGCAATGTTACTTCATCTACATAAAGTTGTCCAATCACTGAAACCTCCAACTGAAATAAATGGTAAGCTTTTTGTTCTCAATTCTGAAATCAGATTCATTAAAAGGCACATGGGGATAGATGATATAATACAACAGGCTTCTTCATGGGAAGCAGTTCCCTAGATGTATGAGGTAATTGGAAAATTCAAGGCTGGTCTCTCAGGTGCATATAATTTATCCAACAGACTCGAGATAAGGCTGATTTTTTTTCCAAGTGGTATTTGTTTAAATGACAAATACTGAGGTTCGGGAGAAGGGAAGTCTGGCTTATAAAAACAGATACCAAGGAGATCCAAACTAAAAATTCTACCAATTAGATCTTTATTCACTGATCATAATATTAAGTCTCTACTATGTGCCAGGAACTGTCCTACATCGGGACAGTATGGTAGTTTAAAAATATCCCTGCCCTCATAGAGCTTACAATCTAATATGAGAGGACAGACAACAAACAGAATATATACATGTTGGCCTGTAATCCCAGCACTTCGGGAGGCTGAGATGGCCAGGAGTTTGAGACCAGCCTGGGCAACATGGCAAAACCCCATCTCTACAAAAAATGCAAAAAATTCACCAGGCATGGGGTCGGGGGGGTGGTGTGCCTATGGTTCCACCTACTCCAGGGGCTGAGGTGGGAGAATCACTTGAACCTCGGGAGGCAGAGGCTGCAGTGAGCCGAGATTGTGCCACTGCACTCCAGCCTGGGTAACAGAGAGAGAGAGACCCTGTCTCCAAAAAAAAAAACCACAAAACAAAACATATATATATGTGAGATGGTGATGAAACTGGGCAACTCTGGGGTGGGAAGTTGCTATTTTGTACAGGGTAGTTAGCTAATAGGGTGATTTTTGATACTGGAGCGAGAACTTGAGAGGAACATGAATCATGAAGGTATCTGTGAAAAAAGCATTTCAGATGGAGGGGCAGTGATTCTAAAGGCCCCAAGACAGTGCTTGGAGTTTGAGGAGCACCAGGCAGACCAGTTTGGCTGGAATAGGGTGATGGAGGCGGATGGGTGGGCAGTAAGAGCAGGGATCCAGATCATGCGGGGTCTTACATGCTGATGTAAAGACTCACTTTTCTGAGATGTGCGGCCAATGGACAGTGGTGAGCAGAAGAGTGACATGAGCTGACATATTTTAAAAGATTTCTCTGATATTGGGTGGTCAAAAAAGATAAAGATTGGGAATTGGCCATTGGATTCTGTAACCTGGAGTTTACTGGTAACCTTGACAAGAGCTATTCCGTGGAGTCTTGAGGATGACAGACTGACTGGATTAGATCTTACAGAGAGTGGGAGGGAAACTAGAGATACCAAACAACAATTCTTTTGAGGTCCTTTTAAAGAGGAGCAGAAAAGGGGAAAGGTTGCTAAAGGGGGATGTGAAATTCTTCTTGAAAACTCAGCCCTAACACCCAATGCGACTATATTTGGAGAAAGGGCCTTTAAGGAGGTGATTAAGGTTAAATGACATCATGTGGGTGGGGTCCTAATCCAATAGGACTGGTGTCCTTATATGAAGAGACACCAGGAGCACATACACACAGGAGAAAGGCCATGTGAAAACAAGGTTGCCATCTGCAAGCCAAGGACAGAGTCCTCACCAAAAAACAACCCTGCCAGCACCTAGATTTTGGACTTCCAGACTCCAGAACTGTGAGAAAACTAATTTCTGTTGTTTAATCCACCCAGTCCATGGTATTGTTATGGCAGCCCTAGCCAACTAATACAAAAGGGAAATTCGTATTTTAAGAGGGAATATTGTACCATGTTTATTTTCTGAAGTAAGCAATCTGGGAGAGGGGGAAATTACTGACGCAATGTTTTTGGGCAGTGGCTATAGAATGGGATTTAGTACATGGGACAGGAGTTGGCTCTTGATAGGAATTTAGGTAGATGTGTACATGTGGTAGGGATGCTAGGGAAATTCTCTGAATCCTTTTATATTCTTGGTGAAACAGGAAGCAAGGTCATAAGTGCAGAGTAGAGGTGGGGTAGAAATTGGAGTTTGAGGGGAAGAAAGTATGAATTGTCTAGAAGCATGGGAGAATAAATGGACTGGGGAGATGTTTCAGGTTATTGGGCAATGCTAAGAGCCCACTGAAGTTAGTGGTCATACATTTAAAGTGAGACTAGTCATCACGCTTTTGTTTTTTCTGCAGGATCATTCAGTTGGGTTAGATGGAAGGTTGGATCTAACCTGGGTTGGAGTTTTGCCAGGCAAGAATGAGAGGGAGACTATGCAATAGAGTGACTATAGTGATGGTCTATAGAATCTAAGCTGGGAAGGATGAAGGGAAGGACCTGAGGTGGGTGAGAGAAACAACAGGAAGGTGGCAGAATCACTGCATTGTGGGTTCCAAAGAGGTAGAATTAGTAGTCAGGTTATTACAGTGGGTGAGCTGGAAAGGTGGGAGGTTGTGGTTGCAGGATGCCTGAAATTGAGACTATGCAGAGGGTGCAGTTGGAATCAAGATCTAGGGTATGTAAGGCTAAGTAGGGAAAAAATAACACTGGGGAAATGATCACAGAACTAAGAAGTCTGTGTAGACAATGAGTTATCCCAAGATTGATAAGGAGTTGTACCAGAGTCACAGCAAGCTCAATGCTATAATCTTCAAGGAACGAAGGGGAACAATTTGGGGCTCAGTAGATGGCTGAACCATGGAGGAATAGCAAGCTGTATAGCTGAAAGGCATGAGCTCCAAGGCTGGCCATTTTTAGAAAAAAAGTAGGGCTAATGCTCTAGAACAGGGTTTCTCAACAGCGGAACCACTGACATTTTGGATTGGATACTTCTTTGTTTCAGGAAGCTGTCCTGAGCATTGTAAAATGACTAGCAGCATCTCTGACCTTTACCCACAAGATGCTAGTAGCACCTTGCCCCAGTAGTGGCAACTAAAAATGTCTCTGAGACTTTGCCAGATGTCCTCTTAGGGGCAAAGTCACTCCTGGTTAAGAACCACTCATCTCGGCCAGTCATGGTGGCTCACACCTGTAGTCACAGAACTTTGGCAGGCCAAGGTGGGCGGATCATGAGGTCAGGAGTTCGAGACCAGCCTGGCCAACCTGGTGAAACCCCGTCTCTGCTAAAAATACAAAAATTTGCCGGGCGTAATGGCACATGCCTGTAATCTCAGCTTACTCTCGGGAGGCTGAGGCAGGAGAATTGCTTGAACCTGGGAGGCGGAGGTTGCAGTGAGCTGAGATCGTGCCACTGCACTCCAGCCTACGTAACAGAGCAAGACTCTGTCTCAAAAAAAAAAAAAAAAAAAAAGAACCACTCATCTCAAAGCAGCAGTAATAAGCTAAAAGGACATATACTTCTGGGCTGAGTGACAGAAGGAGTGAGGAAGAGCAAATAGCTAATAATTTGAGAGGGTGACAGGCAGGAATGTGTTTTGGGAAGATCAGATTTGGGTTACAGAAAGAGGCTGAAGGGAATGTTTCCAGAAAAGGGTGAGAACGCAGAGAACATCTTAGTATTTATGGCTATAATGTAGCCCATGTCTGTCAGCCTCAAGGAGGAAATGTATTCCACAATGATCTGACAGTCATCATCTAATCATTCACTTCCTTTACCTGACCCAATTCGCCAAGTGAGTCATCCACTTCTTAAGGGATCTTACAATGCAGATTTCAATAATTATATTTAATACATGCTGAGTTTATTGCCATATAAGAAATCAAGAGTTTCAGAAGAACACACAAAATATATACAGTGAAGACCTTGGCAGGGCTGAGGCACCAGTGCTGTGTACATCCTCTCCCCAAATTCTCCAGCAGCTAAGAAGGCACACTATGAGTGAAGGCACAGTAAGAGTCAAAGCTCCCAGTTAACTTTCTAGGTATATAGATAACAGTGAAGACTACTCTAAAGACTACTCTACTAAAAAACAGAGCTGTGAGAAGGATGAAGGTGTCTAGATTTTCTGTATAAGTAGAACTGTAATAAATGTATGAGGTTCTATTTCAACACCATTCCCCTTTATTAACTTTCTATTTGTATGCCCTTGACCAAAGAGTAATCTTCCAGGCTTTGGGGCAGAAGGCTGTCATGGCATAGAGACGGAGTAGGGGGACACCACCAAAACAAGATCACATTATCATGATCACAAAACATGTACCAGTAAATCCAATGAAAGTATGCTAACAAAAAGTGGACAGGATGAAAGGAGGTTTCTAATCTCTAGGGGAAATATCTAAATAATGTGTAGCTCAGAGAAAAATGAAAAAGGTCATAATAGGCCAGGTGTGGTGGCTCATGCTTGTAACCCCAGCACTTTGGGAGGCCGAGGCAGGTGGATCACGAGGTCAGGAGTTTGAGACCAGCCTGGCCAACATGGTGAAACCCCGTCTCTACTAAAAACACAAAAATTAGCTGGGTGTGGGGGAAGGTGGGGGGGAACCTGTAATCCCAGCTACTCGGGACACCAAGGCACGAGAATCATTTGAACCGGGAGGCAGAGGTTGCAGTGAGCCGAGATCATGCCACTGCACTCCAGCCTGGGTGACAGAGTGAGACTCTGTCTTTAAAAAAAAAAAAAAAAGAAAAAAAAAGGGTTATATCAGAAAGGAACTAAACTACCTAGACCCTTCAGTGCCAATGGAATAGATACCTCCATACTGTACAAAATGAAAAGGAGTATCCTGTGGTAGAAAAAGAACGTTGCCAACCTACCTTTAAGAGAAATGTAGAGGTGGTTTTTTGTGCTCAACCATCCACAAGTACAATCAGTGAATAACTAACAAAAGAGCACTTGAACTCCAGTGCAAGATAAGGCACTTTGTTTTTAATTCTATCAGTCTCTTTAGAATGAACGAAGGTCTGGGTCCTCTGGAAATCTCAAGTGGTGCTGCCTGCAGCTTTAAAAGGCTGAGCACAAACCCATCAGAGAGCCACAGTCCTAAGTAGACTCCTCGGTGCGCTCTGCCCACCTGTCCATGTGCATTCAGATTTCTCATTAAATTTTCCACAGCATGACCAGTGGGGATGACCTGGGTGGCCTTTGTGTCCATGGCCACAGCCTAGGTACCCACCTACATGGGACAAAGAGGAAAGGACAAAAATCAACCATTAGCGTGGAGGCCAGCAGTTACCATTATCATGGAAATTAGACCTCCTGGCAACATGCAGATTCATGGGAGTGAAAATATCTAAGAAAATCTTGGCAAGAGGAACAAGCTGTCTGACTGTTGTGCAGTCAGGAGGACCCTGAGAATTGATCACAGCAAATCAACTCATGTTAGCCGGAGTTCTAAGAATGCTGTAGTGATAGAACTTACCACCTGAAGGAGGCGAACTAGTTTGCACATTAACTGTAAAATAAATTGGTTTGGATTTTAACTGTAAAATCATTGAAATAAAAAAGGATAGGTTGGTGGACATTAAAAAAATAGAGGTAGATCCTCAAGTGTTTATACAGAAGGATGCAAAAGCCCATTTTATGGCCCATTATTAGAGTAAGGACACAATAATTTTTTTTTAAAGTAATTAGATCCCTAACCTAAACTGACTCCCTATCCTTTCTGTCCCCCGAAAGACCCAGACCTTGTTCAATTGGTTTAATCATCCACTCCCCTAGCCATGCCTCATTTGGAATTTATTTAAGGTTCTAAAAGGAATAAGATGGGTCCATAGTTTTCACACTGCTTAGGCCGCTGGAAAGGGACAGACAAACTGAGAATCCTACATAGAAGCACAGGGCTCATAGGAGCTGTACCAAAACTAACAGAACTGAGAGCTTTTAAGTCTGCTATTTCAATTCAGAACAAGGAAGCTTTAAGTGACACTTTTAGAACAGTGGTGTCTCTACAATCACAGACTGTGCTTCCTAGAAACAGAGCCTAAGTCCAAATGTCTAGTGGCTGTGTGGTAGGGAAGGGCCCGTCGCTTGATTCCCACTGCTGGCAGAAAGGCCCAGAGGGTAGTGCTTTCTCCTTACCTGGCATGGTGCCTCCACAGGCGCAGCGAGCGGTTTTCTGGCCCCCGCTGGAGCAGAAGGTGCAGCAGTGAAACACGCCTGAGTGTGGGCGGTGCTTTCTCCTCACCATCACAGTGAATGGCGAGCCCTGCAGTGTTCAGACCAAAAGCAATGAACAGCATCTTACGAGTTAACAGGATGTGCTGCGCATCACTATGTGCTAAACAGAGTCTGAGGCACAGGGCCTGTCCTTGGATGGACAAGGACAACAGGAAAGAAACAGATTAGAGGACAAGAACCCTGCTCAGCTGAGAGGAGGCAGACACAGATGCAGTGGAAGCATCACAGGGTCTATGCAGCCCTCCTACCATGCTTTTCACCGCAGATGCTAAGTACTAGACGTAGGTACTGATTTATTCCATGTAGCTGAACCTGCTGGACACTGAAAGGAGTCACACAGTCAGCTCCATTTTCAGTGACATCTGTATTAGCTGGGAATAATTGTTCTGGCAAGATGGCAGCAAAAGCAGAAGCCCATGCCACAATAAGCTTAAGCTTTTCTTGATGGATTCTGCCTCACTCTATCCTTGTATGAAGTATAAGTACCTAGATCATTCAATACATTAGTAATCTCAGACTGACTTTTCTCTGGGATTCTCAATCTCAATTCTTAAGGAACCTCAGGTATAATAAGTAGAATGTCACAACCACAAAGATAGGACATTCTGTGGTCCCTTCTCCAATTTCTCAGCCATGTACCTCTTCTCACATACCAAGCTAGCCTCTTTCCTTCCATCCTGGACATGACTTATCTGTTTACTCACCCACTTATTCTGGGACTGTAAAGACATATGGAAGGGAGAAAGGTTAAAATGTGTACAGCTAATAATTCTCAAATTAGTAACTCTCCCATCTGCCCCCTTTCCTTTAAGGATAACTTTCGTTCTCTAATTTATATCCCATGTTAAACAAAAAATATTTATTTATTTTTTTAAAGATGGGATCTCACTCTGTCACCAGGCGGGAGTGCACTGGCACATCCATAGCTCACTGCAGCCTTGAGCTCCTGGGCTCAGGCAATCCTCCCAAGTAGCTGGGACTACAGGTGCACACCATCATGCCCAATTTAAATATTTAATAAGTTGCAATGTGCCTATCCTTATGTGAGAGCCACATTGTTTGCGAAAACGCAAAACAGAGAACCTAGCACCTTAGAAGTCTTTCAGATGTTAAATTTCCCATCTTAAAGAGTTTACAATCCAGTTAAAAAACAACTTGGCATTCAAAGAAATGGGTTCAAATTCCTATTTTGCTACATTTGCTGTGTATTTTAATGCAAGTTTGGTGTCTCAGTCTAATTGGACACTGATCCCTGTGCCTGAAGGGTTTTGAGGCAAATTGAAATAATGTATGTAAAAACACCTAACCTGTTCCTGACATACCATAATTAGGTAAACAATAAATGGCTATTAAATATGAATGTTCCTTAGTGCACAAATCATAAGCCTAATATATCATGATGCTATATGGTATTTTACTGTCCCTGTCAGTGTTGATTTCTGTGGAGGGAAACCTCTGACTACTCCAATGTCAGCAGAGAGATTCTGCTCGACCTGTTAGTATCACCCAATTTTTAAAAACTCATACTCTCTAAAGCAGAAAGTGCTCTACTTGTGTTATACTTGTTTGTAGAAACCATGGTAACGTAACTTGTTTGGTATATTTGTTTGTTTATAGGAACCATAGTAACAGAAAAACCTATATGTAAAACAGAGTAGAAAATTACATGAGCAGATGGTTAGGCAGATAGATGACTAGTCAATTGTGAGGAGGGGGCATAACCCTCTCAACTGTGTTCATGTCCAGACACAGTCTGGACAAAACTGGAAAATCCTGAGCTAGATTATATTTTTTGAATATGCATGGTTGTCTGCTGGCAGATCACCCCCTGTGATCAAGACATCTTCTCCATATTAAGAATCCTAAGAAACCAACTGGGAGAATGATAAGCTATAAGCATAACTGCCTGGAGGTGACACAGGGATACAGGGTTCTTATGGTCAACAGCATCCTCCAGGAAGAATAAGAGTAGCAAAATCTGGGCTGTTTCTAAAGTGAAGAAGAAGACATGGGGATTCTATTCAATCTCTCTGTATAGCTGATCCTATGTGAAATGTCTCCAGATCCTAAGACAGTAGAATCCAGGGAGCTCAGGGAAGCACGTGCACCAGTCTTACCTGCACATGCTGTTCTTTGATGCAGACCCACACAGTATAGACGCCAGGTTCCTTGGGGGTGTAGGAAATGTAGTATGTCCCATCCTTGTTATCCTGGACCATTGTTCTGACTGGGCTGAATGGAGATAAGAGTCAAAACACCACTCACTTCCACAAGCTGGCTTCAGTTGCTACTATTTCAGAATGTAAACTCTACACCATCCCATTCAGTATTAATGTTAAATATACCCAAACAGGATGCTTCTTCCATTTGCTTCAGAAGTTAATTTTACAACAGAAGGTAAACAGCATAAATTCCAATTTAGTCTGATATTCAGACAAATTCCTTGAATATATTATTGTGTCCTTTTCAACAGGCTTCTGTTGAACCCTCTTGCTCTGTTGTCCCTCCTCCATTCTACAATTCCAGAGAAATATAAACATGCTCCAGGCATAATTTAGTACCAAAGGGAGACTGAATTTTGAAAAGGGTACCATTCAGTCTAACACAGAATATTTTTCAACTTATTCTAAAGCTTGAGATGAAAACAATCTGAGGGGCAGACCATAGCTTTGAGAGAGAATTGAATACAAAACCCACACAAGAAAACACATTTGGTCACGTAACGTTTCATAGTATTATGGGGAGGTAAGACGTAACTAGTGAGTTACACTCCAATATCTTTTTTTTTTTTTTGGACCTGGGGTCTTGCTCTGTTGCCCAGGCTGGAGTGCACTGGCACAATCACAGCTCACTGCAACCTCGACCTCCTGGGCTCAAGGGATCCTCCCATCTCAGCCTCCTGAATAGCTGGGATTATAGGCATATGCCTCCACTCCCGGCTAATTTTTTTTTTTTTAATTTTGTAGAGACAGGGTGTCCCTATGTTGCCCAGGCTGGTCTTGAACTCTTGGGCTTAAGCGATCCTCCTGCCTCCACTTCCCAAAGTGCTGGGATTACAGGCATGAGCCACTGTGCCCAGCTCCAATATCTTAAAGGACCTCATGTTTCCAGTTTTCTCACTGCCTGTTATCCATGACACCTAATTGTGTCATACAAACCTGTCTTTCTTATCTTTAGGGACAACGGCAACTTGAACGTTGTCTCCTCCCCTGCCCATGATTTCTCCTGCGGCATCCTTACAAAGCAGGGTGAAAGAGGCCGTCTGTTTCTCCCGGGCTCTGTGGAGGTCTGAAAAAGATAAACACTCGGTCCTCACCTCGAATGTAAACTGCAGTGACTACATCTCCATCTTGCTTTTTCTCTTCAGAACAAAGGGTTGTACTTTACTGTAACCACCCTGGGTCCCTTTGTTTTCTCTTCCCCTTCTGCCTCCCAGAGTACGCCTCTTGGGAGTCCTTCCTGGTTGGCCTGGTTCTCTCAGCTAGCAGCTGCTTTGGATCACACAGGATCCTGGACCTTACCTTCAGTCCTAGGACTGAAGGTCCTATGCTTTAAAAATACTCACGACTGACCGAGGTATTTAAAGAAAACCTCTAGACCCTGTGAGAGAGGATAGTAACCCCAAAACCACCCTCCCTAAGCTCCAGATCCTGCTGGGCTAGGCAGGGAGTACAGCTGACCAGCCTCACGACCCTCCATGTTTTGAGATCCTCTGCAACTTGGTAGCTCATGCCAAGGTACTGGGGGGATATCCAGTAGCTACAGCCCCTACTCCAGCATTCAGATGAAACAGGGTTTCTTAACCTGAGGTTCATGAACTACTATGAGGTCTATGGAAAGGCTTATGAAGAGTCTAAAAATCTGGAATTGTATGCACAAGTTACTGGGTGTTTCTGTAGGAGAGAACATTCTCAAAGAGATCTATGGCTTCCAAACAGTTAAGAATGCCTGTGTCATTAAGATGCAATCTTCCTATCAGGACTGACCTACTGACCTGTGAAACATATGTTTTAATAATATGCTTCCATTAGAAAGGGAACACTCGTTAAAAAAAACCATTTTTTCCCCCAATTAAATGAAACACCTACCATATCCTTTTAAATGCCAGTAAAGTTGATGTGAACCAAAAAGGGCCTAAAGGAAAGGAAACCGTAATCTCATCTTCCTCATTCCTCTGAAACTCCCTTCAGAACTTGATCTAGGAATCCAGGGCCTGCCATGCTCCTCTCTGAGCAGGCAGAATTTCACCTGGCCCTAGTCACTGCTGTTACCTCCAACGGGCACTGTCTCTGTTCTGCCATCTGATAGAAACAAAACATGATCTGTGTGTTTCTCAGCCATTATTACTTCTCTGAACTGGAAAAGGGTCAAGCCTCACTCCTGTATTAACTGTACCCTAGCCAGAACAAACCAGAAAGGGCAAAGGTGGGGGTCACTGTCTTTCAGATCAGTTTATCTCCCCACCTTTGGTAACCTGGTCAGTAGGGCATGCTTCCTAGCAGAACAAGCCACCAATCTTCACACACCACCTCCCTGTCCACTGCCCTCTCAATGTCAATGGGAAATGCCTTCCTACCTTCTCCTTGTAGGACACATTTGGCTGGATCAACCTCTTTGGTATTAATCGTACCATAAATTTCATAGCCACGGCACTGGCCTGCTTTCTCCTGAGGACAGAAGCGTATCTTATCATTTACTCCAGGACGGGTGCTATATTGAACTTTGTTCAGCTTCCTGAGCCGTTCTACCACCACCCTCTTGGTGATGAGGATCTCCAAGTCTGAGCCGCTGGTCAGCAAGTGCTCGGTGAACTCCACTCCAGTCCGCATGTCTGCCAGTAACTGTTCCAGCTGGGCCTTCTGCAGCTGCAGGGAATTTTCCTTCTGGGCCCGTATGTCTTCCAGCTGCTTCAGCAGCTTGTCCCGATGCTCCTCAATGGCCTTAATGTAGCCCTCCGAGAATGTCCGGACATCAGCTGCCACTGCCTCCACTCGCTTCTGGAGGGCACTGTTTATTATGTGGATCTGAGCCAGGGCTTCCTCCAGGGCCTCCACGTGGGGCTGAGTACCTTTGAGGAGCTCCCACACAGAGTCCCCATGCTTGTGGATGACATTGCTGGTGAAGTCACAGGGGTGTTCCCGATGCTCCCCCACCACACAATCCTGGCACACGGGCCGGTCACAGAACTCACAGAACAGCCTCAGTTCCTCTGCAGGGTGAACAGGACACAGGATGGGCTTCCCAATCCGGCTGTAGCCTTTCAAGTCTTTTAGGTCCACCATGGTGTGGTAAGTCGTTTTCTTCTGCCGCCTAGGGGCAAACAGAATCAGTAACAGGAAATAAGGGGATAATTCTGTTGGGAATAGTTGGGCAGAGAGATTTTAGGAGCACAGGATCTGAAGTTAAACAAACCTGATTTCAATTCCTTGCTCTAATCTCTAATTGCATGAACCTCTCTGATTCCAGTTTCTCATCTGTACAGTGGGGACAATACCTACCTGAAAGAGCTGTTGTATAGAATAACGTGTGAACAGACTAGGGCTCTGGCTGGCTACATGCCTATGCAGAAGGTTGCAAGACTATGACTGCATGCTAGAACTTTCCCAAAGAGTTTAGACAAGAGTCACAGTCGGCTTCCTAAGGTAAGCTAGCAGTGAGGGCATGGCAGAAAACCAGCATCAAGAAACAGAAACCATGCCAGATAACACAGCAATAAAGTCCAAGCAATTAAAAAGCAGACACCAAGTCTCATCTAGCTTGCATCTAAGATTTTGGTGAAGCATTTCTGTTGACCTGTATCACCCAAATCAGCAGGCTAGAATTTTTTTCAAGAGACATCGTCAACATCATTAGAAAGCGTGAAACCGGCCGGGCGCGGTGGCTCACGCCTGTAACCCCAGCATTTTGGGAGGCTGAGGTGGGCGGATCAACTGAGGTCAGGAGTTTGAGACCAGCCTGGCCAACATGGTGAAACCCTGTCTCTACTAAAAATACAAAAAATTAGCCAGGCGTGGTGGCATGTGCCTGTAATCCCAGCTACTGGGGAGGCTGAGGCAGGAGAATCGCTTGAACCTAGGAGGTGGAGGTTGCAGTGAGTGGAGATTGTGTTATTGCACTCCAGCCTGGGCGACTAGAGCCAGACTCCATCTCAGAAAAAAAAAAAAAGAGAAAAGAAAGTGTGAAACCAATGGTTAGTAGAATCAAAGCTCTCTTTCTAATTCCTTTCCTATAGTAGCCCTCTAGAGATGTAGGGAAATCCTTAGGAAAACATGGTGACTGTTCAGAGTTCCTCCATTAGCATTGTATCAATTTGAAGCTTATATGCCTATTCTGGCACCAGAAGAGTGGCTGCAGAGAAAATAGGGTTAGCTGGTTTGGCTGGCAGCAAGACAGTCGCAGGGACTATCACATAATTACAAGTTAAAAATAGAGTGAAGTCTACAAACTTGTTCTGTTAGTGTAGCCAGAAAACAAATGGAAGTAGAACCCGAAACCTATTTTAGGCTAATCCTAAAACTGTGGTCATTTTATATTCTGGTGTCCTAGGATGGGGTAAGGTAAGAGTACGAAGGGACAAAAGTGATCCATCTGACAAACTATTCACCAAATGCCATAAAACACATAGTCTGCACCCCAATTAACACCTACCAGCCCACCTCACCAAGCTCCAGAGTAACTCTAAGGTACACAAAGCAAAAGCTGAGGTCCGGCCAATCATCATCACCTATTCTAGGAGCACAGCATGGGTTACTGGAATGTAGTCAAAATGATCTGGATTTAATACTCAGTTCTGTTACACACTTACCAACTGTAGGACCTTGGCAAATCACATAATATTGCTGAGCTTGTTTCCCCAATTAATAAATGGGGGCGAAAACAGGGCCTGCTTTTCTGTAAGAGTTGCAAGATCGAAGGAGATCAAGAACAGGATCTATGCTGTTATATTCATTCTCCTGTTTCTCCAGCACCCAGTACAATTATTCACTACACGAATGACTGAAGGAAACTGTAGCTGCACTTTGTAAATTGAAAGGGTTTATTGCTATTGCTATATTAGGCTATATATTAGGTACTATATTAGGCTAACCGGGTTAACTGTTGTACTGGAGTATTTGCTATTGCATTGTTATATTGCTCTTTGACCTTCCACGGTATTTGAGAAGGCTTTCCTTTTCATCTGCTCACCGAGGGATTTGTCTTGACACCTCTTTGTAATCTGCTCTTAAGCTACACCTGATGGAGTGTCCCATCTTTACCTATGAGCCTGGCAGCAGAAGTGGCAGAGGTTGGCTTTGCAGGTCTGACACCTCTTCTCTACTTCCCTGTCGTTGCACAGGTCACACACCAGGCCCTGGCCTTCCCCACGTAGGCTCTCCAGCATCACATCATTCACGGCCAGGTGGTCTATGGTTAAAGCCTTCACTCCACCCATGGGCAGGTCCACCTGAGCATCACATACAGGACAAAGGATGCCGATCTGCGACTGCAGACTTCGTGGCTTGAGTTCCTGGAATATTGACCCCTCAGAGCTTGTGTCAGAGTCTCCCCCTCGGATGTCCACTACTGAGAAGGGCTCCAGCTGCTCCAGACACGTGGTGCAAACTGTATGCAAACAAGGCAAGAGCCTGGGGGCTTTGAAAAGCCCCAAGCACAGGGGGCAGTGAGTCTTGCCTGAGTTCCCAAGTGCAGTCCCACTAGTGAGTTTGCTTACAAAGCCCAGCAGCGGTTTTCTGTTTTCTGACATACTCCTCACGTTTGTGACCAATATTAGAAAGGGCCCTGGGCAGTTCTACGATTTAGTAGCAGGTGATTAAGCCCACCCAAAGAGAAAGTCTCCAGAACTTGAACAGAGACCATGGGGACTCCCTCGCTGACAAATAAAAGGGCAGACGGGAAGACGAGGCGTCCTCGAAGGAATCACCCACAGATCTACTCAGGAGGGCCCCCTCCTTTCCACTGCATCCCACACCAGACACGCCCACGCCCTCCTCTGCCCCGCAAGTCCTCCCCGGATGCGCTTCCAGGTCTAGCTCTCCAGCTAGTCCTGCTGCCAACAAAGTCACCCCTGCACCTCTCGCTCCCTCCACTGCCACCCCCCTCCCGCCGCCCGCCCCACTGCGCGCCACACGCGACAAGCGCCGACCCCACCCGCGCACGATGAGGTAGGGGCCCTCTTGCTCCTTCCCTCTGCGAAAGGCGCGCGCCGGGTGAGGGAATTGCAAGCCGCCGGCGGGCTTCTCGGTGTCCACCGCCTCTCCCGCGCCTCGGCCCGGGACGCCCGCGGGCTCTGGCCCCTCCTCACACCAATCCCAGCCCGGTCTACTCCGGCGAGTCCAATCACCGTCCGAGAGCGGCGGCCCTCGCCGCTCCGGGCCCCGCCGCCCTCCAGAGTGACGCCACTAAGCATCCAATAAGTTTTGGAAATTCCACATCTTCGCCAGTCCACTCACGCGGGGGGCGGGACCTGACAAGGCCGTGGGCGGGGCGGCCGAAGGGCTTAGAGTGCGGCGGGAGGAAAAGGCCAAGGCTCGGAGCGAGCGGCATAGTGTAGTCAGCGTCACCGTTTCACAGGGACTGTCCCTCTCTCTGTGGTGACCAGAGAGGCCTCAGGACCTCTTAAAAAGCCACGCTGATTTGGCGCCGGGACGGCCTTCTTTCTGCCCTCGGACTCGTCCCACGAACGCAGACTGGGTTCTCCCATTGGTGGATGGCACTGTCAGTTGGCTCTGCGCTGGGAGTGGGAGACGTTTTTCGGGCTCCCGAGGTCTCGGCCGCTCGGGGGCGCCAGACGTTTCTCCTCCACGCGGGTTTGAGGCTGCGAGGCTCCCCTCTGTCCTCAGGCGCTTACTGTAGCTCACAGGTCCCTCAGGCCTAGCGTGCTGGGTACAAGCACTCCCGCGGCTCCCCGACTTTGGGTATTTTTCGGGGGTGAGGGCATCTCAGGCTCGCGTTACGGGGACCGGTTCGGGAGACCGTGGAGCCGAGGTGTCGAATGGAGGGCTTACTTCGGCCGGGCCAGGGAGCGCCACCCTCCTTGTCGGGCTCGGGAAGGCTTTGTTTTCCGGTCCGGGGGGAGTGCAGATGACCTAAGGAGTTGAATGTCACCCGGGATTCCACAGTCCTGTGTAACAGAAACGAGCTGAGCGAGTTGGACCCGCTGTTTTTATCAGTCAATCACGGAGGGCTCCTGCCTGGTCACAGTGAGACAATGGACGGTGGCAATGAGGGACAAGCCCTTTGTGGGCTTAAAACTAATTGGGAAGATGAACACGTCCGACCCCTTTAACTTTATAATTACACGGCCACCTTCTCTGGCCTTACCAGGCGTCTCCTGATTCTCCAAAATTCCAAAAATGGAAACAGCTGCTCCTTTCCCCTCCACCTGTTGTTATCTCCAGTTGCGTCAGCTTGTCTACTGGGCCCTCACTGCTTTCTTTGTTCATGACCTTCCCTACTTAATTTGTACCCAGTGGGCGACTGTTTCACTTGATTCCTTCATTATCTGTTTCATGCTATAGGCATAGTGTCTGGAGCCTAAGCTTTTAAAAGTATGGAATCTGAAAAAAAGTTAACCCCAAAATATGAAAAAAAAAAAAAAAACCATTATAAAATATAAAAATGAAATGTTTGGCCATTTCCAAAATATAACACGCCAATGAGTCAAATGCCACCTTTATATAAAATGTGCAAGTAATTTCCAAATGTTAAGCATATCTCCAAAGATTTTTAAATAGTCCTTACCTAGATTTTTTTCAGCCTCTTGTCCTTCTTGCATCTACTCTCAAAATCGGCATTCGCCTCTCCAGTAGGCTGGAGGAAGTCACAAAAACTGTGTGGACTTGGGTTTGCTATATATTCTTGCTTTGAACTTCACCTTTACCCTCCCTGCTGCTTGGCTGTGCTTTACTTCATCTCTTGTTCATACTGTATCACATTTCTTGTGGTAGTAGTTTCAAGCTTCTCTTGTTTCAGAAGTACTTCATAATTTACACGTGCAATATCTCATTTAGCAGTATCTCATTTAACCTTTAACAATATTGTAAGGAAATGGCCTCAAAGAGGTCTTGCCAGGTCTTGGATGGCCAGCCCAAGTTAACATATCTGGAACTTGAACACAACCTTATGATGCCATATCTAAGATTATATTCGGGCTACCTCTACCTTTCCCTTTTTTTTTTTTTCTTTTTTTGAGATTGAGTTTTGCTCTTGTTGCCTAGGCCGGAATGCAATGGCAGGATCTCGGCACACTGCAACCTCCACCTCCAGGGTTCAAGCGATTCTCCTGCCTCAGCCTCCCAGGTAGCTGGAATTACAGGCATGCACCACCACACCTGGCTAATTTTTTGTATTTTTAGTAGAGACTGGATTTCACCATGTTGGGCAGGCTCCTCTCGAACTCCTGACCTCAGGTGATCCACCCGCCTCGGCCTCCCAAAGCGCTGGGATTACAGGCGTGAGCCACCGCGCCTGGCCACCTCTACCTTTCCTTTCTCAGTTTATTAAGCATCAAATCCCTCACACATGCTGCAGCTAATTCCCTTCCATTGATGAGAAAAACAAGGTTGTCTGAAGAACTGCCTCGCCTTTCTACTTAAAAAATCCATGATTCCTCACACCTCCTCTCTTACCTCTCCTGACTGCCATTCTTTAGTGCCAAGATTAGTTCCTCAAGATTTTTGTTTTTTATCCCAACCTCTCCTGCTTCCTCAAAACCTTATTCCTATGTTTCAGTCAGTTTTTCTGCCAAGAGTTCTGATGAAGTCCTGAAAGGGGAAGCAAATCGTCTTTTGATCTAGCTCCCCTTCAACGTATTAATAGTGGTGGTTCTCGCCCCTATATTTCTCAAAAGGGTGGTCTCACTGTCTGCTTTCATCATCTTTTTATAACCATCACCACCGATTTATTCCTCCCCTCTTTCCTATTGAGACTTTCTTGTAGATCATGAGTGACCATATTGCTGGCCTTTTCTCAATAGGCAATCTCTTTAGTATTTACCATTTTTTGTACTTCCTCATCCTTAAAACTTGCCTCCTCCTTGACTTCTGAAATACTCTACTCTCCTAACCTTCTGTCTCTTGGGCTGCTTCTCACACCCTCCATCCTCACTAGTTCCCCTTCCTCCACTTTATCTCCTACCTTTGCGTCTACATTTCCTCACGTGGATGATTCCCAGACCAACGCTTCCAGTACTGATGTCTCCCCTGAGCTTTTGACATAGATTTCTAAATCTGCACTCAAATATGTTCCTATCACCAAGTCCCACATAGCTTAAACTTCACTGAACTTCTTTGCTCACTGAACTGCACTCTCTGAATTTTCCTATTTGATTCTCTCCAGAGTATCATCATTCTCCTTTCCCTCCTGCATGAAACCTTATAGTGCTGCTGGCCTCCTTTCTCTTGTTCCATATCCAGGCAGACACCGATTTCTTTCCATCCCCACTGCCAACACCTCACTGCATACACTTTTTAAGATGCTATAGCTCTTTATCACCCTCACCTTAAGTATTACAATAGTGTCTGAATTATCCCTGCCCTTTATTTTTTTTGATCTACACAGTTCTTCCAAATTAATTGTAAAAACATATAAAAACATGATACAAGTCAGTCTTCATTCTAAAACTTTCAGTAGCTCCCCATTTTTGTAGGATAATATCTGCATTCTTCAATAGATTCATAAAACTGCTTGTTTAGTTATTCCCTAAACATTGCCAAGCACGTTTCTTGGTGTTTGCCAAGTTGTCGGCAACATTCTCCTTCCTTTATTATTTAAACCTACCCTTCCTTCTATGAAAGCCCTACTTCACACTACCCCCTTGAAGCTTTCTCTTATTTCAGGGCTCCAGATTCAAGCCTAATGCTGTTTTGCCTATATTATTCACTTTGCAGTTTGTGCTACCTTGTGGTATTGTTTTTATTTATTATGTGTGTATATATATGCATGTGTATATATTTACATATGTGTATATATTTACACACTATATATATCACATACATACATGTATACTCTCTCTGTTAAGATGGAAAATCTTGGCAACCTAGACAGTAGTCATTTAATAAAGACCTGTTATTGATGAAGGAGAGAATGGTGATCTCAAGTAATGGGAGGACAAACAGGACCACCTTCAACCAAGAGTTTTATGGATAGTGCAGACCATAAGTGATATGGGGTGACATCACAGGACGAGAGAGGATTTGTTAAGGATGCTCCTTTCTCAGAATTAGTTCGGTGTCTTCTTCCATGCTCACACATTGCTTCATCTGTCTGGGGAAGCAATAGTCATGGGATGAGAGGAACAGGACTGATGAAAGTGACCAGCGTTCATGAAAGTGTCTACAAGACTTTCAGCCCACACCTGTTTGCCCAAGACAGGGAAGATATTGAAGGCAAGAAAGCCAGGAAGGGAGAATGACCCATCAGGAAATCAGGCAAGGCTGGTTTGGGCACTATGCTTGATCATTACCATCAGACATTGAGTGGATATATGGAAAGGGACCAGAGAGTTCTGTCAGACTTATCTTTCACCATTCCATCTGTCTCTGTCACCATCCTTCCTTCTTTCCTTCAAAGGAAGGAGACTCCTTTCTCCTGGGACCTGTGCTCTGAAGTTCAGCCCTGCCTGCCTCCTCTCTCTTCTGTCTTTATCTTCTTTCTGGTGGATCTTTCTTTCCGCTCATGTCCATGCTTCAGTCTCTCCTTCTACCCTATGCCCCTCTCTAGCTCCCAATCCCTCTCTACTTCTTTATAGCCAAGCTGCTTGACAAGAATAGTCTACATTTGCATCTCTTCTTCCCTTGCATTTTACTCCTAAACACAGCGCAATCTGGCATTTGCTCTCACCATTCCTCTGAACTTGCCTTTGCCAAAGTTACCAATAATTTCATATTTGCTAAATCCATTGGATACTTTTCAGTTTTTAACTAACTGAATTCACTATAGCTTTTAACACTGACAGTTTTTTGTTTCAGTTTGTTTTTCTTGTTTGAGACAGGGTCTCACTCTATTGCCCAGGCTGCAGTGCAGTGGTGTGATCACAGCTCACTGCAGCCTCAATCTCCTGGACTCAAGCGATCCTCCCACCTTAGCTTCCCAAGTAGCTGGGATTATATGTGTGTGCCACTATGCCCAGCTAATATTTTTATTTTTGTAGCAATGAGGTCTCACCATGTTGCCCAGGCTAGTCTTGAACTCCTGGGCTCAAGTGATCCTCCAGCCTTAGCCTTCCAAAGTGCTCGGATTATAGGCATTAGCCACTGCGCCTGGTCTGACACTGACAACTTTCTTCTTGAAACTTTCTTCTTCCTCAGTTACCATATGCTATTCTTGATTTTTCTTCTACCTCCTGCCGCTCTGACCACTTCTCTTTTTCTCTACAGGACACTGCTTCACTATGTTGGTCAGGGTGGTCTTGAACTCCCAACCTCTGGTGATCCACCTGCCTTGGCCTCCCAAAGTGCTGGGATTACAGGCATGAGCCACTACGCTGGTGGCTTCTTCTTCCTCTTCCTCGTCTTCCTCCTCCTCCTCCTCCTCCTCTTCTTCTTCTTCTTCTTCTTCTTCTTCTTCTTCTTCTTCTTTTCTTCTTTCTTCTTCTTCTTCTTCTTTTTTAACCTTTTCATCCTCCCTTGATTGATGTGGGATTTGGAGGTGATTTATAAACCATGAGCCCACTTGTTACATGGGGGCTCTTTTTACTATATTATTACCTCCATCATCTCTGAATTCACTCCCTGTTTTCAATTCATTCTCTATAATCCTGTTAGGGATCTTTTTGCAATTCCAGTTTGATCATGCTCTTTGGTAGCTCTTCCATGCCTATGTTTACTCATTTAATATCCTTTGAGTACCTGGAATATGATTTTCCCAAATGTCTTCACAACTTACTCCCTACTAAAATAATAAGTTCCTTGACAGCAAGGACTTTTGACTATGTGCCAGGCACCAGAGATGTATTGTTAAAACAAGCAAAAATTCCTGCTCTCGTGGAACTTACCTTCTAGTAGGGGAAAGCAGCCAATAAACAATAAATATGCTGGGCACGGTGGCTCATGCCTGTAATCCCAGAACTTTGGGAGACTGAGGTGGGCGAATCACTTGAGATCACTGGCCAACATGGCGAAACTCCGTCTCTACTAAAAATACAAAAATTAGCTGGGCATGGTAGTGCATGTTTGTAATCCCAGCTACTCGGGATGCTGAGGCAGGAGAATCACTTGAGCCCGGGAGACGGAGGCTGCAGTGAGCGGAGATCATACCACTGTACTCCAGCTTGGGTGACAAAGCGAGATTCTGTCTCAAAAAAAAAAAAAAAAAGAATAAATATAATAACTGCAGAAACTATACAGTATGTTAGAATGTGAGAATGCTATGGAGAAAAATTAAGCAGAGTGAGGAGCATCCAGTGCAGGATGAGGGTGTTGCAATATAACTGGAGTGGTCAGGATAAGTATTATTGAGAAGGTGATATTTGAGCAAACACTTAAAGGTGAAGGAGGGACCCATGGGGAAAAGGTAGTTCAGATGAGGGAAGAGTTAGTGCTTGCTGAGAGAGGAATGTGCCTACTCATGTTTGAGCAACAGTGAGGAGGCCAGTGTGACAAAATCAGAATGAACTAGGGGGAGAGGAGTAGGAGGTGCCTTCAGGATAAAACTCCATATGTCTTAGAGTGATATATATAATCTCATATGTATATATGGTTTCCCATGACCCTGCCTCTGCCAGCCCAGTCAACCTCATTTCTTGCACTGCCCCATCCAAACCCAAGCATGCACACTGGGCTTCAGCCTTCTTTTATGATTATACAAGCTACTACTTATTCTGCTTCGGACACTCTGCCCACTCTTCTTTGCCTAATGAATTCCAACCCATTCTTCAAAGCTCAGTTTAGACATCAACTTCTTTAGGAATCCTCCATTCACCAAGTCTTCATTAGGCATCCCTCTGTGTGTTACCCGTGGTACTGTGATGATCTCTATCAAGTCTTTAACATTCTGCATTTCAATTTTCTACTCGCTTGTCTGATTCAGCCCTCTGTTCTCACTGTTCCCCTCCTCTTCCACACTGGGAACTCTTAAGCACAAGGGACCTTGTCCTGTTTCTGCATCCTTAATACTGGGCACAGTGTCTGAAACTTAATATGGTTTAATAAATGTTTGATAGTGAATAAATGGCCAAGATTCATGTTTCATTTCTAAGAAACTGATCATTAGGACAGATGACTGGAGAAATTTATTGTTTATTTCAGACAGATCATTTTTGTCTTCTGATTTTCTTTTTTAAAAGGGCCTGATTCCTGAAACACAGAATCTTTAGTGCCATCTAGTGGAAACAGCTCAATAAAAACGCTATACTATGAATAAAACTCAGCTTCCTTTGTTCTATTTTATTTATTTTGAACCAAGACGGACAGAGAAGAGAGGGCTAGGTTGCATAGACTCCAGGGCACACTGCATGCTGGGTGTTTTTATTTTTATCTAAAAGTTCACTCTACCCGAGAAGACTCTAGTTGTGAGATCTAACAAGTATAAATAGTCCCTTATCATTGACATTTTGTGAAAATGGGCAACTCTTCAACTTTGAGAAGGTAAGAAGGAAACAGCTAGAATAATGTGAGCTTTGGAACTCTCCTTGTGTAACTGCTTTTAGGTCAAACTAGAAGTACACAAGATATCAGTTCCATTATTAACAACTATCCTTTTAGAAAAAAATTCTGTACTGTTTTATCCAAGACAGACTCCTTAGCTCTTCTCAATTGACTCCTAGTTGTCTGATCGATTGTCTGTCATGACCCCAAACAATCTGTAGTTGATGTAGTAAGACAGGAAGCTGCACCCAATCTTAGTTGGTCTGATATAAATATAAGCGGTTCTTAGACATTTACACTTTATTCATCTGTTTCTCTGAACTCCCTTGTTTATGTTTATTACATAACAGAGCTCAATATTAATGTTGTTTGAAATACATGTTTTAAAAATTACCTGCTACATTCTGTTAATGTATTTTATTTTTAAAATGTGGATAAATGTGTTGTGATTATATTATTTTTACATAAATTTATCTTCCATATAAAATATTCATAAGTAAAATGAGTAACAGTAAGAAAATGGCACATTTTAGAGATTGAGTTTCGTGCTG